>NC_000008.11:139037078-139339156 GCF_000001405.40 Homo sapiens
CCCAATATTATAGTGTGAGGAGTGGGCCCGGGTGCTACCAGTGGGAGGTTACGCGTCGAGGGGAGACAATTGTGAACTGAGAATCTGGAGTTTTGGTTCCTACCAACAAGTGAACCCCAAACACGGAATATATGCCAGGACCTGTTCTAGAAGTGAACAGGGCAAACATCGCCCCTGCCCTCACGCAACTTCCATTCTTATGGAGAAATAGTTAAAAGCTAGCTAAATAATTATAATTTTTCATTATTCCTATGACTGAGACAAATAATAGGGAAATCTACCTTAGGAAGCATCCAGGGAAGTCCTTTCTGCAGCAGTGATACTTAAGTATGTACTTAGGTGACCCATTAATTTAACCCCCCAAATGTACTCATCAAGTACTTACTGTGTACCAAGTACTTTTCTGGGATTTAATGATGAGTAAAACCTGGCATTGTATTTTAGTAGAAGAAAGAGACAATCAGTTTTAAAAATTGAAGACTAAAATGATAAGGGTTACGATGGTGATGGTCAAGGTTCATTGGAAATCTATGAAAGGTGTTTAGTGCAATTAGTTCAGGGAAGATTTCCCCCAAAAAGTGATGCTCACAGCTGGGTATCAATCAATCGAAAGACATTTCCATTGACATTGAAAGGGGTAGAAATAACATTGATTGAATTCATATCATTGATTTAAGTGAAATCATAGCGTTTCAATTGAAAGGGATAGAAATAGCATTCATTTCCGATCCCCCAAGTAAACAAAGCCAAAAGTGCATAGGCGAGCCAAGGCCCCGCAGGGGGCAGCAGAGAGCACTGGGAGGGTCCAGGATCTAAAGGCCAAGGTGTGAGGAAAAGCCTGGTGTGTGAAGGGAGTCTGGAGAGGGCTAGGGAGCCAGACCGCAGGGCTCTCCAGGTCTTGGTAAGAATTCTAGCCGTTAGGCCAGGCGCGGTGGCTCACGCCTATAATCCCAGCACTTTGGGATTATAGGCATGATGCCAGCTTAGGTGGGCGGGTCGCTTGAGCTCAGGAATTCAAGACCAGCCTCCGTAACATGGTGAAACCCTGCCTCTGCAAAAAGTACTAAAATTAGCCAGGCATGGTTGTGCACACCTGAAATCTCAGCTACTCGGGAGGCTGAGATGGGAGGATCCCTTGAGCCCAGGAGGTAGAGGACACAGTGAGCCAAGATTGCACCACTGTACTCCAGCCTGGGCAACAGAGCGAGACCCTGTCTCAAGAGAAAAAAGAAGGATTCCATTCTCAGGCTGCTAATAAGAACATACACAAGAATGGGTGGTTTATAAAGGAAAGAGGTTTAATTGGCTCACAGTTCCACATAGCTAGGGAGGCCTCAGGAAACTTATAATCATAGCAGAAAGAGAAGGGGAAGGAAGGCAACTTCTTCACAAGGCAGCAGGATGGAGAAGTGCCAATAAAAGTGGAGGAAAGCCTCTTATAAAACCATCAGATCTTGTAAGAACTCACTATCATGAGAACAGCACGGGGGAACTGCTCCCATGATTAAATTACCTCCCACTGGGTTCCTCTAATGACACGTGGGGATTACGGGAGCTACAATTCAAGATGAGATTTGGGTAGGGACAGAGCCAAACCAGATCACTGTTATCTATGAGCACTGGGAGGCCACTGAAGAACCTTAAGTGTGTGTGTGTGTTTTTGTATATATGTGTGTGTATTCACATGCATTTTTATACATGTGTGTATATTTGCATGTATTTGTATATGTGTGCATTTGTATGCATGAGTGTATTTGTATGTTGTGTACTTGTGTGCGTGTTTGAGTGTGTATGTATGGGTGTATTTGTATATATGTGTGTATTTTATGTGTTTGTATATATGTGTATATCTGTATGTGTGCATTTACATATGTGTATATATACATGTGTGTATTTATTTGTGTATGTATTTATATGTGTGTGTGCGGCCAGACACAAAGATTCCTCTGCTTATAGCATGGGTGAAAAGAAGAAAATCATGTAAGGAGTTAGGAAAAAGCTGAGTACATGGTCAGAATGTCATGTGCAAAGGCTCTGATATCAGCAGAGCTTTACACTTTTCTTTGAGCATCTGAAAGAAGACCAATGTTTTGGAGCATCATGATTGAGGTAAAGAGTTGCGAAATGAGGTTAGGATTAGGCACGGACCAGACCATGCTGACATCAAGGGCCATGAGAAGAAGCCCTTCCGTTTATCTCCTGGGTGTGGGTGTCCTGGGAGGCACTGATGCCTTCTCATGTTCATCACTTACTAGCTGTGTGACCATGGACAAGTCCCTGGTCCTCTCAGAGCCTCAGTATCCTTATCTGTCAAATTGAGCAAATACAGTCACCATTGCAGGACTGCCCAGGAAGAGTAAGTGAGGTGCAACACACATAACTTGCTTGGTGCCACTATCATGATTTGATATGAGGCAAATAAATGTCCATACTTCAGTTTTCCCATCAATAAAATGTTGATGTTGACCTGGGTCAGTGACTATGGAACTGTGCATGTATCAGAATTACCCAGGAGCATGATATAAATACAGACCCCCATCTCCCACCTCCAGGTCAAAGCTAAGTCCGCTGACCTGGAATTCACAGGGGCAGAGCCTGGGAGCTTCCATTTTCAAAAAGCACACCGAAATGACTGATGTTTGGAAGCTATTGTACCAGACACCCTCAAAAGGCCCCATAGACACCAAACATTCCGTGAGTTAATGCTCCTAACTCTGGCTCTATAGCTTGCTTTGTGTGTGACCCTCTGGAGGTCACCTCTGCTGCCAATTTATCCACTCCAGGCCTCCAGCAGAGCCTCTGCAGATAACATTGGGTGACTTCTCTCCCTGTCTCCGTTTCATAATCCAATTATCACAGCAACCAGATGTGACAGGCTCCCTCTCAAACCCATTTAAACATCTCCAAGGGCACCATTCAGGACCCAAGCCTTTTATCATTTGCCAGGCCCCAGCCCTAGAAGCCTGGAAGAACTCCTTATGCTAATTAGCAATGAAATGTCCTTCTGCCAGGAGAATCTGATTATCGGGTCCCGAGGCAGCTGTGGACTGTCACGGTCCCATCCACCTGGGGAGAGCATATCATGGGGTTCAGCCTCCTGGAACAGGATGCCCACTTTCTACAAAAGCCCCATTTCCAGGCATTTTGTGTGTCTGTACTTCTCTCTGTATTTTTGGATATGTGATGGATGTAAGCTCATCTTTCCACAGGAAAATAAATGCACATTTGCAAATGGATTTACCCCAGCGTCCAGAGCTCACAAGCTACTTCAAGTGTGTTGGTGCATCCCAGTCCCACGGTGCGTCTTCTGGGGCACATGATTCTGTCCACACCCAGTCACACACCATGCACAGCTTACTGTGTTTCCTTCCAGATCTATTCCTACAGTGTGCTTTTCTCTCTAGATACATGAGAAGATACCATGCATGTTGTTCCTCATTTGAACAAATGGATAAATACAGAAACAGAGCCCAGAGTTTGAGATGGAAAATCTGAGCTCGTATTCTAGCTCTACTTACTATGGAGACTTGGAAATTGGAAATATTACTCACTGAGATTACGTACCCTCATGGATAACCTGGGAGAATTTGACAATATACCAGAGAGTGCCTTCCCTTAAAAGTAAGCTTAATGTATGGGAAAGCTCTGTGTCCTCGTGCAACATATAGTAACTGCTGTAATGATGCTGGTGGGATAACGGCAGCTGACATTTGCTGAGTACATACTATATCCCCAACATTGCGCCACTGGCTGGAAATGCATTAATGTCATTGCAAAATAACTCTAGAAGGTAGGTAAAAACTCGTTTTGTTGGAAAACCTGACCAGAAATAGTATGACACTATTTACAGTTTTCATTTACTTTGTTCTTATGAATATTCATGCATCCCTGCAAAAACAGTAATGATTTTAATTACAGAGTACTGCCCATAACCCTTTTAGGGCATTTCACAATATTAGAAACAGGCATTGTATTATATTAAACTTCTAGAATTTGAAAATATTCCAAATTCTGAAACATTTCTGGGCATATGGTTTTGGATAAGGGATTTTGGTCTGCATATATTATACTTCTTTTAAAGATGATAAACCTGAGACTAAGAATGGTTTAAGTATTTTCCCAAGATCAGTAGTTAAGTATGTGGGCTGGGATTTGAACCAAAACTTTCTGATACCATAGACCATTCTGTTTCTACCAGAATATGCATGCTAAAACTGACCTTAAAAGATGAAGGAAAACTTGGACAAAGTGACCCCTAAATGTTCTTTAAGTGACCCCTAAATGTTCAGCATTAAGGCTGAGGTCTATGGATCTCAAGCTAAAACAGCCCCTATTTATAATATATTTTTCTAATGCAGTCATGCTTCATATTTTATTAAACAAACTTATCACTCTATTTGGAATCCAGGAACAAGTAATCTTTATATTTTTATAATATACTGTGAGTGAGGTATCTGTCAGGGCCAGCATTGTATCCAGGAAACAGAATTACATTTAGATGGTTCATCTGAAAAGTCTACAAGAAAGGAAATACAGAGGTAAGGGAAGAGACACAGGAACTTGCAATCCTGTGATGTAGGTTCCGCCCCAGCTGTGAAGGGGCAGGGGGAGAACATAGAGTAATCGGATCCAAGAAAGAGCTGGAGCTGCACAGGAGAGGCCCCCAGGAAGGAGCTATAGGGGACAGTGATAGCCTCTGCCCAGCTGTGCCACCAAAGTAGGGAATAAACAGCCCAAAACACCGCATCTGTCTTTGATCCTGTCTTCTGATCTCCCGCCAGTGCTGTCCAATGCCAAATCCAAACAAAAGTGAGACGCTAAAGAACCCAGAAGATTTTGTTCATTAGAGCTTAGCCTCACCGAGCATACAGCATGATAGCAAAAAGTCGACTGTGGAGCTGCAGGCACAGTAGATAGATAATAGCCAGTTCAAGTGAGGCCAAGCTCGCTCCTGAGCTGTGAGAGGGTATTGAATGTTGGTTGGGTTTGGGAGCTCTGTCCCTAGGATGCCTCATGTATGTCAGCTCAGACTGCCATAACAGAATAGCATATACTGGGTGGCTTAAATAACAGAAATTTCTTCTGTCACATTTCTGGAGGCTGCAAGTCCAAGATCAAGATGCCAGCATAGTCAGGTTCTGTTGAGGGCCATCTTTCTGACTATCAGGGACCTGCCTTCTTACTCTGTCCTCACGTAGCAGAGGGAGAGAGAGTTCTGGTCTCTCTTTCCCTTCTTATAAAGACACTAATCTCATCATGAAGGTCCCAACTGCATGACCTCATCTAAACCTAATTACCTTCCAAAGGCCCTACTTCCAAATGCCATCACATTAAAAGTTGTTAGGACTTCATGATATAAATTTGGTGGGTACACAATTCAGTCCATAGCACCTTGATTGAACTTGAAATTTCCTATGGCATTCACCAATTCAGTCATTTATTTGGAAACAATTTTGGGGCATTTGCAATTGCTTTAATCCTCCTTTTTTATCTCTTGCTCCTACATTTACAATGGATGCCACATATTTAACATAATTCAATCATAAATCATTTTATAAATGATGCAACCAAGGCATATAACACTTATTGACTAAAGTTTTGGGCCAGATGTGATGGTTCATGCCTGTAATCCCAGCACTTTGTGAGGCAGAGGCAGGTGGATCACCTGAGGTTAGGAGTTCGAGACCAGCCTGGCCAACATGATGAGACCCCATCTCTACTAAAAATACAAAAATTAGCCAGGGGTAGTGGTGTGCACCTGTAGCCCCAGCTACTCAGGAGCTGAGGCAGGAGAATTGCTTGAAGCTGAGAGGTGGAGGCTGCGGTGAGCTGAGATTGCACCACTGCACTCCAGCCCAAGCAACAGTGCAGTGGCGAGTCTCTGTCTCAAAAATAAATAAATATATAAAAGATTGGGAAAATTTCATTGGCCAGTACCGTTCTTGTGAAAGTATATTTTACTTATTCAAGAGAAATATTTATGAGCTTTCTGAGGGAGAAGTCAAACCACAAAAAAAGATTCCTAATTTAAGCCTTCCAAAGAAAGAACCCTCTGTAAGTCCCAGAACCCCTAGATTGAAGAGCGCCTGATGGGTCTGAGACCCTAAGTTGGAGAGCTATGCTGAAACAGAGTTGCAACCTTCTGCATAATGGTAGATTTGAAGATGGGAGTGGGGCTAGAACCTGGAAAGAAAGGGGAGCTCATAAGATTAGTGTCCGTGGGTAGCAGGTGGAATGGGAAACAAGGGGACAATAAAGACAACAAATCAGTCCATGCAAACGCCTGGGTGAGAAGGAAGCCTGGGGAAGTTTGCCTTTTTTTTTTTGTAATTGTTTGCTATCTGCGGGAGTGAAATGATGTGAACCCTCTTCCACCAAGAACACGGCTTCAGTACAGATGAATTATTTCAGGGAACCCTAAGAGAATGAGTTCTGCTTCCAAGTTAGCAGGGAGTAAAAACTAGTTTAGCACATGTCAAAAAGAGAGCAAAATGACACCTGCGTAGCCTCAATGTTATGGAAGAATAAGTGTATGTTGTCTAAGGCTACATTACTTGACAGATAGAGCTTAAATTTGAATTCATATTTGTCTGACTTCAATGATGGAATTATTAACACTCTTCCGTAATGTTTCTAAGGTGATTGACATTGTGATCATTGCTCTAAAGGGTAAAATAGGTATGTTACAAACAAATGCCTTTCTCAAAGACTCATATGGTAGCTGTCCCTTTTCTAATTGAACACCAAAGGTGACAGAAAGCTCGCTGCCTCCCAAGGGACCAGTTAAAATTTTGATATCCCTTGGGATAGAACTTTATTCTATGAAATAAAAAGAAATATCACTTTTAATGCTAGAATCTCTTCATCTAAATTCAAAGTTTTGAGATAGCATCCAAGAAGTATTTCCCCCACATTATCTAAATGTCTTTTCAATTCTGAGTGGGAGAAGTCACAGCTATAATGACCCTTTTCTCCTCAAGGCTAAGCACCCACAATGTTGTGAATGAATATTTATATGACAACCCATGATTCTAGCTTCCTTCTTCAAAGGTTGCCTAGTCCAGTTAAAGACCAGCTCTAAAGAATGGATAAGCATATTTGAAATGAGTAGAACTTTTTTTAACCAACTTATAGGCACAGGATATTAATCAGCAACAATTTGCATTCTACTGAGCCAAGGACATGTTGGGAGAGGCCTGAGAAAGAATTTGAGATGGCAGCTTATAGAGCAATGGAGTGAAAACCACCATCTGGTAAGCAGAAAAGATTGCACCTGAGAGGAGCCTGGAGAAAGCACTCTATCTGCACAGAGGAGCAAAAGGTTTGGTTCCCAATCAAGAGGGAAGACAAATTAGGTAGGAAAGTCTGTCTCTAGTAAGGATACCAGGTACCCTGTGGAAAAATGGCAGCACCCAGCACAGGGCTGGGATGTCCTGGGGACATTGTGGACATTGGTTGGCATGTCAGGCTGGGGGAGAATGACAACAGGCATCATCACCATCTTTCTCATTTCCTGGCTGTGGTCCCTCCACTGCCAAGGTCCAAGTCATCCTGAATCACTGTCAAAGCCTTGTCAGGTCCCCTGCCAAGGAACATAAGGAAAGTCTATGGTCAACAACTAAGTGGCAGACAGAAGAGAAACCAGTGACAGCAGTGGCTGTGGAAAATCCAGTGACAAATTTTTATGGGATTCAGTAGAAGAGCCAGCAGTTGCAACCTGGGGCTCTGGGACCGACTGCAAATGGGTCAATGCTCTACACAGGGAAGAAGCAGCTTGGGGTAATTGAAATGTCAGCTGTTAAGGACAGTGGGGCTGAGGGTGGCGATTCAATTACAGAAGGGAGTGAAAGTTCTAGATTTTTAAATATTCTTAGAAATGTGCATGTTTATTAATTTCGACTGTGAACACAGAAAACAAACTACACTAATGAAGGTGGGCACACTGTAGATAAAACCTCAGGCAGTGATTTGAATGAACTTGGCCATATTGATTAATGTCTGCTTCTAATGTGTCTCAACTCTTCTTTGATATCATTAAAATTTTTTCTATCATATAAGCAACGACAGAAATATAAAAAACCACAGTGTTATCTTTGAAAATGCACTATTTGAAAACAAATAAAAATGTAAAAGTGAACGGAAACAAAAAATATAAAATAAATTTATTTTTATTTATAAAAATAAATATTCTATCTCCCTGGAGAGGCTCAGTCACTTTTGTGAAAGTTTTTATTTTTCCCAAATTAATTTATAACTTAAACACAGCTTTAACTCAATCTTAATGCGATGTTGTATTATGTGGCAAAGTGGCTGTAAAGGATATCCAAAAAAAATAAACATAGGAAAATATCCAAGACAGTTTCCTTTAAAAAGACCACAGGTGAAAGGCTTATTCTGTCTTATGGCACATTTACTGTAAACCTCAAACAATTTCAATCCCGTAGTGTCAATATAGGAGATAGAAAATGTGGTAGAAAAATGACAATCAATTATTTAAACTTTAATATATGGACGAGGAGTGGTTCACATTTCAAATTAAAATGATTATTTGTTAAATCATATTTTGAAATTTAGTTTAGTGAAAAATGAGATAAACACTCATCTAACATGGCATGAAAATTAATTGCAGAGAAAATAAAGCTTTGACTGTGAAGGGTATAGTAGTAGTAAAAAATATAGACCTATATAAAAGAGGGTTGAGTAAAATGTATAAGAATAAAATTGATGTCTAAAAATTACAAATAAAAAGATAGACAGATTTAGTAAATAAAATATTGTTCATAAATATGTGTGTGCCCTAAGTGGTAATAAATAATCGCAGAGGTAGAACATTCGTCAGAAAAGTTTTAAACAAGAAAATGTCTCTGTTTTATATGCATAGTAATGGATGATGATGTATTAAGATAATGAATGATATTGAAGGACTGATAGAAAAATGGTCCTTCTGGTGTCTTAATTGATAGGTCAGGAAATAGACACATGGTAGATAAAATGTGCATTTCAATTGCATGTTTTGATTCTCCATTGTGTTTCATTATGAGAAGCTGATCTTAAAAAAAAATCTTCAATTAGTCAAACCAGAGATCAAAAGAGAATCACATAGTTACATGATGAAATACCTACCCCTAAGTCTAAAAGTTTAAAAAAGCACAATTAATTTTTTAATTGTTCTTATCACCTGGAAAATCTAAGTCATAAAATATGTTTATTTTATATAATCAAATTTCACATTTTTGTAACTATGGTTTGACTACTTTGTCAACAGTCTTGACATTCTATATGAAAATGTGTGTGTGTATGTGCAAATTTATTAGAATGATTATGAAAAATATGTAAGCATTCTGACATTCTATATGAAAATGTGTGTATGTATGTTCAAATTTATTAGAATGATTATGAAAAAATATGTAAGCATTCTGGATCACTTTATATTCATGAATAGTCATGCATTATTAACCAAAGATAGAGGTTTGTGTTTATGAATCTACTGGCATAAAATACCCAGCATATTAATTTAATTCTTTCAGGTTAAAGAGAAAATAAAAAAGAAAGACAATATGTAAGTGGTGTGTTTATGTCTGATCAAGTAAAACAAAACTGATATCATGGTGAGTTGTAACATCAACGTGTATGTGATTCTTTTTTAAATATTAGGAGTTAGAAAAGTAGTGAGGAAATAAAACCATGTGACAAAAAGAAGTAAAATGTCAAAATATAAACAACCTCCCAATTAGAGGTCTTTGCCATGTTTATGTAATCTTCCTTTTTCTTTCCTTTCTTTCTTTCCTTTCTTTCTTCCTTTTCCTTCCTTCCTTCCTTCCTTCCTTCCTTCCTTCCTTCCTGCCTGCCTGCCTGCCTGCCTGCCTGCCTGCCTGCCTTCCTTCCTGCCTTCCTGCCTTCCTGCCTGCCTTCCTGCCTGCCTTCCTGCCTGTCTTCCTGCCTTCCTGCCTTCCTTCCTCTTTTTGGAGACAGGGTCTCCCTCTGTCACTCAGGTTAGAGCGCCTCATGGTGTGATCACTGTTCACTGCAGCCTTGACCTCCTGGGCTCAGGTGATCCTCCCACCTCAGCCTCCAGGGTAGCTGGAACTACAGGTACAGGTATACACCACCACATCCAGCTAATTTTTTGTTATTTTCTTTTTTGTAGAGATGAGGTTCGCCATGTCGTCCAGGTTGGTCTTGAACTCCTGGGTTCGAGCAATCTGCCTGCCTTGGTCTCCTGAAGTGCTGGGATTACAGGCATAAGCCACCATGCCCAGCCCATGTAATGCTTCAACCAGGCATTTATTTTTTATTTCAGCAAAACAATTTTATGAATCTCATTAATGTTTAAATTTTATTGGCTTTATGGTCTATTTCTATTATAAATTTTGTTTGATTTTATAATTGACTCAATAATTTATGCTTAATTTTCTTTACAAATGATAATACAGCTTAGAGCTTTCAACTTTTCTTCACCCTTTGAATACAACCCTTTGGAATCAACTATGGGTTATACCACAAGATACTTCAGGATAACACTTTGTGAACAAGGGTTAGTTTCTTAACTATTTTGTGTTCCAATTTCTTTATGTGTAAAAATGAGGATGCTTATGTGAACAATACAGGCTGTGTAAAGAGTCCATGAGGTCATGAAAGCATCATACTTGCCAAGCTGAAAAGTGAGGCAGAATTCAGTGGAAAACATGAGAAGTGAAATTCTAGGTGTCCAATAAACACAATTTGAATCCAAATGCCTGATATAAGTCAATGAATGAACAAATAAACCTTAATTCAACCAGACTAGACTGTACCTTGGTTATAAGATTTGTTTATTCATTTCTATATATTAATAATGTATTGAATGTCTCTTATGCGCCAGGACTACCCTAGACATGGGGGATATATAGATAAGTGAGACAGAGTTTGCCACCTCAAAGTGCTCTAAGACAAGTGAACAAATGGTTATAACATAGGGTAGTAATTACAATAAGAGGATAGAAGAGACAGTTGTGTAAACAAAAGGAGGGTGTTGCATACGTGGAATGTGAGGATGACCAGGAAGAATTCAGGGAGAGAATAGTACTCGAGTTTGGTCTTGAAGGAGAAGTAGGAAGTATTCATTTCAGGAAAGAGATGTCCTAGGCAGATGGAACAGCCAGTGTGGAGACATAGGGTGGGTGTAAGAGTATAGTGTCTTCCGGAAGACCCATGTAGTTCAGGATGGCTGGAGCACAGGATATAAGAGGAGGAGAAGGAAGAGATGAAGCTCAAGACGTGGGCAGGTGTGGCAGGCAGGTTAATGCCTCCTTCCCCAAAATAGATGTCCACATCCTCACATCCTTATCTCCAGAACCTGTAATTATGTTTCTACATATGGCACAAGAGATTTTGTAAACATGGTTAAATTAAGGAGCATATGGCTGGGCCCAAAGTAACTACAAAGATTCTTATAAGTAAAAGAAGGAGGTAGATGAGATAGACAGGCAGAGAGAGAAACAGAGAAAGAGAGAGAGACTATACTGTGGATCAAGGGATGTTGGTAGCCTCTAGAAGCTGAACAAACTTCAAGCCCACTAATTCTTCTCTAGAGCCTCCAGAAGGAAAGCAGCCCTGCGGATACCTTGATTTGAGTCAAGTAGGGCTTATGCCAAACTTCTAATCTCCAGAATTGCAAGATTTGAAACATTGTTTGGTTTTAAGCCGCTAACTGTGTGGTTATTTCTTACAACAGCAACAGGAAACTACTTAACAGCAGGCGACAGGGTACACGTAAAGCCCTATTTTCTTTCTAAGGAACAGAAATTTTCTTTCCATGCAGTAGGAAGTGAAGGCAGCCAGCACCTCCACACCTGTGGGTATTTCTTGTCAGGTGGCACGAGAGACTGAGAAAAGAAATAAGACACAGAGAAAAAGTACAGAGAAAGAACAGTGGGCCCACGGGATCGGCGCTCAGCATACGGAGGACCCGCACCAGCACTGGTCTCTGAATTCCCTCAGTATTTATTGATTACTATTTTCACTATCTCAGCAAGGGGAATGCGGCAGGAGAACAGGGTGATAGTGGGGAGAAGGTCAGCAGGAAAACATGAGCAAAGGAATCTGTGACACAAATAAGTTTAAGGGAAGGTACTATGTCAGGATGTGCACATAGGCCAGATTTATGCTTCTCTCTACCCAAACATCTTAGTGTATAGTAAAGAGTAACAGAGTAGCATTGCCACAGTATATCTCGCCTCCAGCCACAGGGCGGTTTTCTCCTATCTCAGAATAGAACTAATGTACGATTGGGTTTTACAATGAGACATTCCGTTCCCAGGGGCACATAGGAGACGGAGGCCTTCCTCTTATCTCAACTGCAAGAAGCCTTTCTCTTTTACTAATCCTCCTCAGCACAGATCCTTTACTGGTGTTGGGCTGTGAGACCGTCAGGTCTTTCCCTTCCCACAAGGCCATATCTCAGGCTGTCTCAGTGGGCAGAAACCTTGGTCAATACCCAGGCTTTCTTGGGCAGAGGTCCCTGCGGCTTTCTGCAGTGCGTTTTGCCCCTGGTTAGTAGAGAATGGAGAATGGTGATGACTTTTACCAGGCATACTGCCTGCAAACATATTATTAACAAGGCATAACTTGCACAGCCCTAGATCCCTTAAACCTTGATTCAATACAGCACATGTTTCTGTGAGCACAGGGTTGGGGCTTAAGTTACAGATTAACAGCATCTCAAAGCAGAACAATTTTTTTTAGTACAGTTCAAAATGGAGTTTCTTATGTCTTCCTTTTCTACATAGACACAATAACGGTCTGAGCTTTCTTTTCCCTACATGGGAAAATAAGTTTCAGCAAAACAATTTTATGAATCTCATTAATGTTTAAATTTTATTGGCTTTATGGTCTATTTCTATTATAAATTTTATTTGATTTTATAATTGACTCAATAATTTATGCTTAATTTTCTTTACAAATGATAATACAGCTTAGAGCTTTCAACTTTTCTTCACCTTTTGAATACAACCCATTGGAATCAACTATGGGTTGATGGCAGTTTTGTCAAAAAGAAAAGGGGGATGTGTGGGGAAAAGAAAGAGAGATCAGACTGTTACTGTGTCTATGTAGAAAAGGAAGACATAAGAAACTCCATTTTGATCTCTACCCTGAACAACTGTTTTGCCTTTAGATGCTGTTAATCTGTAACTTTAGCCCCAACCCTGTACTCACAGAAACATGTGTTGTATAGAATCAAGGTTTAAGGGATCTAGGGCTGTGCAGGATATGCCTTGTTAATAATATGTTTACAGGCAGTATGCTTGGTAAAAGTCATCACCATTCTCCATTCTCGATTAACCAGGGGCAAAATGCACTGCAGAAAGCTGCAGGGACTTCTGCCCAAGAAAGCCTGGGTATTGTCCAAGGTTTCTCCCCTCTGAGACAGCCTGAGATGTGGCCTCGTGGGAAGGGAAAGACCTGATCGTCCCCCAGCCCGACACCTGTAAAGGGTCTGTGCTGAGAAGGATTAGTAAAAAAGAAAGGCCTCTTGCAGTTGAGATAAGAGAAAGGCCTCCATCTCCTACATGTCCCTGGGAACAGAACGTCTCCTTGTAAAACCCGATCATACATTCGTTCTATTCTGAGATAGGAGAAAAACCACCCTGTGGCTGGAGGTGAGATATGCTGGCGGCAATGCTGCTCTGTTACTTTTTGCTACACTAAGACGTTTGGGTGGAGAGAAGCATAAATCTGGCCTACGTGCACATCCAGACATAGCACCTTCCCTTAAACTTATTTATGACAGATTCCTTTGCTCACATGTTTTCTTGCTGACCTTCTCCCCACTATTACCCTGTTCTCCTGCCGCATTCCCCTTGCTGAGATAGTAAAAGTAGTAATCAATAAATACTGAGGGAATTCAGAGACCGGTGCCGGTGCGGGTAGTCCCTATGTTGAGCGCCGGTCCCCTGGGCCCACTGTGCTTTCTCTATACTTTTTTCTCTGTGTCTTATTTATTCTCTCAGTCTCTCATTCCACCTGAAAAGAAATACCCACCTGTGTGGAGGGGCTGGCCCCCTTCAAGGAAGAGACTGCAGGATTTTGAGACAGAAGGTGATTTTTATTTTTTAAGTGCTTATTCTGACTGACGTGAAGAAGATGGAATGGAAGGAGCGGAGGCAAGGAGAGCAACTCCAAGGCCATGTTAATAATTTAGGAGGGGTATTGTGCAGGCATAGCTTGCCTTATTGTGCATCTCTTTATGGCATTTCACAGATATTACATATTTTACTAATGGAAGGTTCGTAGCAATCCTGAGGCAAGCAAATCTATTTGCACCATTTTTCCAAAAGCACATACTCACTTCATGTCCCTATCACATTTTTTTTAATTCTTGCAATATTTCAAACTTTATTATTATATCTGTTATGGTGATCTGTGATCAGTGATCTTTATTTATTTATTTATTTATTTATTCTTTTTTTTTTTTGAGATGGAGTCTCGCTCTGTCACCCAGGCTGGAGTGCAGTGGCACGATCTGGGCTCACTGCAAGCTCCGCCTCCTGGGTTGATGCCATTCTCCTGCCTCAGCCTCCCGAGTAGCTGGGACTACAGGCACCCGCCACCGTGCCCGGCTGATTTTTTTTTTTTTTTTTTGTATTTTTAGTAGAGACGGGGTTTCACCGTGTTAGCCAGGATGGTCTCGATCTCCTGACCTCGTGATCCACCCACCTTGGCCTCCCAAAGTGCTGGGATTACAGGCGATCAGTGATCTTTGATGTTTCTATTGTAATCACAGTACAATAGAACATGGTTTTTGTGGCACCACAAACCATGTTCACATAAGATAGCAAACTTAATCAGTAAGTGTTGGGTGTTCTGACTATTCCACCAACTGTACTTTCCCCCATCTCTCTCCATCTCCTTGGGCCTCCCTATTCTCTGAGACACAACGATATTAAAATTAGGCCAATTAAGAAACTTACAATGACCTCTAACTTCTCAAGTGAAAGGAAGAGTTCCATCTCTCTCACTTTCAATCAAAGGCTAGACATGATTAAGCTTACTGAGGAAGGCATGCCCAAAGCCAGGATCAGCCAAAAACTGGGATTCTTGTTCCAAAGAGTTGGCCAAGTTGTGAATGCAAAATAAAATTCTTGAAGGAAATTAAAAGTGCTAGTCGAGTGAACATATGAACCATAAGAAAATGAAACAGGCTTCTTGCTGATATGGAGAAAGTTTTAGTGATTTGGATGGAAGATCAAACCAGCTACAAGGCCTAATCCAGAGCAAATCCTTAAATCTCTTAAATTCTCTGAAAGCTGAGAGAGAAAATGAAACTTCAGAAGAAACGTCTAAATCTAATAGAGGTTGGTTCATGACGTTTAAAGGAAAGAAGTTGACTCTATTTAACACAAAAGTGCAAGGTGAAGTAGCAAGTGCTGATGGAGAGGCTGCAGCAAGTTATCCAGAAGACCTAGCTAAGATCATCGATGAAAGTAGCTACTTTAAACAACACATTTTCAATGCAGATGAAACACCCTTCTGTTGGAAGAAGATGCTATCTAGGACTTTCATAGTTAGAGGGGAGAAGTCAATGCCGGGCTTCAAATAATCAAAGGACAGGATGACCCTCTTGTTAGGGGCTAATGCTGCTGAAACCAACACTCATTTCCCATTCTGAAAATCTTAGGGCCCTTAAGAATGTTGTTAAATCTACTCTCCCTGTGCTCTATAAATAGAAGACCAATGCCTGGATGAAAGCATATCTGTTTACAGCGCTGTTTACTGAATATTTGAGGCCCACTGTTGAGACCTACTGCTAAGAAAAAGATTTCTTTCAAAATATTACTGCTCTTGGACAATGAACCTGGTCATCCAAGAGCTCTGATGGGGACATACAAGGAGATAGATGTTGTTTCCATGCCTGCTATCACGGCATCCATTCTGCAGTCCATGGATCAAGGAGTCATTTTGACTTGCAAGTCTTATTATTTAAGAAATACATTTTGTAAAGCTGTAGCTGCCATAGATGGTGATTCCTCTGATGGATCTGGGTGAAGTAAATTGGAACCTTTTGTAAAGGATTTACCATTCTAGATGCTATTAAGGAAATCCATGATGCATAGGAGGAAGTCAAAATATCCACATTAATAGGAATTTGTAGGAAGTTGATTCCAGCTCTCGAGGATGACTATAAGGAGTTCAAGACTTCAGTGGAGGAGGTAACTGCAGATATGATAGAAATAGCAGGAAAACTAAAATTGGAAGTGAAGCCTGAAGATGTGACTGAATTCCTGCAATCTCATGATCAAACTTGAATAGATGAGGAGCGCTTCTTATGGATGAGCAAAGAAAGTGGTTTCTTGAGATGGAATCTACTCATCATGAAGATGTGTGAACATTGTTGAGATGACAGCAAAGAATTTAGAATATTACATCAACATAGTTGATAAAGCAGTGGCAACATTTTGAGGAGATGAACTTCAATTTTAAAAGAAGTTCGACTGTGGGCAAAATGCCATCAAACAGCATCATATGCTACAAAGAAATCTTTCATGAAAGAGTTAGTCAATGTAGAAAACTTCACTGTTCTTTTATTTTAAAAAATTGCCAAAGCCATCCCAGCCTTCGGCAACCACCAACCCCATCAGTCAGCAGCCATCAGCATCCAGGCAAAGCCCTCAACCAGCAAAAAGACTCCAACTTGCTGAAGGTTCAGATCATCCTTAGAAATTTTTAGCAATCAAGTATTTTTTATATGCACATTATTGTTATTATTATTTTTATTACACTTTAAGTTCTAGGGTACTTGTGCACAACATGCATGTTTGTTACATATGTATATATGTGCCATGTTGGTGTGCTGCACCTATTAACTCATTTTCATTAGGTATTTCTCCTAATGGTATCCCTCTCCCCAGCCCATGACAGGCCCCGGTGTGTAATGCTCCCCACCCTGTGTCCAAGTGATCTCATTGTTCAATTCCCCCCATGAGTGAGAACATGTGGTGTTTGGTTTTCTGTCCTTGCAATAGTTTGCTCAGAATGATGGTTTCCAGCTTCATCTATGTCTCTACAAAGGACACGAACTCATCTTTTTCTATGGCTGCATAGTATTCCATGGTGTATATGTGCCACATTTTCTTAATCCAGTCTATCATTTATGGACATTTGGGTTGGTTCCAAGTCTTTGCTACTGTGAATAGTGCCACAATAAACATACATGTATATGCACATTATTTTTTAGACATAATATTATTGCATAGTAAATAGACTACAGTATCGTGTAAACATAACTTTTATATGCACTGGGAAACCAAAATTTCATGTGACTGACTACTGCATTGATCTAGAACCAAAACCACAATATCTCCAAAGTATGCCAAAGTATTGCTTGCAGAAATTAACAATACATATACTTTATTAAATAATAAATACCTGTACATCAAGTAAATACTTTAAATTTAAGTGAAATTAAATAGCTAGCTTACATAGAAAAGTTTTCAGATTTTCCTTTTAGGAGGACTGTGGTTCATGGCCGTCCAAACTCAAAAGTCCCTACATTTCCAACAATAAGATGTGGGCTAAATAACACTATTAAAACATTCATTAAAAATCACAACTATATATACATATAGACATGTAAAGATAAGTTTTTTCTTGGTTATAACACAGTTTTAACTTAGAAAAGGGTAATAAATACTATATATAATCATCATATTTAGAATACATTTATAGAATAATTATATGCATTTGTATATATACATAGCTAAAAAGTCTCAAGGGAAATACGTAAGTATGTTAATGTTGGACATCTCTGGAGATAAGCATTAGAGTAGATAAGCATCTTTCTACTCAATGACTTACCATATGTATGATTTACCTGGGGAGTGGAGGGATCCTGACCTTTTTTCATAACAAGAATTTATGCTTATTTAGAGGAACAAAAGCCCCTCAGAAAGTCTTTGTCTTTATCTTTATCTTACTTCATATTCTATAGTGCTTGAGAGTTTACAATGACTTAATTTTTTACTCCACTGAAGCCCAAAAGGTGAGGACAAATTATTTAAAGATCCACAACATGTTTGACTCTTTGAAACAAAGTATCTTTTCTTTTTTTTTTTTTTTTTTTTTTTTTATGGTGAGACAGGGTTTCACTTGGTCATCCAGGCTAGAGCACGGTGGCATTATCACAGCTCACTGCAGCCTCAAACCCCTGGGCTCAAGCAATCCTCCTGCCTCAGCCTCTTGAGTAGCTGGAGCTATAGGTGTGCACCACCACACCTGGCTATTTTTAAATATTTTTTAGAGATGGGAGTCTCGCCATGTTGCCCAGGCTTGTCTCAAACTCCTGGGCTTAAGCAATCCTCCTACCTCAGCCTCCCAAAGTACTGAAATTACAGGCATGAGCCCTCATGCCTGGCCACTATTTTCAACAGGATAAGTATAAAGATAATGCTGATGACCAGTAGTAACACTATTTCTCAGTAATCACAATTGCACTCAGGATTATAACAAGAATAAGAGCTTCTGTAATCATTTATATTTATGATGGTTACTTGGTTGGTACCTTTTAGTCTGATACTGCCTTTCTTTTTTCTGGTTAGGGACAATCAACCAAAATAGAGAGGGAATCATAGAAGGAAGAGTGAAAGAGTAAGAAGACCAAGAGATGCACATTGCTGTGGCCCTGTCTGTGAGCTGTCAGGACTTGGTTCCTGTTGGACATCTTGGAAAATGTGCAGAACAGCTCCTAGAATTGTTCACCTGAAATGATGACTGGAGTATGTACCCACAGGCTTGGCAGCTATCATTTGAGGGTTTCCTCATGAATGAATTGGTGCAGAGGACTGAGCTGGGCTTTCAGGTGGACCAAGAGAACTTCTATAGATTTAGCAATGGTCCAGAGGCAGAACTGAGGAAGATAGATGTTCAGGTCACTTTTCAGGTGAGAAGCTCAGGATGAATCTTCACACAGATCTGTGTGCAGCTGTACCTAGAGCAAATGTCAGTGAAGGCGTGGGATATTCTCTAGAGGTGTTATGTAGTAGCAGGTGGTGCTCTGCCCAATTCTTAGACCTTCCCATTTCTGTGCACAGAAGCCCACAAGCTGCATTCTGTTTGTTTGTTTGTTTGATTGGGTCCAGCTGCATTAGGGCTAGGGGCCAGCTGCATTCTGTTTGTTTGTTTGATTGGGTCCAGCTGCATTAGGGCTAGGGGCCAGCTGCATTCTGTTTGTTTGTTTGTGGTGGTGTTTTCATTGTAGGTCTGAGGGGTTTTCACACCACTCTGCTGATGTGAAAAACAAGCTAGGAATGCCTAGAAATTAATGCCACCAAATCCCCAGGAGTGCCCCTCTCCACCAATGACTGATGGAAGTTGACCTATAAAGGCACCAGGTTTTTTCTTTTTTTCTATTTTGGAGGGTAAGAGTGAAGTTTGTGGTCTACATTGGAACTCAAAGTTGCACACTGGGATGAAGCTCGGTGTTGCCCATAGCAATGCCTTGGCGGAAAACTCACACTTGATTGACTGCTTTCTCTTTTCTTTCTCATTTCCCCATCCCTCTACTTGGGTTGCATGAAATCATCTTCCAAATACATTATTTTTATTTGAAAATTTTTTTAAAATTTAATTTTATTATTATTATACTTTAAGTTTTAGGGTACATGTGCACAATGTGCAGGTTAGTTACATATGTATACATGTGCCATGCTGGTGTGCTGCACCCGTTATTTTTTAATTAAATTTTTTTATTTCAATAGCTTTTGGGGTACAAATGGTTTTTGGTTACATGGATGAATTATATAGTGGTGAATTCTGAGATTTTAGTGTACCTATCACCCAAGCAGTATAAGTTGTATCCAAACTGTAGGTTTTTTATCCCACACTCCCCTTCCAGCCTCTCCCTTCTGAGTCTCTCAAGTCCATTATATCACTCTGTATGCTTTTGAGTACTCAGCTTAGCTCCCAATTATAAGTGAGAATTTTTCTTTGAATTCTTATCCCAATTCTTAAGTCAAGATATATTCACCACACATTTTGAGTGGAATTATTTCTAATGTAAAGATTAATTTGGGTGCTCTTGGTTGGCATCTTTAAAATAATCTTCCAATCTGTGTTTCTTGGGATCACCTCTCAATCAATGCTTTCATTTGAATTATTATGCCAGAATCAAAACATATTTGCTATGTATTTTGATTGGAATTATATGAACCTGTAAATTCATATTTGAGTGTTCTTGGAACCTTTAAACTATAGATTTTCAATTCTGTAAATAGGATGTATTGTTTCATTTATGTAAATAGCCTTCTGGTATTTATTTATTTATAGGTATGGTGTTTGGTGGGCAGCCTCCAAGAAGATCCCCTGTGATCCCCATTTTCTGTTATACGCACCCTGGTGTAGTCACCCCCTCTCCCTCATTTTACCAAAGTAGTTCTCATCCCTTGCTCTGAGCAGAGTCAGCTGTCACGTGTGAACACACTCAGGCTATAGAGAGGCCCACTTGCCGACAGACTGAAGGCATCCAGTCATCCCCTGCCTGAGCCTTAGGTGCCTGCAGGCCGGGCCTATGTTTTGGCTGAGACATCATGAGAGACCCTGAGTCAGAACCACCCAGCTAAGCCATGCTTGGGTTCCTGACCCACAGAAACTATGAAGGTCATTTAAACATTTGTAGTTTTAAGCTTCTAAGTTTTGTAGTAATTTGTTATACCATAATAGATAACAAATGCATGGTCAGATAACATTTTGTATGATTTCAATCTGTTTTAAATTTGGTTAAACTAAATAAAAAAGTAAAGAAAGACAGAAAGATAAATTTGGTTAAACTTACAAAATGTGTTTAGCGGGGGCCAGATAACTTTTGATTTTGGTGACTATCCCATATGTACCAGGGAGGAGCTTGTATTTTGCTGCTGTCATGACGTTCATTTGATCAAGGTGGTTCTCAGTGTAGTTCGAGTCTTCTATACCCTTACCGATTTTATTGCCTACTTGTTCGATCATTCACAGACAGTACTGATGTGTCTAACTACAATTGTGGATCTGTCTATTTATCCTTTTGGCTTTATTAGTTTTTACTGTATGTATTTTGAAGCTATATTAATTAATAAAACACACTTAATATTGTTATGTATTCTTGATGTAATTATTATTTTTTAACTCTGGGAATATTTCTTGTTCTGAAGCCTACTTTAAAAATATTAATATAGCACCCTCTCCCCCCAGCTTTCTTATGACTTGTGTTTGCTTGGCGTTAAATTTTCCATTTTTTTACTTTTAATCATTTGTGTCTTTATACATCCAGCACATAGGTGGGTCTTACTTTTCACAAAATGTGACAATCTCTACTTTTTAATTGAGGTACTTAGACTGCTTACACGAAATAAGAGTTTTAATAGAATTATTAGCAGTAGGATAGGTATGGTGACTCATACCTGTAACCCCAGTGCCTTAGGAAGCCAGGGCAGTAGAACTGCTTTATCCAGGAGTTCAAGACCAGCCTGGACAATATAGTGAGATCCTGTCTCTACAAAAAATAAATAACAAATAGCCAGGCATGATGGTGTGCACTTGTAGTTCCAGCTCCTTGGGAGGCTGAGGTGGGAAAAGGTTGGGGCTAGGTGAGCTGTAATCATACCACTGCACTCCAGCCTGGGCAACAGAGTGAGATCCTGTCTCTAAAGAAAAAAAAAAAAAAAGAATTAGCAGTGTCTTTTTTTTTTTTTTTTTTTTTTTTTTTTTTTTTTTTGATATGGAGTCTTGCTCTGTCGCCCAGGCTGGAATGCAGTGGTGCGATCTGGGCTCACTGCAAGCTCCGCCTCCCGGGTTCACTCCATTCTCCTGCCTCAGCTTCCGGAGTAGCTGGGACTACAGGCACCTGCCACCACATCTGTCTAGTTTTTTGTGTTTTTAGTAGAGACGGGGTTTCACCATGTTAGACAGATTGGTCTCGATCTCCTGACCTCATGATCCACCCGCCTTGGCCTCCCAAAGTGCTGGGATTACAGGCGTGAGCCACCATGCTCAGCCTTAATATTTCTTTCTGCTTTGCCTCCAATACTTTCTCTTAATCTTTGTTATTTAGCCGCTTGATTGTGGTGTGTTAAGTGTGTCCTGCTGTGTTTCTCTGAGAATTCGGATCTGTTTGCTGTCTTTCATTACTTTTAGGAGATTCATGTCCATTTTCACTTAAAATATTTATTCTGCCCTGTTTTATTTATTTTTCTTTCTTCTCTCTCTGGTACACAAATTACACATATGGTAGATTGTTTGACATAGTTTCACAGCTAAATTTTTGTTATGTTATTATTATCTTCTTACTCTTTTTCTATTTGTGTTTGTTTGGAAATGTCTATTGCTATATCTTCAAGTTCACTGATTATATCTGCTCTGTCTAGTTTGATTATTAAAGCTTTTTGGAAAAGTCATTCATGTCTGATATGATGTTTTTCATTGCTAGCACTTTCATATGACTATTAAATTCTCATGTCTTTATTTTCCCATTATGTTCATGCATATTGTTTATCTTTACCACTAGTCCCTAAAACATTATAATTGTAATTATTTTAAGGTTACTGTTTGAGAGTTCCAACAGCTGGGCCATCTCTGGGTCTGCTTTTGTTGTTTACTTTATCTCTTAACAGAAGTTTCTCAGCAACCCCTTTCAACATATATGTATTTCTTGTCATTTTAGATTGTCTGTCATTTGTTATGTGTAAAAGAACAGTATAAGACTGAAATAAATAATATTTGTGTTCAGAAATGGGTACACCTCTCCTTCAGTTAGGTGTTTACATTAGTAGGTTGAATTAATTCTGTTAGTAGTTAAGCTAGGTTTGAGTTTTAATGTTGTTATAGTTATATCCAGCGTGTCACAGACTCCAAATTCCTTTCAAGGTGAAATGATGCGAGTTCTATTGTTTTAGGGGTGAGGCTAAGTGTCCTAGAAGACTATTATTAGTATGCCTGACTCACCCTCAGCTGGCAGAAGGCCCTTCATGCCACACCATGTGGAGGGAGGTGTTTCCTCTTGCCCTTGTCTCTCCTCATGTGTTCACTGATACTGTCTGTTACCCAGCTTAAGGGTCCCCCTGGGATGTAGTTGTTTCTTGATTCTCCTGATCCAGTATCAGTCTTAGGCAGGGCCTCTGTGTCTCAGCCTCAGGGCTTGACTTTCTGTACTATATGGGATGAGCAAGTGTTCTTTCTCCCTCTTAGAACCAGTAGGCCTCTGCTTTGTATCCTTGTAGGATCCTGGACATGATCAGGTGTATTTGTTTATGATGGCTGCTATAACAAATTACACAAACTTTGTGGCTCAAAACAACAGAAAGTTATTCTCTTACAGTTCTGGAGGCAAGAATTTTGAGATTAAGGTGTTGGTAGGGCCATGCTTCCTCTAGAGGCTCCAGGGGAAAATCTATTCCATGCCTCTTCCAGAGTCTGGGGTCTGCGTGCAATCCTTGGCTTTTGGCCACATCCCTCCAATCTCTGCTTCCACAGTCACATTGCCTGCCTGCTCCTCTTATGTGTGTGTAGTCAAATTTCCCTCTACCTCCATCTTATGTGGTTGCATTTAGGGCCTACATGGATAATCCTGGATAAGCTCCCAATTATGTTAAGGTTCTTAACTTAATCACATCTTCAAAGACCTTCTTTCCAAATAAGGTAACATGTGAAGGTTCTAGGGATAAAGACTTGATGTATCTAGGGGTGTTACTCAGCCCATTACTGCATGTTTCTTTTCCCTTCCTTAGTGCCAGAGGGGGTTTGCCTTGTATCAGTGATGAGTGGGGGACAGGTTTCTATTCCTCCCTTCTATTCTCCTGAAAGTGGCCTTGATTTTTGGAACAGAAGAGCCTCCTACCCCTCTTTTTGTAGCGAACAGCCTTGTCTCTACCCCTGCCCTGGCATCTGCTAAGCTTTGTAATTGGGGCTGCAGGATGTGGGAGGGTTTTGGGTAATCAGTGGCAGCTGATTAGAACTGTATAAGTTGTGTCAGCAAAGGAAACCAAGTCTTGCTCTGACCCTCAAAATTTCCCTGCACACCCATTAGAGTTTCAAGGAAAGGAGTTGGTGAGAGGGTGTATAATCCCTTTACATCTGGAACTCCCAGCACTTTTTACTGTCATACTAATACACACTCAGCCATCAAGAATCCATTAAAATTTAGTTATTTTCTTTCTGAAAATAGCTTTATATACCTACCACATCTGTTTAAGGAAAAAACAGTTAGTGTGGCCTGTCTCTCTCTAGAAGAGTTAGACATCCTATGGAATTGTTTACCTGGTAGCTTTGCAACTTCTGCTTTTTGACAAATTTAAAAATTAATAACTTTGTAGATTATCTGTTTCTTTTCTCATTATTAGGCTGGGAGCGAGGCTATGTTGTGGCTTTCTATATCCTAAGAGGAGGGAAACTTATTTTCCTTCTATTTAGTAGTTCATTTTTTATTTTGATAATCTTTTGTAGATTTTATGTAGAGGGTTCCACTATATTCATTCATTCATGACCATATATTTGATATTTTGGTGCTGTTTTAGGAAACTCATTTTTAAAGTTCAGTTTTCTAGTATAGTATGCTTATATATAAAATTCAGCAGATTTTTATATTCATACCTATTAATCTTAATCATTCCTTTGTAGGTAATTTTGAATGTTCTATTTATACAATCATATTGTTTATAAATAATGGCTATTTTATTTATTCCTATTTTAATCTTAATTATGTATTTTTCATGACTTTTGGGTATGAAAAATTGAATGTAAGAGGGGATATTAAACATTCCTATCTCATTTCCCATCTCAGTCATAAAGCTTTTAAAATGTTGCTGTTAGGTATGATGTTGTATATGATTTTGAATATCATTGATAAAGTCAAACACATTTCATTCTATTACTAATTTTCTATTTTAAAAAATTATAAGTAGGTGTTATATTTTATCAATTGATTCTCCACCCTAATGGAATTTTTATATATTTTTCTTCTTTATTATATTAGTGTTGCAAAATGCATTAAACCCTTCAGCAGTGGGGTAGTACCACTGTGGAAAATAGTATGGAAGTTCCTCAAAAAAGTAAAAATACAACTACAATATTACCCAGAATCCCATTTCTGGGTACATAACCAAAAGAATTGACATCAGGGTCTTAAAGAGAGACCTGAACTCCCATGCACATTGCATTATTCACAAAAGCCAAGATATGAAAATAACTCAAATCTCTATTGACAAACACTAATGGATAAATAAAGTGTTATATGTGTATGTTAATATGTATGTGTGTGTGTGTGTGAATATTATTTAGCCTTTAAATAGAAGGAAATCTTACCATTTAAGGATAAAGGAAGATCTTACCATTTGTGACAGGGTGGATAGACCTGAAAGACATTATGCTAAGTGAAATAAGTCAGTCACAGAAAAACAAATACTGCGTGATTTCTATTATATAAGGTATCTAAAATAGTCAAACTTATAGAAGCAGAAAATAGACTGGTGGTTGACAGGGGTTGGGGGGAAGGATAAATGGGGAGTGTATAAAGTTACAGTTATATAAGACGAATATATTCTAGGTATCAGTTTTACAACCTAGTGCCTATAGTTAACAGCATGGTGCTGTGCCCTTACAATTTTGTTAAGAGGGTAGATCTCATGTTAAGTGCTCTTACTACAAAGAAAGCAAAGAGACACCAGGGAAAATTCTGGAGATAATGGATATATTTATTACCTTGATTGTAGTGATGGTATCTTGGGCATATGCTTATGTCCAAACTCATCAGATTGTATACATTAAATATGTACAGTTTTCTTGTATATCAATTACATCCCAATAAAGATGTAAAAATAAAGAAAAAGATGATTCAAATAAAATAAAATGTGATTAATTCATAAAAAATAACAACTGAATGTTAAGGTATTTAAAAAAGGCCTATTTTTCAAGTATTATGTTGAAATTTTGGTGAATATTTTGATGTAGGCATTGTCTAAATTAATTTTCAACTATTTTTAGGAATGGTACTATTTTTTGAGCCAGGTATTTCTCTTCTTGCATCACCTCAAAATGCTTACTGAAAAGAAAAAATCTGTGGTACTACAGAAAAGAATGGGGAATGAGCCTGAATTATTTTCCAAGGGAACATGTTCTACCTGATGAATCTAATCTTCCATGACAGGGTGATTCTGTTTAAAGATGGGAAGATAGTGACAGGTGTAATATATCTTGACTTGAGCAAAGTTTGGATTCTCTACTGCATGACACATGGGTTTCATATTAAAAATATATTGTAAGTTACAAATGCTAGGTACATACCTAGTCATGTTTTTTCTTGGATAATATTTTGTGTTTGAAAGTTGTTTTCTAAAATGATGGACTGAAATGTTGGAATGTTAGAAACCAGAAGTCATCTTCAGCTCCTCCTTCACTTTGGCTTACCTTACCTTTTGGCCCTCAAATTCAGTGAATTCTACTATGAAGGATGCTAGCTGAATTTCATAGTGTGTAAACACTGCATGACACCACGATTTTGAGCCTTGGTTATGAGGTTAGAGGTTAGATATGAGGTATCTAAAATAGTCAAACTTACAGAAGCAGAAAATAGACTGCTGGTTGACAGGGGTTGGGAGGAAGGATATATACTATCCTAAGAGAAAAACCTAAATCCTCATTTTTTACATAAAGCTTTCTCTCTGTCAGTTAGAAAAACGTCTTCTATTGGAATTTTAAAAAACCATTCTTTCTTATGACAGTCTTAAACCATTGGAAGTAGTTTGGTTTTCATGCAGAACACTGGAGAATTTGAACATGTTAATAATATTGTTTTTTTATTTTTTATCAGGATCACTCTGGTAACTCATGAGAATAAAAAATAAGATGCAAGGACAAAAGAAAAAGGAGTAGACAGGATCCCATTGTAGTGACATAGGGAGGAGATGGTGGGGCCTGTAGCAGGTGAGCAGCAGTAGAGTAAGACGTGGTCAGATTCTGGATGTATTCTCGAGGCAGCACTAACAGAATTTGCTGCTTTATGGGACATGGTGTATGATGAAAATAACATAATTTAGAATGATCCCAATGTTATTGGTCTGAATAACTAGAAAATTGGAGTTGGTGTTAACTGAGATAGGGTAAACCTGGAAAGCTAATATTTAGCGTAGAGATGGGGAGTTCAGATTTAGACTTGTGACACATGAGTAACCCAGATGTGCAACTGGAAATTTTGAGTGAGTCATTATATACAGAAGGCTGACAGTAAGGAGAGAGGTCTGGTCTGGAAATAAAATGGTTTGGAAATAAAATTTGGGATTTGCCAGTGTTATATACTATGTGAAGCCTTGTGACAGGTTAAGATAACACAGGGAGTGGGTGTAGAGAAAGGAAGAGACCATAAGACTGATATCTGATGTACTCTGGTGTTCAGAAGTTGCAGAATGAGAATAATATAGAAAAGGGGGCTGAGAAATAGTTAAGAGAAAGGCAATGATGTGTGCTGCAGGAAGACAGTGGATGTGTAGCACCTCAGAGCTAAGTATAGAATATGTTCAAGGAGTAGAGAGGATTAACAGGTCGAGTATTCTTTAAAGATACAATAAGGTATGCATTAGGACATGATCATTAGGTTGCACAACATGTCAGTCCTTGATGATCCTGGCAGAAGAAGTTTGGTGGAAAGTGACAATTAAAACCTTATTGAATTGAGTTTAAAGAATGGGCATAGAGGAATTGGTGACAATGAGTGTATAGACACTTTTAAAGAGGATATTTTCAATGTATGGGAACAGAAAATGGGGTGGTCGCTGAGAAGGAGTAAGATCAAGAATGTGTATTTTAAGGGCTAAAAATAAGAGCATGTTTGCATATACTGATAGCAGTAATCTAGTGGAATAAGAACAAAAATAATCATATAAGATTAAAGGAGTAGAAATGCCAGAGCAATATCCATGGGTGGAAAAGAATGGAAGGGATCATGGACACAAATGGAAAGTTGAACTGACACAAACATGGCAACAGGAGAGATATCACAGCCTATGGCTACAGATTCTGGTAGCAGGCAGTGTGAATGTGTTGAATTGTTCTTCTGGTTTCTTCTGTTTTCTTGGTGTAAAAGGATGTAAGGGTAAAGATGAATGAAGTGGATGTATATAGTTTGAGAAAAGACAAGGTGATTTGATATAATGTCTATGCAAATGATAGAGTGAGTAAAAAGGAAAATGATGACATTTGGGGTGTCCTGTGGCCCGCTTGAAGTCCATGGTTAGGAATTCAAGTTGTAACTAATCATCATAGTTATGTGTAGCAGTGTTCCCCACCCCAGTCACATTCAGCTGCATGTATACAAAAGCAGAGTAACAGAAATTTGGATTTAACTAATTGGGTGCTTTTCCTCAAAACAAATAAGAAAGAAAGGATGAAGAAATTGGAAGGTTGATGCAAGGGAGTGATTATAATAATTGCCTATGGAAACTAAACTGGGTACACAGGGCAGAGGACTCCGTGAGGGTGAGGGATGGTGCAAAGCTGGTAATGCTGATGGATTGTAGGTTCTGATGTGTTGCATGATCGTTGGGGTTGGGAGTCATTCAGAAAGACAGATGCTGGAATTGGGTATGTCAAGGCTCATTCTAGGTCATCTAAAGAAATGTAAAAGGGGAATGACACCGTTCCCTGTGTTTCATGGTCTGATAGGAAGGAGTAAACCTAATATGTGAGGGAAATAAAGGAGTTATTAGTACTTAATGTATCCCACCTTGTGCCAGGAACTTTCTATGCAGTATTTCATTTATATCTTGCAAAAGTGCCAGTGATCTAACTATTACCATTTCTGGGTTACAGAAAAGGAAGTTGAATCTCAGGAACTTGCCTAGTGTTGGCAGACACAGAAAGATTCAAACCTTAGTGTTCTGATTTCACAAATCTTTATTTTTATCACTAAGCCTGAGTAGATAAGTCCAAGGTATTATTATCAATGGAAAGAATAGCAAACTCACTAGACCTTTCTTTTAATGAGGGGCTTTAAATTATTTCAGTGGTATACCTTATGGTAGGTAAGTCGTTAATGCATTCTCTTTGTGGCATGATTTAACATAGTAAGAAACAGCTCATAGAATGTATGTGTATTACGGTATCACTTATATTTTAAAACACCAATAGCTTCTGTGTGTGTGTGTGTGTGTGTGTGTGTGTGTGTGTGTGTGTGTATTTATAAATTCAAATATACAGTATCTAGAAGAATGCACAATAAGTTATTAATAGAAATTTTATCTAGCTAGAAAATTAAGGCTAGGGTATGTAATAAAGAGATGAATTTACTTTTTGTTATGTGTGTTATTTTTCCAAAATCTGAAAATACATTAGAATAAATATGAAGGGGATGGATGTATAATGGGGTGTTTTTGATTTCTCAGTAAGTCAATAACGTTAGACAGAATCCAGGATTATTCAGTCTAACCAAATATTAGAATTGATGATTGGTATTATAATTTAGTTACGGGAAACCAAATCTATTTGTAAGAGTGTTTCTACCTACACTTTTTGGACCTCAGTATTCTCAAATACACAGTGAAAGAGGAATGAGATAACACCTATATTCTTTGATGTAGGTGTTGAAAAATATACTGATGATCAAGCCCAAAAGTTTGCATTCTAATAATTCCTTTGATCCTGACTTGTGGAGCAGTTTGGAAGAAATTTCACTTTTTTTTCTTTTGTCTTTAGTCTTACTATTGGGAAAATGAAAGACTTGAATTAGATCAGCAGTTTTCTGCTTGGCTTCAAGCTACCTTAATCAGCAATTACCTTGGATAAGTTCCCTCATCTTTATAAGCTTCAAGTTCTCATGTTTAAAATTGATGGAAAAATGATTTCTTTGCAAGATTACTGTGAGGATAACACAAAATAATACAGAATAATATTCTTTATGAAAGAATAAAGAGCAATATTGTCCCTGAGTGAAAGTTTAATGAACAGAGTTCCAGGATTACAGCAGAAGGCAACTTAATGAACATTTTGCTTTTTCCACATCCCCATTGGGCTTCTCTTTGAGGATGTGGCACTTTAGCCAGGGCTTCATGGAGTCTACCGTGTTAGGGCAGAAGGAGGACATGGAGGCATTCAGCAGAGGAACATGTGTGAACTGTTAATCAGAAGAAGAGGCTTGTTTAAATTTCAGTTTATTTCAATGCCAAAATCTCCCTTTTAGATGAATACAAACTCAAATTTGAAACAAGACAAAAAGAGTTTAAGGGTCAAAGCTGCTTCACCATTTCTCCTTTTCTTTAATAAGCAAATCTTGATTACACATAATCCTTGAGTAACGCAAGGTCATAATTCATTGATGGGTCCCTAATATGATGGGAAAAGCTGACTTTGAGATTATTGAATTTGTAAGACATAATATAATGAGTAGGAAAGCAGAGATGAAAAATGGGTCTCTCTTTTCCCAAAATGAGCCAAGATTTTTTTCCTCAGCTCACACTTATAAGCATTTTATGTTTCCATTATAATTTTTACTACCCTATTAGGAGACAGTTATTCATGACAGGGAATTTGAGTAACTATTATGGAGTCTCTTCAGGTACACCAATATCTCATAGTCCTCCAGCTTTCTTGGTGAGCTCACTCCCTGCAGTCTTCAGTAAATACTTTAAATGCAACCTTGATTGTAGCCTTGAGATTTCCTGGAAACTTTCTTGGATGAGTTACAATGCATGAGCAGAGAAAAGCACTTCTAAATCTGGCAGCAGTGGTAAGTGTGGAAGGTGTGGAAGTGTGGAAGGTGGCAGGCATTATAGGCATTAACTGTCACAGAAACAGTGGCATGTTGGGTGGGTGGGGTGGCTCACACCTGTAATCCCAGCACTGTGGGAGGTGGAGGCAGATGTATCACCTGAGGTCAGGAGTTTGAGACCAGCCTGGCCAACATGGCGAAAACCCACCTCTACAAAAAATACAAAAATTAGCTGGGCTTGGTGGTGAATGCCTGTAATCCGAGCTACTTGGGAGGCTGAGGCAGGAGAATCGCTTGAGCCCAAAAGGCAGAAGTTGCAGTCAGCCAAGATCAGACCACTGCACTCCAGCCTGGGCAGCAGAGTGAGACTCTGTCTCAACCAAAAAAAAAAAAAAAAAAAAAAGAGAAGAAAACAGAAAGAAAGAAACAAGAAACAATGGCATGTCTAGAAGATTATGTGTAAGCTGAACTGGTTTTTCCTTGATTGTTTTCGCAGATTAATATGAAATAAAGTAAAACAAAGAGGATCTCTCAAGATCACTTCTCTTTCTTCTCTTTCTACCACAAAGCCTAAAGCCCTCCTGTAAGATAAATAGGAGTAAAACCTCCAAATGTGAACAAACCATTGGAGAGGTCAGTTTGACTGGGATGCAACCAAGTGCTGGCTATAAAGATGGGTACTAAAGATATGGACCCTATCTTTGTAGAGTTTGAACCCTAGTGCGGGTCATCAGAAAAAAAAAATCCAAAATAGAGGTATTAAATATCTGTTGTTGCTGTGGGTAATTACTGCAGAATTAGGGACTTATAACACAAATGTATTTTCTTACTGTTTTTGGAGGTCAGAAATCAGAAGTGGGTTTCACTGGGTTAAAATCAAGGTGTTGTCAGTGCTGTGTTCCTTCTGAAAGTTTTAAGAAATAATTTGTTTCCTTGCTTTTTTTCTGTCTAAAGGCTACCTGAGTCCCTTGGTTCATGGTCCCTTCCTCCATTTTCAAAGCCGTCAATGTGTCATACTCAAATCTCTCCCACTCACTTGCCCCTCTCTTTCTCTTAGAATGAGCCTTGTGATTACATTAGACTCATGTTGATGTCAGGGTAATCTCCTCATCTCAAGTTCCTTAATTTAATCTCGTCTCCCAAGACTCTTTTGCATGTAAGGTGACATAGCCACATATTCTGTGCATTATGACTTGGACATCTTTGGGAGGCCACTTCTCTGCGTACCACAGTAGTCTGAAATAAACAGTTCTGATATCAGTAGGGTCTCAGAAATGGTAGAATGTATCTTCACAGCAGCAGTCAACAAAGGCTTTATTAACTAATTCAGTAAGTGTTAACTTCAGCCTACACCATGACAGACACTGTGCTGGACTTTGGCACTGGACTTTGGCACTGTGCTGGATGAGAAGGTGAGAAAAAATAGGCATGATGTCTGCCCACACTGAACTGACAATGTAGTTGGGGTGGCAGTAAACAGAAGGTCACAAAATCAGCATAAAATTTCACCTATTCTAAGTGTTAGAAAGCAGAATATAGGAGGCGATGAGAATGGATGGTGGTGAATAAGGGAAGAAGCCATTACAGGCTTTGGGGATCAGAGGCCCTGTGATGAGGAGAGCCTAGCAAGAGTACGGAACTGAGGTCCAGGGACCCTGGTGCTGAGCAGGGGAGGCATTGGATGAGGCTGGAGAAACGGAGAGCACCGGATCACTCAGGACCTGGTAGGCTATGGCAAGGATTTTAGTCTTCATTCAAAGAAAAAGGGGAAAGTAATTAAACTGTTTATACCTTGTGTGTATATTTGTATGTATGTAGAGCTAGACTACAAAAAAATAGCATACGGAGAATGACAATGGATCCAGGATGATGGGGATTTGTTCTATTGAATAATGTTCGAGTTTCACTGCAGAGCTCAGGGCAACAGAGGCAAGGATCATAGACCTTAAAGAATAAGAGGTTAGAGAAGGAAATAACTGATATTGACAATAGTGTTTAGGAAAGATTTGTAGAGTAGAATAGCATAGAACCTGCACTTAAACTGTTTCAGTCTGTTTAGCATTCATAGTTAGCATGTATACATTTAAAACATAACAAAAATAAATATCAAATAGTGAAATACACATTGATTAGAAGCAGAGAAAGAAAAAAATACTTGATTTCAAATGCCAGATTTTATTTACCATTTTGATTCATTGTCATATTGTTCAAAATTACATATTGTTTCCCTTGGAAGAATAATTGTACTTCCCAACCCTGTGGACATCAGACTTGACCACACCCCTTTCTTTGACTATATGTAAGGAAACTGTGTAAATCCTGGGCAAACGCTTTAGGAGCCAGCAACCATTTGCCTGCATTGTCCTCCTCCTCTGCCACAATGTTCCAGATGTTGCTCCATCTAACCAGGTCCTGATGAAAATGACATGAGGAATAGTTCCATCTGACTTGCAAAGAATAAGTGGTATGAGTGAGAATTGTATGAATACCTTTGTAGATATAAGCAAGTTTTCAAGTTGTTGTTGCGTAATCTGTTCTATCCCACCTGTTAAAACTGTGTATATTTGGGCAAGTCATTCAAGTTTCTTCATCTGTGAAATGAGGATGCAGGTTCTGCTTTAAAAATTATGAATGTTTACAATTTATGGGTATTTTTGAAGATTAGAGATGTAGAATTAAAAAAATACATTTCAAAACACCAATACAGAGCCTGACACAGGTAGGTGTTCTATAAAAGTTAATTTTCTACAGCAGTGATTTAAGAGGCATCAAGAAGTACTAAATTTCATACAGTAGACAGTGAGTATTTGGGGATCTCATTAGAGGAAGATCTTGCTGATATTAGCAAAAGCAACAATGACTAGGGAAGATTTCCCTGAGCTGAGTTTTGAAGGTTAGTTAACATCTCAATAGACCAACTTTCCTTCTCTTGCTCCATCCCTCCTTGCCTTCCTTCCTCCCTCCTTTCCTTCCTTCCTTGCTCAGTTCATTTAGATCAAAAGCAATTGGTCGGACCAAAGTAAATAGCCAATAGGATGGAATCCAAACTGGGATTCAAGCCTTGCCCAGTGATGACCAGAAATAGCAGTCTGCAAGATCCAGTACTGGGGCAGGATAAAGTGGGTGTAGATGGTCATACAGGAGTTTGAACATATAAGTCAATATATTGGGAAGGAGAGCTAGCTTTTTACTGACAAGACAGAAGGTAGAACTATGTAAAGAGACTATATGCTGTTCATATCCTGTTTTATTAGATAGATAGACAGATAGATGATAGATAGATAGAGAGAGAGAGAGAGACAGAGATAATAAAAGCAATTAGATTTAAAGGGGCATGTGTGTGTTCATGCTCACATGCATGCATATACATATGTTTCCACTGAGGGAGGCTAGAGACAATGCATCTACAGTAGCAATAAGCTCATATAGCATCATTTAGATCTGGATTTATAAATTCCATGAAGATGCAATGCTCTATACAAGGAGGCCAGAGATTTAAAAAAGAAAAAACACATTCAGTACCCTGGACAGTTCCCTGTGGTCATACTAGCTAGAAACACATCAAGGTGACATCCCCATGCAGCTCTGAGAAGAGTTTCTGACTACCACTTTATTATGCCAGGAGAAGCACTCTTACTACCTACTGGAAAAAATACAATCTGGAAAAGAAACCACATCATTCAATGATGACTGAAAAGAACATTATTTCATCTATGAAATATAATTGCATTTCAATGAGAATTAAACAATTTGACTTTTCAAAACATACAAGGAGGCACAGCCTCTCTAAACTGGAGCAGAAAACCATGACATAAGAAAAATCTAGGACAAAAAGTCAACAGGATGATATAGAAAAGTAAGCTACATGAAAAGAGAAGAGTCACCCTGGGAACAAAAAAAAAAAGAAAGAAAGAAAGAAAAAACAAACAAACCGAGAGAGTCATAAAATTGTGTAGACTCAAATACTCAAATGAATAACATGGACAACAAACATGCAAAATACTTCCAGTTTTCAAAGGAAAAGACTGAAATTAAAAACATTAAATCAAATTAGTAACTTAGGTTCAGGTGCGCTAACTCACGCCTATAATCCCAGACCTTTGGGAGTCTGAGGCAGGAGGATCACTTGAGCCCACGAATTCTAAACCAGCCTAAGCAGCATAGTGAGATCCTGTACCTAAACATATAAATTTTTAAAAAATTAGCTGGGCATGGTGGTGCATGCCTGCAATCTCAGATGCTTGGGAGAGTGAGGCAGAAGGATTGCTTGAACCCCAGAGGTCGAGGCTCCAGTGAGCAATGATCATGCCACTGCACTCCAGCATGGGTGACAGAGACCATGTCTATAAACAAAAAACCCCACAATTTTTAAAATTAGTAATTTAAAGTGTGTGTACAATAGTAGATTCGGAGATTTAGATGTACAAGATTATAAAATTATGGGGAAATATATTTTCAAACTTGTTAATAAAGATAGCTAAAAAAAATTATATATTATTTAAAACATCCAATTGCCACAGAAAACCCTGTGGCTATTGACCAGGGTAACTGCACCAGTAAGAGGGAAATTCCAATACTATCTCAGGCACAGGCTCTGAACCATCACTAACGCTGGGCACCAAAATATCACTGGATATCATTGGTCAGTTGGGATTAGAGCAGTCAGATTTTGGCTTACAACTGACTCTCAGCAGGATAAGTACTTTACTACATTAATGACATTTCTGGGAATCCAGAGTATAATACAAACTGGAATAAGCCTCCTAAATACAGAGAGAACTTGCTTCACCTTCACCCCGTACCACTGTGCAAAAGAGGACACAATGTTCCTTGGGTCTTTTTGGACTTTGGAGATAACCATGTACCATAGTTAAAAATGCTGTTCAGGTCAGTTTCCTGGGTATCTCGTTAGGCTACAAGTTTTCAGGAGGTCATGCAGAAAAGGAAACTCTGCTTTAGCTCTAGAATGTACTTTAAACTGCCACCTGGATCTTTTGAAACAGCTAAACATAAAAAAGGGTCTCTGGCTGGCCAAAATGCTTTAAGAAGCCTCTGATAAGCTCTGATGGCAGGTATCAGGGCATATTTCTAGATATTTACACTAAGAGCATGATCTCTTCTGTTGACAAATACTGTTCATCAGTTTTGTTTAGTTTTTTTCTTTGTTTTTTTTTCTTATTAGAACCCTGTTTTATACACACACCAAGGTGAGAGTTTTATAAGACCTTTCTGTTAGCCATCTAGAGCACAAGAATTTTTAAGACAATAAAAATTAATAACTACTCACAATTTTATACTATTTGAATATTTTCCAATTTCTTTGTAGACTTTATATTATGTGTGCCTTATAATAATTCCAAGAATTCAGTTATCATCTTTACTTGTTTCACAGATGGAAAAACTAAGGTTCAGAGAAGCTGATTTTTTCTAGGCCATGGAGTAGTAAGTAGCAGGGTGACTAAATGTCCTGTGGGCAACAGGTATGGCCCATAAACCAGGCACTGCCCATAGAACCTCTTACAGTTGCTTCAGGTTCACATAATGATCTTCATGCTAACATATTATATCCAGGTAATTTCAAACTCCATTTATTTCACAGATAACTACAATGTTTTTGAAGGTAAGTGATATGGTTTGGCTCTGTGTCCCCATCCAAATCTTATCTCAAATTGTAGTCCCCATAATCCCCACATATCAGGAGGAGGGACCTGGTGAGAGGTGATTGGATCATGGGGGCAGGTTCCCCCATGCTGTTCTCATGATAGTGAGTTCTCATGCAATTTGATTGTTTTATAAGTGTTTGACACTCTCTCCCTCTCTCTCTCCTTCTCTCTCTCTCCCCCCTCTCTCCTTCTCTTTCTCCTTCTGTCTCTCTCTCTCTTGCCTGCCACCATGTAAGATGTGCCTGCTTCCCCTTTGACCATGATTGTAACTTTCCTGAGGCCGCCCCAGCCATGCGGAACTGTGAGTCAATTAAACATATTTCCTTTATAAATTACTCATTCTTGGGTATTTCTTTATAGCAGCATGAGAATGGACTAATACAGTGAGAGATTTAGAGAATATTGATACAGTTCAGTTCCTACCTGGAGCTTAAAATATTGGCATCACCAGTGATTTTTATATGAAGTAATGGGGAGAAGAAAGGGGGTTAAATGAATTGACAAAACATGCATTCTGATTACTGCTTATGTAGCTATTGGGAGGAATGATTTAACAAACCATAGCCTTCTTCTATGATCACTCATTTCATCTTCCCCAGCCCCTCGGACAGCCTCTCAGTCAGTTGGAATTTCTTCCTGGTGCTGTGGCTGAGGGCTTGATTGACATGAGACTCATATCCTTAGTGGATCTTTCTTTATTGGATTGCCACAATTTTCTGTTGACTGATATTTTGGGGAATGAGATTTCTAAGAGACAGCAAAGTGCATTCCTTGGATTTCACACATTGTCTTTCTTGACATGTATGTCTCTTGACAATGGCGTTTTATTAACAGAATTTCCCCTTGATAATCACAGCCAATCACCCCAGCAAGCACAGCGCCCCTCCTTTCCTCATGGTGATGTAATATCATAGGGGGAATAAATGCTTAGGAAGGAGTTTCAGATTCTTATTTAATGAAAGTTTTACTGCAAATTCCGATTACAGCAGTCATCCCTTGGACATCTAAACCAATCAAGCATAAGGTTGCATGTATGGGAAACAAAACTCTTGGGAATAATAGAGATAGACTACTCTCTTTTTCCCTCCTTTGACTTTGACACGTGCATGTGCTTATGGGGAAGAGCACGCTGTAGAATGATGTGACCTCCATGGTTTACTGTGTCTCATCTCCAGCCTCACCCTGTATTGCCTGCTCTGTGATAATGGAGCTAGACTCTGTAAGCATTCTCCTTCACAACTGACACAATGTTAAGCTTTGTCACCACAGGGGGCTGAAGGGACAGTGCAGGAGGAAGGTCAGTAGAGTAGGCCTCAGACACCTGCAGAATGCAGCAGTCAGCACAGCATGCCACACTTTCCCAGAGGTGACTTCCCCCAGCACACCACCCCCTGGAAGCAGCTTCTATATGGGTTCTTTGGTGGAGCACTTCCCTTTGCATGGCTTCCCCTGGAACCCTAGGAGGCAGATTTCCAGTGAATTCCACCAGTGGGCAAATTACCATGACACCCCAGAAAGCAGCTTCCTGGGGTGCTCCATGGCCTGGTATCTCCCCATGCATGGCTTTCTCTGGTATCTCAAAAGGCAGTTTCCCAGTGAGTTCAGCTAGTGCAACCCTGGACTTTCCAAATCTAGGGTGACTTGGCCAATGCAATGCTGAGTCCCTGATCTGCCAAAAGAAAAGACCATAAATGAGACCCTAATATGACACTATTTCTTAGTGGGGGACCACCTAGACACCTGGTAACAGGTTGATTACATTGGTCCTCTTCCTTAATAGAAGCATGTGAGATTTCCTTTCACCAAAATGGATATGATTTTAGATGTAGATTTTCCTTCTCTGCCTGTACTGCTTCTGCTAGCAGCAGCGTCTGTGAATTCACAGAATGCCTTATTCAGCATCATGACATTCCAGACAACATTGTGTATGTTGAAGAAAGAAACCCACTTCATACCAAAGAAGTGCACCAATGGGCTCGTGACTGTGGAATCAACTGGTAACAGAACATATATGGGGCACTGTGTGTCTTTGAGGAGTAATTAATTTGGCCAGTTATGGGGGTAATAACTATTGGCAGTGTGCATCCTGACACTTAGAAAGTATGTGAAAATGTCCGTACTTGCAAGAAGGATAGCTGTATCTTGCCTGGTGGAAATATAAAGTTGGTTCAGGGCCAGGCACAGTGGCTCATGCCTGTAATCCCAGCACTTTGGGAGGTCGAGGTGGGTGGATCACGATGTCAAGAGATTGAGACCATCCTGGCCAACATAGTGAAACCCTGTCTCTACTAAAAGTACAAAAATTAGCCAGGCGTGGTGGCGGGCACCTGTAGTCCCAACTACTCAGAGGCTGAGGCAGGAGAATCACTTGAACCCAGGAAGTGGAGGTTGCAGTGAACTGATATTGTGCCACTGCACTCCAGCCTGGCAACAGAGCAAGACTCCATCTCAAAAATAAAAAAAAAATAAAAAAAATAAAGTTGTTTCATTCTTGGATAGAAGTAAAAATGTGTGAATAGGGGTGACAATGGAAGCTAAGTAGTCATATGAGAGGACAATGCTGGTTATCAACTTATCGCCTTTCTGCTCCAAACCCATATTTCATTGCCTATTCTTTGATAATGGAAATACACCCTATAGATAGATTGAGTTTGTCAGTAGGCACAATGCAAAGCTTTATCTGTATGCAGTCCTAAAGGGACACTGCCGTTGGATGGGGCTTAGATTCCTGGTTGCAGAATGCCCCTCTTCCTAGACCCTGGCAGCACATGGTAGCCAACAGCCTGCTATACCATCTCATAGGGAGTTTTGCCCAACCTGCTCTAGGGTGTCTCCCCAGTGCAACACCCGGGAGCATCTGCCCTGCGAATTGCAAGCCTTGGGCTTCTCTGGCACCGAAAAGGAAAGCTTCTCTGCAAGTTCACGAGTGCAGCATCTTCCCATGGGCAGCTTCCCCAAACCCCTGAAAAATGGCTTCTCGTGATTTCTGTGGTATGGTTACCCACTGTGGACAGTCCTTCCCAGTATCCCAGAAGATTTCCAGTGAGCCCCACCAGCGTGACAGCTCCGTGAACTTTTGTGTCATTTGGTGGACTTTGGCTGCATCCTTCCCAATGAGATCAAGATTTAAGCCCCAGTCAGGGAATGGGGTTCTTACAGATTTGTTCCTCCCCTGGGTGCTCTGCCTCAGCCTTAGTGCTGCTGTCTGCTTTACATATCTGCCATCGTTGTATTCTTTTTTCTATTTGTTTTTGCCCCCTGTGAGTAATCCCCTATTATAGTTTATAATTATTTACATTAAACTTTGCACTTTCAAGATATTGTGTGGTTTCTCTCTCCTGTTTGGGCCCTAACTGATAAAAACTGCCATTGGTTTAAGGCATATACTTTATTTTGTGGTACAGCACCCCAGCCTCACAGGATGCTACCTCAAAACTGTGCCCTGAATCTCAGAACCCCATTCCCTCTTTTCATCAAGCCAGTGATTTTGTTTTGAGGCACATGGAAAAAATAAATTAATCTGTACATTTTAGTTCATTACAAGTTATCCTCCACAGAAAAATGATGTCCTTGGCTGATGTCATTGCAAACTGGGATACCATGGTGAAAGACCGAGGAATTTCTTAAGTCACTTAATGATGGTTCTATTCAAAATATTTTCTGCAGGGTAAACAAATCTGTATCTAGAATACATATCCATTTCCATGAAAATAAATTGTTGCCCACTCCATTGTAGAAAGAAAAGATATACTATACCTACTATCTGGTGACACATGGAAGTGGTGCAATATCTATAGAGTGATCATGATTTATAATCTCAAGTAGGGCATTGTTTGAGAAGAAAGGAAGTGTCTAATGGGTCAAAAGGGCAAGAAGCATAAACCACCAATCTTGGGGAAAATTTGAATGTCTGGTTACCCTATAAAGTGAGTGCTTAGCATTAGACTCTAATAAAGGCATTATTAGTATTTGATGGTAGCAGCGTCCTGTTTAGCTTGGTGAAGCATCTCCAAGTTGTAGAGTCCATGCACAATCTCCATTATTGATGCTATAGATCCTATGTGCACAGACGCATGAGGCAAGAGCCAGCCTTGCCAAGGAAATATGCTGACCGAAATCCATATGCTCATCTTGTCCACCTAATTATTGAGTTTACCCCATGTGTTATTCCCTTTTATGGTCATTTAGTTTTTTCATAAATGTCTTCATTCACTATGCCCTTTTGAAGATGCTTATCCACATATCTTTTTAAAATATGCCACCTAACTTCCAGGAGTTGTTTTTTTTTTTCCATAGTCCCCAAGAAGCCAATCCATTTGTAATCACTACAGGCAATGTCTTTTCCACTGCAAAATGGACATATGAAAACACTACCCCAATTCTTCCCACTTCAGATCACTCCACCTTATGAAGTAGTCCTACAGGGCTACCCCTGCATGGGACCGTCTTGCAGTAGCCCTTCTCTTCTAGTGACAGCAACACACTTCTAGGAGAAAGAATTTAATGGGGGTGGAGGTGCTGCAGATTCAAAATGTTATAGGAGTACAGAGGAGAGAAAGACGAAATAAGGCCAAGATAACCTGCCAAGGTCCCAAGACTTCACCTAAATGTTATAAACAGGAAGGATTTCTTTTTTTCCCACCCATCTTTGAAGCAGAACCTTGATTGATTCTTTTCAGTTGTGTTCACTGGCATCACGGAGCCGCACTTGAGACTACAGATGTGAGTTGTCGGGAAAACGGTGAAGCACAGGGGAGTTAACTGGAATGTGAACCACCTTCTCATGCAGGTTACCCATGCCTCACGGATTGGCTTTGGCCTGGTCTCACAGATCATTGTTGTTTAACCAAAAGCCTTTTTTTCAGGTAACACTCAGCTGGTGATAGTAGATTGAGGTTGCAGAGTCACTTGTCCTAGATCGGGCATTCAACATGGATTAGGACCCCGTCAACCAGAAGGTGCTTGTCAAAAGGAGAATCATTGTCCAAAAGAAATTATGGCTTTACTCCAAAACCCTGAAAGTCTCTCCGGAGATTCATGAATGGGGTCTTCCTAGACACGTTGCTGTGCCCTAGACGCTTCCAGTACTGTTAGATTTACTGGCACGTAAGGCTGAAGCAGCAGCAAAGTTTGTACCGTGCATGAATCTGCTGAGAGCACTTTCTAGCTACAGGCCCTGGATAAAACTTACAATCTTATGAGTTACCTATATTTACGTATAAGTAAGTGTATTACAACATCAAATGTGGTATATATTACCATCAAAATCCAGAGATTTATCAAGCATTGTGTCTCTTTCTTGGTTGTAAGGTACAAACTGCAGCAAGCTGTATCTCTCTGTAAAGGAATATCCTTATATGCACCCAGAACACTGGGCTGTTAGAACTTTGCCCATGTGGCAGACAATTGGATTTCTGTGGGTTTTATTAGCAATCCTTTGACACAAACATGTCTCACTATATCCTCTAGGTTGCTGGTTACAACCTGTTCAGCAGGGGTGTTTAGAATAACATCACTGACTGAAAGGACCAGTGTGATCTTCTTCAGAATATCAAAACGAAAGTCTTTTTTTTCTTTATTTTATTTTATTATTATTGTATTTTAAGTTTTAGGGTACATGTGCACAATGTGCAAGTTAGTTACATATGTATACATGTGTCATGCTGGTGTGCTGCACCCATTAACTCGTCATTTAGCATTAGGTATATCTCCAAAACGAAAGTCTTAAAAGAAAGTCGTCTGAAGCAAATCTAAGATAGAAAATCACAGGCAGGATGCTTATTAGGAATTATCCACAGTATGTACAACAGTAAGAAATGAGACGGTAAGATATGGCAGAGAAAGCTGACTGGCAGTGTAGTTGCAACTGAGGTCTCAGCCAATTATGGAGAGCTCTGGCTGTGGGATGGCCCCTCAGTTGAGGCGTTTGTATCCGTGTATAGTCAGACATGGGTCTCAGCCACCTCCTGGATGGGGGTGTCACCTTAGGGTGGGGCAGCTCTCTGCTGTTAAGCAGCAGGCCCAGTGAGGGGCATGTCAATGAGTCGTCACAAACAATATTGCTAGCAGCTGTGTGATGGGTGCATTAGCCTTGGGGAAAGATTCTGGATGAAGTATCACTTTATCCACTACAAGGAGAATACTGGAGAATTGCATTGTTAGATAATATCATTAAAATATACTGATATTGGAATAATGACTGCTGTATAGATATCAGGGTGTTGATGTTAAAAAACAAAAGCATTACCAATGATAAAGCCAAATTTTATGTATTTGGCTTGTCAATTTCTGAATCTATATCCAAGCATATTATCCCATTCAAATATTGCACCAGTACTACATTACAGTGAAGCCCCTGTGAGATCAGCAAATATAATTACACACAAAAAAATAAGATAGCGTTATTCGAGAGTTAGTGAAATGACAAGGATGAGCCTGCTATGGAAGATAGAGGCCTATTGCTGACTTCACTGTATTTTGTGTATCATGGGGTTCTACCATATCAACGAAAGTGTTCATTCATTATGCACTCACTGTGGGGCAGGTCTTGGGTTGGTGCTTTTCATAAATTATCTTAATTATCTTATCAAATTTATCAGCCCCATTTCACACCAAAGAAGCCTGATTCAGAGAAAGATTAATTAACATGCCCAAGGTTATACAACTTGTCAATAGAGATATAGATTTTATACCAGGAACTCCTATACTGAGACCAGGATTGAAATCTCTAATTTGTCCAGTAAAGATACAAGGAAGACAGACGGCCCCACGATAAAGAAAAATAAGTGAAATGTTTATTACAGATGGGATTATTGATGGAGAAATTATTTGAAACCTATTAAGTGTTTGGCAGCAGCATCATCAGCATGCAAAGCCAACTCTTGCTGCCAGTGGCATAAACCAGGTGCCTGTGCCAACGTCTCCTCAGCAGGACCCCAGCCAACTACAGGCCTCAGGGTGCATCTGCAGCCAGCTAATTTGCTGGATGAATTCTGCCCCCAAAGTGAGAAAATCATCTTCAGAAATGACCTAGAAGACCTTTTACAAAGTTATGTGGAACTGACCAGGTGGCAGAGTTTTTCAGGTGTCCATCTGCTCCTGTGTTCCAAGGATAGTCAGGATTCCAAAAATGTCTCTTGTTTAATGCATGCCATATTCTTCCCATGGAGTGCTTCAGTAATTAGTTTTTAACCCATTTATTACTACAAAATGCAGAAGTGTATTGTGCCCTGTAAAGGGTCCATCTAGGCTTGGATTCTGAAAAATGTTTGAAATAAAATCTTTTAGGATTGTAATGCAATTAAATTAAGCAAATGGTGCAAGCAGTGGGACCCCTTTCAACAGCTTGGGGTATAAAAAGTCACTCTTTTTCTAGCCTAGACATACCCAGATCCCAGAGAAATTCCATATGTCATGCTTAACCATGAACCTCAAAGGCATTGCCAATCTAACTGTAGAGGGCTTACTTCTAAATACCACATGAAGAGAACTAGGAGTAATCCAGGCACCCCACAGGGAAATTTCATCTTCCAGCTTCATCATTTTTGTTGCTGACCAACAGGATGACCTGTGACAATGTGTTTTTATCATCACGTTTTAGATGCTGTTTTGGGTTGCATTTGTCCTTCAGGAAGGTAAGTTGAAGTCTTCAACCCCGTATCTGTGAGTGTGACCTTATTTGAGAAAGAGGTCTTAGTACACATGATCAAGTTGAGATGAGGTCATATTGAATTAGGGTGAGCCTTCATCCAATATGATGGGTGTCCTTAGGAGAAGAAGAAAAAAGACACAGAGACACAGAAAGGAAAGCATCATGTGATGACAGAGGCAGAAACTGGAACTACATCTTCATGTGCAAACCAGGGAGCCCCAGTGATTGAGCTAAGACAAAACATGGAACAGAGTCTCCCTTACAGCCTTCAGAGGAAGCATGCCCTGCGAATGCCTTGATTTCAGACTCTGGTTTCCAGAACTGTGGGTCAATAAGTTTCTGTGATTTTAAGCCATCCAGTTTGTGGAACTTTGTTAAGGGAGCCTCAGATGCCTTACTGCTCTGATCCAGCACAGAAGGAGGACTGGTGAAGATAATCTCACTCTCTCCAGTGTTAGACAGGGCACAGCACTGCATCACAGAGCTACTGAGCTACTTCATTTATACTCACATTCTCAATACACCTTCCCCCCAACGCCACAAAAGAGCCCTTCCTGTGCTAGGAGCTGGGTTAGTGTGGGGGAAAGGTGGAGAAAGGGATTTCCTACCATGGCAAGTGAGCCTATGATATGCTGGGTCAGAACAGCCTCCCCGTACAACCTCTGACAGAGTGGTTGGTCTCAAACATCATGTGTGTATGGTAACTGAGTGCTTGATAGGCATGCTGATTCCCAGGCCTCATCTCAGACTTTCTGATTCCAGCATTTGGGGATAAACCTCCTACTGCTGCTGAACTCTGCAGAGGGATTGTATTAGTCCATCCTCACGCTGCTATAAGGAGATACCTGAGACTATGTAATTTATAAAGGAAAGAAGTTTAATAGACTCACAGTTCCACGTGGCTGGGGAGGCCTCACAATCATGGCTGAAGGCAAATGAGGAGCAAAGTCACATCTTACATGGCAGCAGGCAAGAGAGCTTATGCAGAATAACTCCCATTTATAAAACCATCAAATCTCATGACACTTATTCACTACCATGAGAACAGTATGGAGGAAACCACCCCCATGATTCAATTACCTCCACCTGGCCCCACCCTTGACACGTGGGGATTATTACAATTCAAGTTGAAATTTGGGTGAAATTGTATCAGTGATTCTCATGCATAGTGTCCATGGTACACACTCTGAATAGCAATCCTCTTGGATTTGTTAATGAGCTATGTTTGCTCACCCAGAAGGCCTCTTCCCACCCAGTCTGTCTACTGCTAGCAGACCTCCAACAGCCCTCTGCACCACTGCCTGCTGACTGATGGGGTGCTTGCCTTAGTCCCCCTGGTGAGTCAGAACAGAAAGAACATGGCAGCATGGGCACAGGTATTTGGCCATATTTAGGGAGAACACACACACTTCTCTAATCCGTGGAGACGGCAGCAAAGAGGTGAAGTCAGTGTGTCTTTAGTTTTAAAATCTGTGTAATTTGACCTTATGGTACAATGTTGCATACTTTATGTATTCGCTAGTTTGTGTGTATTTTTTTACCATTTAAAACTGGGAATGCTGATTTCTGGCCAGCACCACATGTCCAGTGTGCAGCAAGATATGTCACTTTACAAAGGGCTGAGATCACAGCCCCAGGAACCCTCCAGCTTGGTTAACTATTGGATGCAGAACACTCACATAAATGTCTATTTTCATTACATTTCTTCATTCATTACATTCTCCAATGTGGGCTAATCATTATAACCAGCTGATTTTCTTCATGGCTGGAAATGATTGTCTCAATATCTTCATGCCCAGTGTCCAATCTTTGGGCACTGGTGACAGTTCTGAGCTTCAGTCCTTGATGGGAATAGCTGAAAAGTATCATGGCTGTTTCTGTAATATACTTCACTCAACAAAATGTTATAAAAGCAGACTAAAACACCTATGAACATAAATAACTATACTACAATGCAAAAACAAAATGCAACATTAAAAATACTAAAAGGTATGAGAGTAGGGCATTTGGAGTCATACAGAATGGGGGTCTTTTCAAGCTGGCTCCTTTCCCTTAGCCATAAGCATTTAAGGTTCCTCATGTTGTCTTGAGGCCTGATAGCTCATTCCTATTGTTTCCATATAATACTCCATTGCAGGGATGTACCACAGTTTGCCTATCTATTTGCCTATGAAAAGATATCTTAATTGTTTCCAGTTTTTGGAAGATTTATGAATAAATCTGCCATAAACCTCTGTGTATAAGTTTTTGTGTGGATGTAAGTGTTCAACTCATTTCAGAAAATAACTAGGAGCACAATTGCTGGATTATATGGTAACATTATATTTCGCTGCCAAATGTCTTCCAAAATGGCTGCACCATTTTGCATTTCTAGCAACCATGAGTAAGAGGTCTTTCTGTTCTGAGTCCTTGTCAATATTTGATATTGTCATTTTTTGGATTTTAGCCATTAAAATATGTATGTAGTGATATCTCATTATTGTCTCACTTTGCAATTCTCTGATTACAAATAATATTTGACATCTTTTTCATATGCTTATTTGCCACCTGTATATTATCTTTGGAAAGGTGTCTGTTCAGGTCTTTTGCCAGTTTTTTAAAATTGGGTGTCTGTTTGCTTATTTCTTTAGTTTTAAGAGTTCTCTGCATATTTCGGATAAAAGTCTTTATCAAGTGTAAGTTTTGCAAATACTTTATTTCAACCTGTGACTTGTTTTTTAATTTTCTTAATGACTCTTCCTTTTTTTAACGTTGACAATTTTCATACGTGAAATTAAAATATGTTTCTAAAGGAAGTAAGCAGAAGTACTGTGCTCTACTCTGAAGTCTGATTTCTCTTCCTTATTCCCTCATTCCCCACAGGGCTATTGCCATGAATCTCTTCCTCCTCCTGCTTTAAGGTTCATTCAGCTCACTGTTACCTCCTCCCTGAAGCCACCACAGCTCCTCTTATTTCTCCCTAGCAGTAAGGCAGCAATAGATTCCCTTTCCTATGTTCTTCTAACACCCTGTGTCTCCCTTCCTCTTTATCTGTCTGAAATCACAATTATATTATGATTTTTTGTTAGTGAACTGATTTTACCTCCTTCTTGAGTGCTGTCATGATGCTCAAAGGAAAGGCTGATTAGTCTAGGCACTTTGGATTTTGGGTTTTCAGATTCGGAATTATCAACTGTTAAGTATATTGCACATATTCCAAAAATCTGAAAACCTCCAAAATCCAAAACTTTGTCTCATTACAAGCATTTCTAATAAGGGATACCCAACCTGCACAGAGTGAGCAATTGCTGGGTAGGTTTCCTACAAATGAATTGTAAGTGTGTGAGTTACTGAGGTGCATGCACACATATCCACATAAGGTTCCATTTGGAGGAACAAAGTTATATTTTAAAAAGTAAGTTGGAAAACCACTATAGTTAACTATCCAAATATCACTCTCAATTATCAGATTGCAATGCATGACTATACCCCAGGGTTGTGTGAGCTGATATATTTAAAGCTGTATCTAAGGGCTAAAACCCAGCAGGCACTAGATAATAGTGGTGGGTTCTAACTTGGTTTCTAGGTTCCCATTGGCTCAAATGGAGCTTTACCTACTCCCTGTGCCATTAATTCTGTGGTTTTGGCGAGACCCTCTCCGCAAAAAAAGTTGCAACCAATAGGACAAAGGGTATAACTGAGGCAGGAAGAGTAAGAAGCGCAGAGCACAGGTTGATCCAGATGCCAGAAGTATCAAAGGATTAAGTATCAAGAAGTACCAAAGTATCAAGGAGTGTCAAAGGAGTAACAAACGGGTATCACAGCAAGAGTTGGGGGAAGGGTGGAGTTAGGATGGACCTGACACTCAGTCACGTTTGGGACTCTTGCCCAGGTGTGGCTGTAAATAATGTTCATGCTTCAAGCAAGTTATTCATCTGTGTTTCTAACTTTCTCCTTTCAAAAATAAATATAGAATTTTATGAAGCATATTGCCTACAAACCCAGCATCCAAGGCTATTGTTCATCCAGGTAATCCCTCTTTCCTCCTAACTACTCATTTTCCAAATAATAAGCATGAAATATTCATCATCACTTTCTATTTTTTAAATTTGTTTTTAGAAAGGAGCCTAATCATGTATGGTTATGCAATTTCAAGTACTCATGGACTCCCACAGCTGGGATTAGAAAACCTTAGAAATCATACAGCCCAGATACTCCCATTACACATAAGGAATCTGAGGATCAGAGTTTACACAATTTATCAAAAATGCAATGCTGCTGACTTGGGGAGCCAAGAGGAGAATCTGTGACCCCTGACTCTCGGGCCACAGACTTCCTAGCTTATCGTACATTGCTTTGGATTCGTGTGGCAACCAGAGGAGGCTGTAACATTTTAGTTTCTACCTGGCATTCTAAGTCACTTCTTAACACAGGACTTACCATAGGTCATCCTGAGATTCCAGCCTGGATGCTGGAAGCATGGGAAGGCTGTCAAAGGAAGTAAAGGCTCTAAATCCACAGCCAATATCATACTGAATGGGCAAAAACTGGAAGCATTCCCTTTGAAAACTGGCACAAGACAGGGATGCCCTCTCTCACCACTCCTATTCAACATAGTGTTGGAACTTCTGGCCAGGGCAATTAGGTAGGAGAAGGAAATAAAGGGTATTCAATTAGGAAAAGAGGAAGTCAAATTGTCCCTGTTTGCAGATTACATGATTGTATATCTAGGAAACCCCATTGTCTCAGCCCAAAACCTCCTTAAGCTGATAAGCAACTTCAGCAAAGTCTCAGGATACAAAATCAATGTACAAAAATCACAAGCATTCTTATATACCAATAACAGACAAACAGAGAGCCAAATCATGAGTGAACTCCCATTCACAATTGCTCCAAAGAGAATAAAATACCTAGGAATCCAACTTACAAGGGACATGAAGGACCTCTTCAAGGAGAACCACAAACCACTGCTCAATGAAATAAAAGAGAATACAAAGAAATGGAAGAACATTCCATGCTTATGGGTAGGAAGAATCAATATCATGAAAATGGCCATACTGCCCAAGGTAATTTATAGATTCAATGCCATCCCCATCAAGCTACCAATGACTTTCTTCACAGAATTGGAAAAAACTACTTTAAAGTTCATATGGAACCAAAAAGGAGCCCACATCACCAAGTCAATCCTAAGCCAAAAGAACAAAGCTGGAGGCATCACGCTACCTGACTTCAAACTATCCTGCAAGGCTACAGTAACCAAAACAGCATGGTACTGGTACCAAAACAGAGATATAGATCAATGGAACAGAACAGAGCCCTCAGAAATAATGCCACATATCTACAACTATCTGATCTTTGACAAACCTGAGAAAAACAAGCAATGGGGAAAGGATTCCCTATTTAATAAATGGTGCTGGGAAAACTGGCTAGCCATATGTAGAAAGCTGAAACTGGATCCCTTCCTTACACCTTATACGAAAATCAATTCAAGATGGATTAAAGACTTAAACGTTAGACCTAAAACCATAAAAACCCTAGAAGAAAACCTAGGCATTACCATTCAGGACATAGGCATGGGCAAGGACTTCATATCTAAAACACCAAAAGCAATGGCAACAAAAGACAAAATTGACAAATGGGATCTAATTAAACCAAAGAGCTTCTGCACAGCAAAAGAAACTACCATCAGAGTGAACGGGCAACCTACAAAATGGGAGAAAATTTTCGCAACCTACTCATCTGACAAAGGGCTAATATCCAGAATTTACAATGAACTCAAACAAATTTACAAGAAAAAAACAAACAACCCCATCAAAAAGTGGGCAAAGGACATGAACAGACACTTCTCAAAAGAAGACATTTATGCAGCCAAAAGACACATGAAAAAATGCTCACCATCACTGGCCATCAGAGAAATGCAAATCAAAACCACAATGAGATACCATCTCACACCAGTTAGAATGGCAAACATTAAAAAGTCAGGAAACAACAGGTGCTGGAGAGGATGTGGAGAAATAGGAACACTTTTACACTGTTGGTGGGACTGTAAACTAGTTCAATCATTGTGGAAATCAGTGCGGCGATTCCTCAGGGATCTAGAACTAGAAATACCATTTGACCCAGCCATCCCATTACTGGGTATATACCCAAAGGACTATAAATCATGCTGCTATAAAGACACATGCACACGTATGTTTATTGCTGCACTATTCACAATAGCGAAGACTTGGAACCAACCCAAATGTCCAACAATGATAGACTGGATTAAGAAAATGTGGCGCATATACACCATGGAATACTATGCAGCCACAAAAAATGATGAGTTCATGTCCTTTGTAGGGATACGGGTGAAATTGGAAATCATCATTCTCAGTAAACTATCACAAGGACAAACACCGCATGTTCTCACTCATAGGTGGGAATTGAACAATGAGAACACATGGACACAGAAAGGGGAACATCACACTCTGGGGACTGTTGTGGGGTGGGGGGAGGGGGGAGGGATAGCATTAGGAGATATACCTAATGCTAAATGATGAGTTAATGGGTGCAGCACACCAGCATGGCACATGTATACATATGTAACTAACCTGCACATTGTGCACATGTACCCTAAAACTTAAAGTATAATAATAATAAAATAAAAAAAAGAAAATCTGCAACAGTTGAATCAAAAAGAAAATGTAAAATTGTTTGGGTTCTTGTTTCTATATATATACACAAACACACATACTATGTACATATACACACACATACTATATATAGAGTATATATTCTTTTTACTATATATATGGTGTGTGTGTGTGCATATACATTCCTATACATATATAATTATTACTATATACATAAACTAACAAGAACCTAAACAATTTTTACTAGAATAATAAGAATGTTTATATGAGCAAACCTATATGCCCTTTAATTTTATCAATAATGAATTGTTTACTTATGGGCCTTAAATATCTTGTGAGTCAAAAAGCCAATGTTTAAATATTTATATAAAATTAAAAGCAAGCAAGACAAAAAAATAGATTTAGAAAGAAAGAATATCCCACTCAGAATAAGCAGTCTCGATCAAATACTCACAAGAAAAAGACTTTTGTGAAAATGTAGCTACTTTGGTGTGAAGAAAGTATTGAGCAAAAGAGAAGGGTGGTAGGATTGATCCATTCCTAAATGACCAATTTTAGTCAAAATGTACTACATCACATTCAACCTAAATTGTCCCTAAGGTTTCATTACTCAATAATTTTTGCCAAGTGTAGAGTGACCTTTAAAAATTCTGAATGAGTCATTTTCAAGTTCAGGGGACACTAGACAGGTAAGCTTAATCAAAAGTTCATACTATGAAGACCCGCAACTTTGTATTGTATTTTATCAACCTCCATAGACAGGTAGTCACAAAACTCAAAGTGATCCTTGACAATTAATATTAATAAGAATATATTTTTAAGTTGGAACAAATATAAAACATCCAAAAGGACCAGAAGAATGCAAGATACCAAGTAACAAAGAAACCACCAAAAACTCTGGAAGTAATCATGGAAAACTGCATCGCGCTTCTCATTCCTGTTCCCTCAAAATTCTAGAAGGAGAAAGAAACAAAGAAAGAGGGAAGGGAAGGGAAGGGAAGTTGGGGAGTACACTGGGGGCATTCCCTGAATTACTCCTCACTTGTCACCTGAATGGGCTGATGTGCTTCACAGTTTTACATCAGCCCTTCCTAAAGCTGCCTGAAGGTTGTAATAGATTAATCTCCACGGCCACATCCTATTTTTTATGGTTACTGTTTTTTAATAAAAAGTTTTGTACTGATACATAATATTTGTACTTAATTTTTTATTGATACATAATATTTGTACTTATACAAGTGTGTACACGTGACATTTTGTTACATGTCTAGAATGTGTAATGACCAAGTCAGAGCATTTAGGGTATTCATCACCTCCGGTATTTATCATTTCTATGTACGTATAACATTTTAAGTCCTCACTTCCGCCTATTTTGAAATGTACAAGACATTTGTTGTTAACTATACTTACTCTACTCTGCTATTGGACAAAAGAACTTTTTCCTTCTATCTAATGGTAACATTTTACCCTTTGGCCAAACTCCTCTTATCTCCACACCTAACACACACACCCTTCTCAGCCTCTGCTATCTATCATTCTACTGTCTACCTCCATAAAATCAACTTTTTAGCTCTCACATCTGAGTGAGAACATATGATATTTGTCTTTCTGTGCCTGTCTTATTTAACATAATGACCTCCAGTTTCATCCATAGTGCTGAAAATGACACGATTTTATTATTTCTATAATAAATATATTATAAAATTAAAATAGCCAAATAGTATTCCATTGAATACACATACCGGATTTTTCTTCATTCATCCATTGATGGACACTTAGTCTTATTCCATATCTTTGCTATTGTGAATAGTGCTGCCATAAACATGAGGGTGCAGGTATCCCTTTAATATACGGATTTCTTTTTCTTTTGGATAAATACCCAGTAGTAGGATTACTAGATTGCATGGTATTTCTATTTTTAATTTTTTGAGAAATCTCTATACTGTTTTCTATACAGACTGTACTAATTTGCATTCCCATCAATAGTGTATTAAGAGCTCCCTTTTCCATGTCTCACCAGCATCTGTTGTTTTGTTTTGAGACTCTCACTCTGTCACCTATGCTGGAGTGCAGTGGTGCAATCTCATTTCACCGCAACCTCCGCCTCCCAGGTTCAAGTGATTCTCGTGCCTCAGCCTCCTGAGTAGCTGGGATTACAGGCATGCACCACCATGCCCAGATAATTTTTGTATTTTTAGTAGAGATGGGGTTTTACCATGTTGGCCAAGCTGGTCAAGAAGTCCTGACTTCAAATGATCCACCTGCCTTGGCCTCCCAAAGTGCTGGGATTACAGGCATGAGCCACTGTGCTGGCCATGTTGTTGTTGCTGCTGTTGTTGTTTTTTTCTTTGGTCTATTTTTTCTTTGGAGACTGGGTCTCACTGTGTTGGTCATGTTGGCCTTGAACTTCTGGGCAAAAGCACTAACCCTCCAGTCTTGGCTTCCCAAGTAGCTGGGACTACAGGTATACACCACTGTAGTCTGCCTTTAATAATAACCATTCTAACTGGGGTAAGATGATATCTCATTGTTGCTTTGATTTGCATTTTCCTGATTACTAATGATGCTGGACATTTTTTCATAGAACTGTGGCCATATGTGTGTATACTGAGAAATATCTATTCATGTCCTTTGCCCACTTTTTAGTGGGATTATTTGTTTTTTTTGCTGTTGAGTTCCTTGTATATTCTGGATATTGGTTCTTTGTTAGATGAATAGTTTAAAAATATTTTCTCCTATTCACAAGATTGTCTTTTCACCCTGTTGATTTTTTATTTTGCTGTGCAGGAGCTTTTTAGTTTAATACCGTCCCATTTATCTACTTTTGTTTTGGTTGCCTATGTTTTTGAGGTGTTAGCCATAAATTCTTTGCCCTGACCAATGTCCTGAAGTGTTTCCCCTATGTTTCTTCTAGTGGTTTTATAGGTTTGGGTCTTGACATTCAGTCTTTAAACTATCCTAAGTAGATTTTTTTATATAGTGAGAGATAGGGGTCCAGTTTCATTCTTCTACATATGAACATCTAATTTTCCCAGCACCATTTGTTGAATAGAGTGTCTTTCCCCAGTGTATGTTCTTGGCACCTTCGTCAAAAATTAGTTGGCTCTAAATACATAGATTTATTTCTGGGTTTTCTATTCTGTTCTATGAGTCTTTGTTTTTACACCAATACCATGCTGTTTTAGTTACCTTAGCCTTGTAATATATTTTGAAGTCAGGTAGTGTGATGCCTCTGGCTTTGTTTTGTTTTGTTGTTTTGTTTTGTTTGTTGTTGTTGTTTGCTGAGAATTGCCTTGGCTATTTAGGCTCTTTTTTGTTTCATATAAATTTTACTAGTTTTTTTCTATTTCTGTGAAAACCAACATCAGTATTTTGATAGGGATTGCATTGAATCTATAGGTTGCTTTGGGTAGGATATTCATTTTAATGATATGAGTTTGTGTGATCCATAACCATGGATGTCTTTTCATTTGTTTGTGTCTTTTTCAATTTTGTTCATCAGTGTTTTGTTGTATTATGACCAGAATTAAAGATGCATATTGAGGAAATGTCCTTACAATTTTAAGAGTCCTTTACTGTGGACAAACAGAGGCTACTACATGGAAAGTGCTCATCCTCTCCTGTTGGATATGGCTTGTAAGAGCAGGAAGCAACATTTCTTGGAGGTTTATTATAATCCTCTTCCCTGCACTGTACATTCTTAAACATATATTGGACATGCCCTAGTAATGCCAGGGCCTTTGCCATTCTCAGTCTTAGAATACTGTAGATCTGGTGTCCTAAGTTTAATGATGGGCTAATAAGGACTAGCAACCATCTATTAGATAACAGATACAACAACTGAGCTGACCCCAACAGACTTTCAAGCGCCTGCCTGCCAGCCATCACTGGTGGGCAGCACAGGGAAGGTGATGCAGATGGCTTTCCCAGCAGGTATATAATCTGAGTCCTTAGCTGTCTCTTGCAAGTCTCCCAATGACTGACAATACCATGCTTGTTGCCTAGAAAGGTACTGTCAGAACCTGTCCTGTGAGATGTGATATTAAGGTAAAGAAAGATGGAAGTAATCTAGAGGCCAGAAATGAGCAAAATTGGCGAGATAATTTATCTGTCTTCTACTTAACAATCATATGAATCCCTTCAAGTTCTGGGTTGTCAGTGGGAGCCCATCCTTAGGATCTCAGATAGAGGAAAAAATTCCAAGGTAATTAAATTTATGTTTATGTGGAGCTCAGTGATCATAGTGGTTTTCCAGATGACCTATTCCCTGGTTAATTAACTCCTATGGATTAGCAGAAGCATATGGCTATACAAAACTATTTGGAATGTACATTTGTCACCTGGTTGATATTACATGATGGTTATATCTATTAGAAATGAAAAAGTGGATTAATTTTAACACCTCAATGATAATTTAAAAATAAAATCCATGTTAAACTGTTGAATAAGAAGTGCCACTAATATATCCAGCTGTCTACTCCAAGAGAATTTATAACATAAAAATTTCATGGGTACATTACCTTGACTAACAAGGTAAAGACAGCTTGAATTGAAAGGTGTGGGAATTGTCAATACTTTTGAAGAGGCATTGCATATTTAAAGGTAATTTCCAAATAGCAATAGATATCTTAGCAAAGTTCCTGAGAACTTACTGGAGTGTGGTCATATAACACCATCAAATGCAGTCGTCTTAGCCCAAGTTCATATACCAATCCCACATATGAAGGGTTTTCCCTTGAAATAAGGTGATGTTGTTTGTTCTGTCAACCCCCATCCAACATGAAAAGAATGAACCACTTTTTAAATCTGTTCTATAAGGGAACACGTTTCCCTAATGAATGCTTTGGTCATTGAAAAAAGCTGCTAAGCTGTTAACTGGTTCCCTTTACTCTCCACGTGAACCAAAGTCAATATCCTTCTGAGGACCCAAAATGCCCCAGCTGCCCCAGCAGAGGGAGATCAAGAATACACTCTAGGCCAGGTGGGCACTGTTCCTGTTAAGTGTGGGGGAGGAGCAAGAGGGTCTATAAGAAGCCTGAGGCAGCCCTTCTTATCCGGGTGGGTCACGGCTTACAAGGGAGCCTGCGTGGGTGGTTCCCCTTTACCTGCCAGGGTTTGGGCGCTCTGGAGCATGAATGGCTCTGCGGGAGGTGGGTGGACTTCTGGGGAGATCAGGAATTGTGGGCTTTCATGATTCCCTTTCTATTAAGGCAAAGTTGCTTCCTTCTTCCTAATGCTCGCTCTCTGCCCAACCCCTCCTCGGGGTCTTCTCTCTCTGGCTGTTCTCACCTGCTCCCATGTCTCACTGTGACCCTCAAGGGACAGACATGGAAGCCTCTTGCCAGCCTCTCAGAAGTGCACTGGCTCCATATGACCTACTTCTGGAATCTTCAAAGATATTCTTTTTTCCTCAGAAGCCCCCCTTTCCCTTTGGGAAAAAGACCTTGAGAACTGCCTGTGGGAAGTTTGGGTCACCTTAAAAAGGCAATGAAGATCTAGTCTCTAATCACACTTTAAGAGAAGTGGACAGAGGTCTCAGGAAGCCTCAATTCCTAAGCAGTATAGTGTGGGGGCCCCCATGGTTGCTGGAGGAACAGGATTTGGGAAGCAGAATGGAAGGCAGTTTTTTGCAGAGCTGGAAGTTCCTAATAGGGAAGATCTTCTCTAAAGTTCTATGTTTAGCTTAGAAGCATGCAGGGTTGGGTTGTCTCTGAAAGAACTACTGAGTTAAATGAAAATGAGTCAAAATGATTCTGTCTTCATCTGGAACACAGGACAATACTGAATTTCATGCTGTCTTCTGCAAGATGGGATGGTAACTGCCATCCCCGTGCCCAATAGGCACCAGGTGTTATCTTCTGATTCTTATTTTGTATGACACCTGTTGTCATTGAGGACTAAATGATTAGGTATTGGAGCCTTCTGAAGCTAAACCTTTACATAAACTTGTGCTAAGGAAGTCAAATGAGCTTTAAGTTCAGCCACCAACGTGGCAGCAATTGACCATAAAAGCTAAATGCCTTCTCCCATGGCAGATGCCCATAGAACTGAACAGCAGGCCCCCTGGAGTATTTCAGTCCTTAAGACATGCGTTACTCTGTGTGGCCTCCACTGTAAGGAGGCATTTAACTATGGATTTATATTAAGCTTACAAGGGCCACCTGTGGGTGTGCAGGGGGCTGCTAAGGACTCTGCTGGTCCCTCACGCTTGCAACTAAAACCTTAGGATTCCTTAACAGAAGGCATTTGCTATCCCATTCAACATCAGCCTAGGAGCCAAAGTGCTTTGGTCACGTTGCCTAGTTCTACACTAACAGCAGATCTAGCAAATATTTACTTCACATGACTCTAATAACGTTCACTAGCCCTGTGAGACAGTATGCCATGAACGACATTTTGGACATCCAGAATCTTGATGCAGCAATAGGGGGTAGGGGGAAACAAGTCTCCATTTCTCATTACTTCCAATATCCTATAGCATAGTCTCCACTAGGCAGGTGCTGTGACCCCTGTAACCGAGGAGTTTATTAACAAAATGCTACTATACTTCTGTTTCTCCTTACTTGTTAAGCACAGTATGCTGTTTAAGAAAGGTGGAATCTGGGTTTGCCAGTTGGAATTTACTCAAAGCAACAAAAGAAACTTTGTGGGCAGAGCGATTCTTCCCTGGTGTTTCTGACTGAATCTGATTCCTTTAATTACCTGCTTGTAAACAGCAATTCTTAACTCCCAGCATCACCATCAATCTTATTCATAGCTCAGGTTTCTAATTGCTCACCTGCAAATAATCCAGCAGGCTGAATGTGGAGGCCTCTGAGACAACTCGAGTGAGCCATGTGTTAAGACATTCCAGGTAACTGCTGCTTCCTCTCCTTTTGGGAAAGGCATTGTAAGTGAAACCAGGTGAAATGCTGCCCTAAGAACAGCCAACAGCTTCCACAGATCATATCTGACCATTGGTCATGATGGTAAACCACAAAGGCAGAGAAGCTCAAAGTGGCCCTTGGGGTATGTTTTAGAGAACTGTTGTGGAAGGTTTTCTAGGCTCTCCCAAGCCTGCATCTTATGTAGAGAAGATCCCACTGTAACTACGTCTATCGTCTGATGTCATGTCATGCTCAGGGACCTAGTCCACTCCAATTCCTTTCCCTTGTGCTAAATTGGAAGCCTCCCAATCACTTCTGACTTCAGCATTCTTGTCTACGTGAGCTTGCCTGCTCCTCATTGTCCTGTCTAGGACACCAGCGCTTCTAGATCACATTTTTATAGACTTGGGGGGCATAGCAACAGACCGGTCATGTGGACACATCATGTAATGGTGAGATCTAGGCTTCTGGCATGCCTATCACCCAAATAGTGAACAGTGTACCCCATTGGTAACTTTTCAATCCACACCCCCTCTCAAAATCCCCATTGTCTATTTCCCTGTTCATGTGTACCTACTGTTTAGCTCCCACTAGAATGAGGCATTTGTTTCTAAATCAAACATAAGATAAATTTCACTTAGGATAAGTCTTCAATTCCATGTTGGAACTATCACTTAGGATAAGTTCCCAGTTCCACTGGGAAAGACATGACTCCATTCTTCATTATAGCTCCACAGTATTCCATGGTCTTGGAACACTTCTTAAGCCAAACAGGGATTCCCAAACCAGTGAGGGACTTATGCTGGTGCATCATAAATACTCCTTAGTGCGCAGTGAAACTTAAAACTTTGAGCTGCCCATTTAGTTACTCACTAATATGTTCTCTTATGAAATGTTTCTAATTAAAATGTGTATACGTCTGCTCATCAAAGTCCAAAATTGTTCTTCCTTCACACAGTTTTGAGAATGAATCCCTAAAGCCCTGAGAGGCTCTCCTTTATTGGATTTGGCCTGTAGAAAGTTAAACACAGATGTTTTCTGAGAAAGTATAATCAGAGACGGGGCATGGAGAGGAGGGAGGCCTTGGGGAGGCAGGGGCTTTCCCTGTGCACTCACTGGGCATCAGGGGCAAGGTCTGAGAGACCTCCGGTCTCTCAGAAGTGCGCTGGCTCCACGGGATATACCTCTGGAATCATCAGAGTACCTCCTTTCTTTGGAAGCCCCTTTTTCCCTTTAAGAAAAGGACCCTGAGAACTGTATATAGGAAGTTCAGGCTACCTCTTAAGAGGCAGTGAAAACCTAGTCTCTTTGCTCACCTGAAAGCAAAGGTGGTGCACTCTCCCTCTGCCGGCTGTCAGACCTTGCCTCTTCCACTTCCCAGCCCTGGTTCCTCTTCCTTCCTCTACACCTCAAAGGTGTCAGAACTCATAAGGATATGCTGCTGGCTACTGATGCCAAACTGCAGTGCGTCCTCTTGAGTGCATAGATGCCTTGGCTCACCTAGAGCCTCTCAGGGCTTTAGGGATTCAATCTTAGAACTTAAGGGCCTGTTGCTGGAGCCTGGGTGGGTAGTGTAGGATCTCAAGTTGCAGCTTCAGCACAGGTGTGTAGCTCAGGTGATGAAATTGCAACATCCTGCACTGTATTTGGAGCAAGGGGGGTGGCCCAGGCAAACATCTGCTATGTCCTGGTGGCACCCCAGGAGATGCATGCTCTGTCCATGGAGGACCAGAAGTACTACCTCTTAAAGGAGTGTAGAGGTGCCAGCGTGTCTTCAGGATCGGCCCCTGAGGGCTCGCAGGAATGTCAGGACTACACCCAGGAAGGAGCCGCTCTGCTTATTGCAATAAGATGTGAGCTGTTGACCTGTTCCCTCGTCTTTCGTTTCTAAGGTGGTTGTCAATATCCTTGTTGATGACCCAAAAGGCACCAGCTGCTCCAGCAGAGGGAGCTCAAGAATGCATTCGAGGCTAGGTGGGCACTGTTCCTGTTAAGTATGGGGGAGGAGCAAGTGGGTCGATAAGAAGCCTGAGGCAGCCCTTCTCATGTGGGTGGGTCGTGGTTTACAAGGCAGCCTGGGTGGGTGGCCCCTTTTCTCACCAGGGTCTTGGGAGCTCTGGAGCATGCCTGGCTCTGCAGGGGTTGAGTGGACTTCCAGAAAGATCAGAAATGGTGAGCTTTCATGATTATTAAGGCAAAGTTGCCTCTTCCTAATGGTCTCCCTCAAACCATTTCCTCCTCAGGCCTTCTCTAGTTGTTTCCACCTGTTCCCCTGTGTCACCATGACCCTGAAGGGGGCAGATATGAAAACCTCTGGTCTCTCAGAAGTGCGCTAGCTCCACAGGAGATATACCTCTGGAATCATCAGAGTACCTCCTTTCCTTGGAAGCCCCTTTTTCCCTTTAAGAAAAGGACCCTGAGAACTGTATATAGGAAGTTCAGGCTACCTCTTAAGAGGCAGTGAAGACCTAGTCTCTTCTAGCAGTTTAGAAATAAACCAAAATCTTGAAGCTTCAACTCACCATGAAAAGGCTGGGGAGTTGGGTCCCTGAGGCTGCTGCAGGGAGCTTGTGAAACTGGATTTGGGGAAGTAAGGAAGGACAGTTTGTGCAAAACTGAAGGGTCCCCACAGGAAAGATCTTTCTAGCTTTTCCTTTGTTTAGTAAACAAGAATAGACTGCTCCAAGTGTTGGGTTAAACAGAAAGTAATGACTCAACTGGAAAAAAATCAAGGAAATTGAATTTTATGACATCTTCTCCTGCATAATGGATGGCAGCTGACATCCCTGTGCCCAATCAGTACCGGGTATCTTGACACCTGTTATAGTTCAAAATGACTGGAGCCTGGGGCCTGTTCAAACTAAACCTCTGCATGGATTTTATACAAAAGGTAAAATGAGCTTGTTAAGCTGGAAAAGTGGTAGCCCGTCAGCTGTGGAAGCCAAATGACCTTTAACGTGGCAAGTGCCCCTAGAACTGAGAGGTGCAGGCCACTTAGAGAACTTTTGGTCTTTAAAGCAAGGTTGTGGTTCTTGCAAGCATCTCCTTACAAGTTAGACCACACTAACTGGATGGGACATGAAGATTACAAGGGAGACCTGTAAGCGTGTGAAGGTAGTAGTGAACTTTGCTATCCCTTCAAACTCTTGCAGCTGAAATCCTCTAATTCATTAAATAGAATGGCACATGCCTTCTGTCCCTGGGCCCCAAAGTGCTCTGGTCCTCTTGCCTAAACCTATACTGATGTTGGATTTGGCAAGCCTTCCCGTATGGTGCAGTATTGCAAGGCTTACTGCGTCTTTCAGTAATGCTCATTACCTATAAAACTGTACGGCAGAAACTGCATTCTGGACAACTAGAATCTTGACCTAGCAAAAGTAATCTTCTTGCTTCCAATATTCTGTAGTGAATCTCCATCAGGCAGGTGGCCATAATCCCAGTACTTGCGAGGAGTCTGCTAATGAAATGCTACCATACACTTTCACCTTCTGTGTTAAGCACAGTATTTCTGTCTTAGAAAAAAGGTGACTGGATTTTCTGGTTGGATTTTACTCAAACAACCAAAGTAGTTTTTGGCGTGGAGGATTCAACCCTTTATTTCTGATCCAGTCTAGTGCCTCTGGTGATTGCCTACCTGTAAACAAAGTCTTATTTCCTGCTTCCATTTAACCTTCATCCTTAGCTCAGGCTCCTAATTGTCCTGTAAACCCAGCAAGGCAGCGCTGACTGGAGGCTCCTCCGAGACGGTGTGAGTGAGTGTACTAAGACATGTTCTCATGGTAAATTGCTTTTGGGGAACGCGGCCTAAGTGGCCTGTCTTATCCTTTCAGCCTGCTCCACAGAGAAAAGCTACCAGCTCACACAGACATTAAGGTCCTAGAAACAGTTCTGAGGCTCTTCTGGGCTTCCATGGCCAGCATCCAGGTTTCTGCAGCTACACTACCGTGGAGGCCTGCATGTCCTCAGACTGAGCCCTCCCCATCCTACTCAATGTTATAGCTGCACACCCCAGTGGCCCCTCCTGGGACATGCATTGCCACAGGGCCTGCTTTTGTCTCCCCTTCTCCTAATCCAAAAGCTGGTATCTTATGGTCGGCGGGGGCGGGGTACTACTGGCTAGAATGTAGAGTTAAAGGCTTGTAAGCCCTGTTCTTGCATCCTGAAATGAGTCAGACCCATGTGGGAAATGTATAGCTTGGCCTCTGACACAGGGCCTCGCAGTCCAGCCACCTGTTTCCTGGACACTGCATTGCGAGTTCTTCCCTCTGCTAACTCTAGTGCCTAGGAGACGCAGGCACTGTTCAAGGCCTGGGGCACAGAACCATCAAGACAGTCTCATGATAAATCAAGATAAGACACATGCAGGAAGAATGAGTGCCTTACCACTCCTTTTCTTGGCCCTTCTAGGTGCTTCTCCTAAACTTGGAGGTTTTTCATCTCTTTGGTGCACATTGTAGTCTTGTATGTTTCATCAGCCCCATCCTCCCAAATTGGCTCCCTCATGCCAGTGGCTACCATAACACCTCCTGTTCTAGTGGTGTCTTACTCCAAAGCCCTGCCTTGGGATTCCTGTTTATGTGCACATGGTCATCCTACAGCATCTGTTCTCAGAAAAATAGCACAAAGGAGCAGCAGCCAGTGTGGAAGTGACTTGCATTTCTATGGTATGGTAGCACTTTCCCACTCTTAATGGAATGTTGACTGTTCTTCCTGCCACCATCCTTGATGCAGAGTAGGAGACAATGAGATGCAAAAGATAAAAGGAGAATGAGGAACAGATGGATGAGGTTAGTAAGGCCATCTTACCAGGATGCTGCAATTGGGAAGTACTGCAGAAGTCTAGATCTCAAGCTCTGAGTTGGGAGCTTATGTGCTCCTACTCAATATAGAGTTTGCCACCTACGGATGGAAGGAATGCAGAGAAGAACTCGAATTACAATCAAGGTTTCCCTACTATACACAAATCCTTAGCTAATTGGCTGAGCTCTGCTTTAAGCTAGAGTCAGATCATACACATTCTAAAAAAAAATTCCAAAGTTATCCCTAAAGCTTTGTCTATTTCTCCTACCCTGTTTATTTCTCCACCACCTGGGTGGTGGCAGGATGTGCCTCCTTGAGAGGGATAATCTGTCCTGCAAGCATCTCTCCTGTCTCAGAATCCCAAATTCTAACAATTCTTCCTGAAGTTCCTAGTTTTTAGTGGTACTTGACGTTCCTCTGAGGAAACTCCTGAGCACCATGTGCCCGGAATTGAACCTCAAAATTGATCTTCAATTTTATAAGTGGCTTAGTTTTCAGATGATCCTAAAAAGTAGATTTGGGGTGACCAATGTTTGTGCAATTCTTAAAGCCATTTCCTCTCCTTAAAAGGCAGGAAGTATTCAAATCCCTGGAAACATTGCTGAAATTGAATGCCAGGATGCTTAGCTACCCTGGAGCTTGTTCCTGTTTTGAGCAGGTGCTCATGGCATGAACATGAATTGGTGTTCTCCAGCTGTGTAGTTTTATGCTATCCTAGTGCCAGAATCAGTGAGGTAGAGCCCTGAAACTCCCCTGGCTGCATCCCAGTTGAACTGGAAGGAGCTAAATTCTTCTAATATGAAGATGAGAGTCCTAGCTTCTGATATGTCCAGGTATACTCTTTAGGATCTAACTGATTTGGGTTGAATAGGTGGGGTATGATGAACCTGCTCGAGTAAGGCTTGTGTTCTAGTCTCTTGTTAAACTGAAATGGAAATACTCTTGTTGAAGGTAGCAGTTAGTAAGCATCCTATCTTTTAGAGAAAGTGCTATTGTTATCTTGAGTATGCTTCTCCCCTAACTTCCTTCTGAAACCACACATCAGGCCTCTTTGCATGCCCATACCATGCTGTTTCTGTATCTTTTCACTTGCTTTTTACTTTTACATCACCAATTTCATCTCCTAAGATACCTCTTCTGCTTTGATCTCATCCATTGAGTTAATCTTCAAGAGTAGGATGATCTTTGGATACTGGCTAACAACATTTTAGCCTGCCTGTGAGGACAGTGGCATAGCCAGGCCAAAAGATAACTTCTGGAGCCCAAGCAATTGGATTGGATCTACACCAAAATCCTCAACTACTTACGATTGCTAGTGGAGCAGACGGAAGTCTAAATGCTGCTAAATATGTGAAGCTAGAGACAAGACTGACAGCCCAAAGGCACAGCACACTTGCAGAGTGTAGAATGAGGGTGAGGGTCAGGAATCCTCTTGTGAGTTTAGGGTAGGGTAAGAAAGTTGTTATACCTGAAGAAATCCTGTAGGTCTGACAGTCTAAAGGTTATCCATAAACAGGGTGTTAAGGGGTGAGGAACTGGGCTTATGCCAGTAACAAAGACGTGACAAAAGCTCCGAGTAGCAAGGGACTCTGGGGCCCTGAGCTGAATCTCCACTTGCAGAACTAGGAGTGTTTGTCTCGGGATAAATACATGCAAAACATCTAGTAGGTGGCCAGTTCTTGGGATGTGGGGCAGTTAGAGATATTGAATTTAGGGGTTTGACTTTGGAAATACTATATAGTCAAGATTTAAGTGTCACTTTACCCTTACAAGAACAGGCTGAATGTGGCATCTAGTGGCACATAGGGAGCCTGACTTGTAAGATTCCCAGAATTAAGAGGAACCTCCAGGATTTGTCATCTTCCATGTCTTGAGAAGGGTTCCCATGAAACTGCTTCAGGAGAAACTAGATAGCTTCTGATACAAAATGTAGACTAGTCTCCTATAGAATGATCTTGAATATGTGTAATTGCCTGGCAATTCAGATGAGTAAGTAGAAGACAAAACTGACTGCTGGCCTTACTTCCAACATTCCTGATCTCTATGCAGGTCTCCCACTGAGACATCAGTATTACAGAGCAATTGCTATCATCCAATAGACTGTACCCTATTGGATAGGAGAAATAGACAAATAGTTTTAGGGATAACTTTGGAGTAATTTTTTTTTGAATGTGTATAATCTTTGACTCTAGCTTAAAGCAGCTCAGCCAATTAGCTAAGGATTTGTATATAGTAGGGAAACCTGGATTATAATCCTAGAGTCCTCTGGGGATCTTATAGAAGTTCTTGTAGACTGTCCTGTAAGCTGAGAAGCTTTACACAAGAGAACCCATACCATCATTGTCCTGGACTGCTGCATATTCTAAAGTCTGAGAACACTTGTGTACTCCAACAGGCTTAAGTTATTTCTGAAGGTAATCTCAAGTTAATGTTCATATTTTTATTGCTAGCCACTACCTTGTCACCATGACTTCAAAGGGATGACATTCTCCTGAGCCTCATATTTCTTAAATCCGTAGTTGGTGGGAACTATTATTGGGGTTGCTAATATTGCCTGTTCTAGTATGGGAATACAATTGCTAGAATTCAGAGGTGTGAGAAAGCTAACCCTAATCTCAAAGCACAGGGGTGCATCACCCAAAGCAGATATGCTCAGCTTGCATATTCTTTCAGGAAACTTCTGGCAGGACCAGGGATCTAAATGCCTCTAGACATCGAACAAATAAGACTTTGCCACAGGGAAGATCTGTATATTCATGGCAACATGGGAAGAGACCATAAAGCAGCAAATATACAAAGTAGAAATAGTAGGTAAGAACTTCATAAAACGAGTTGTGGTACAACTATTGTGGGTACAGGTAAATGACTTAGTGATTTGGAAGATGAGAGGAATCTAGGGTAATGAGTTAAACTAAGTCCAAATTTAGAGTACAAAAACACTCCAATATCTGGAGCACAAAAGTACCAGGCCAACATTTAGACAAGAGACCTAAAAGCAGAAATCACAGGGGAAGCTGTGTTGAATGGGGCTCAGGTAGAGCTCAGACCTCTAGAACAGTCAGGAAGTCGACTTAAGGTATCTCTTACCTTGCCCCCCTTGAATACAGGCCCATTGAATTTCATCCCCAGAGTGAGACAGGCAATAGTTATGACTCCCACAAAACCAGGACTTCCTAGGTTAGTCTGGATAACTTTTTCTGTTAATAGAACTTGAGGCCACTCTGAGAAGGTAGAAATGGATGTTGAAAGAACAATGTAGCCTTAGGAAGAGGCAGGACTAGTGACTTTGGTATGAGAGAGACTTGCCACGGTAACCATTACCCTCTTGTCTGAAGGTGTGAATCTGAAGGAACTGGAAGTTCTCCAACTGTCTTCTCCAGGTAAATCATGCAGGGATCTGTAGCACCATTGAAAGTCTATTAAATCACTTGGAAATATGTGGCAGTTGCATTTTGAATGTCCAAAAATCTCTTCAAACGTCTAAAATTAATACAAATGTGAAGTAGTAAAGCTAGAGTGAAGTGAATGCCTGATCCATTCGATAATCTTAAAAGCTAGATAACTCTCAAGAAGGTTAAACATTCACTTTGCCATAAATGATAATAGACCCTATATTAGTCCATTTTCATGCTGCAGATAGACGTACCTGAGACTGGTCAATTTACAAAAGAAAGTTTTAATTGGACTTACAGTTCCACATGGCTGGGGGATGCCTCACAATCATGGCAGAAGGCAAGAAGAGGAGCAAGTTTACATCTTACATGGATGGCAGGAGGCAAAGAGCCTGTGCAGGGAGACTCCTGTTCTTAAAACCATCAGATCCTGAGACCCATTCACTATCATGAGAACAGCATGGGAAAGACATGTCCCCATGATTCAATCATCTCCCTTGGGGTCCCTCGCACAACATGTGGGAATTATGGGAGCTACAAGTTGAGATCTGGGTGGGGACACCCAGCCAAACCATCTCAGACCCCAAGGGTGAAGACTGAGGGACTTTGAGATGTCTACCTGCCACTGAGCTGGTGACTGCCTAATAATGAGTCAAGGAGAGGAGAAAAATGGGAGAGCTTCCTTACCAAAAAAAAAAAAAAAAAAAAAAAAACAGTAACTGTTCTAATTCTTCTCTGGATCTCTGGAAGTAAACGCAAAGGTTGTTGTAAGACTTCTCAGGCCACCTTGGAATGAAGGTAACACCCTGGCTCCAGGAGCTTGCTTGTTTTTGTATAATCTGAAAACCTTTTTGAGTGACACTAGGGACTCACTCTACACCATCAGCTTTTATCACTCTAAGTATCTTTTTTTTTTTTTTTTTTTTGAAAAGACCAGCTAATCTGGATGTCTGTTAAAAAGTTGTTATGCTGGTCCCGTGTCTTTGAGGTCTTTACAGAATTAGCTGGCACTAGATCATTAGGAAATTGTGGGTTATTATGACCTGCCTAGATACTAGTATCTCAAATCTGCAGATCCAAATTCAAGAGAATGTTCTCTAGGTCCTAAAATTAAATACATTATCAAACCCTGGAGATGGATAGCTGAAGGATTAGTGGGTGAGGGTGGCTGAAACAATCACAAGATTGTGACCAGAGGGGGAAGAAAACGGGGTGACTTGGAAAAATGGTTAGAGAAGCTAGAATTTTACGTGGCCTCCAAACAAGCTTTGGGCAGGTCAAATTGACTTGGACATAGGATGAGAGGCTGTATTAGGATTCTCTACAAGGAGAGAACTAATAGAATATACGTATATGAGAGTGAGTTCATTAAAGGGAACTAACTCACATGATCACAAGGTAAAGTTCACAATAGGCTGTCTGCAAGTTGAACAAGGAAGCCAGTGGTGGATCAGTCTGAGTCACAAAACCTCAAAAGTAGGGAAGCCAACAGTGCAGCCCTTCAGTCTGTGGCTGAAGGCTCAAGAGCCCCTGAAAAAACCACAGGTGTAGGTCCAAGGGTCCAAAAGCCAAAGAACTTGGAGTCTGATGTTTTGGGGACAGGAAGCATCCAGCAAGGGAGAAAGATGAAGGCCAGAAGACTCAGCAAGTCTTCTTCCATCTTCTCCTGGCAACTTTATTCTAGCTGTGAGAGCAGCTGATCAAATGGTACCCAGATTGAGGGGTGGGGTCTGCCTCTTCCAGTCCACTGACTGAAATGTTAATCTCCTTTGGCAACACCCTCACAGACACACCCAGGAACACTACTTTGCATCCCTCAATCCAATCAAGTTGACACTCAGTATCAACCATCACACAGCCCGAGAATTTACATCAAATGTGGGGATCACGGCCCATGGCATGAGACGTAGGAGATAAGCCTTCCCAGTGGTTGGACCAACCTATCTCAGGCTTCTGAGATGCTGAGGCAGGGAGGTCCATGAGCCTTTCCCAAGGTATCGCTGGAAAAGCTCACTTCTGAAGCCACTGGGAGGGAAAACACAACCTGGATCTTATCAGACCATTTGAACAGACTAGCAATGTTCTGCCATCTCTTCTGGGTGCCCACAGAGAACTACAACAAGGATTCCATTTTTAAAGCCTTATGACACAAAGCTGACACATGGTAAGTTTCACTGTTTAAACTATTCTCAGCATATAGGGACATGCCGAGTTTGAGGAGTTGATAGGTTGATCAGGGATAATGTCAGTGAATGGGAGGAGAAAGCAAGATTGTTTAGGAGATGTTGAACTGTGGTGCAAGTCCAGCTAAAGCTTCCATCAACATATCACAGAGCTCCAGAATAAATACTGTGCATCTGAAACACCCTGCAACACCTTCCTTTCTGTCTTGTTGCTGGAAATACCATGCAACATGGTGTCTGAGCCCTTATATAAACCAGCATATTGCCTGGCCTGCACCATGTCCCAATCCCCCCTCCCTAGAGGGTCTTGGGAATTGTGATGTTGGAACATGAGGGGTGGCAGTGGTGTATTGCTACTGCACTCAACAACCAGCAAATTAGGACCTTGTGGTCAATTCCTGAATCCCATCTTGCTCTTGAGTTCCAGGTCAAGTTATGTTCTCATCTGTCAAGCTGACTAATAAAGCAGAACCTGAGGGTGAGGATAGGTATGTAAGTTGATACGGGAGATGATCCCATGAGCATCTGTAGGGCGGTGGGTAAGTGAGACTTTGAGGTAAACAAGTTACCATTCAATGCATCTGGAGGTCCATCTCACTTAAACTTCAGGATACACTGGGGACCTACCTCAGCATTATCTTGGTCAGGGTGGGGCCTTAGTATGTAATAACTGCGTCCATCATAAGTTGGGCCTTGTGAATTCACCAGAACTTTGGCCTGCACTTCATATTGCTGAAGCCCTAGGATCTTTAAAAAGCCACTGATCACAGTATCGGATGTTGGCATGTACAGGGACTTCATGTGCTGAGTGAACAGGAGCCAGATGCTACCAGATTCTGCTCTCCTAGGGCCAAGTACATCAGTGTCTAGGGGTGGGGGTGAGATCTGTCAAGATCACAATCCAGCCATGAGTGCAGGATCCCCGAGTGACCAGCTAGAGATGAGATGTCTTATCTTACCCAAAATAGTTCCACATTCTGTGTTATGGTGAGACTGCTACCATAACCTGCCAATGGGGCAAGGGGAGGACCTACTGTGTACTCTACTTCCTGCACTTGGTCCTCCAATGTAAGTGCTGATTTACTTGTAGCTCCTGGTCATCGTGTGACCTGAATCTGCCACGTGATATAATCAAATCTGAATTGAGCAAGATCCACCACTCAGAACAAGGACTCAGGGTAAACAAAAAGTAGACTACCCTCCCTTCTCCGAGAGAGTCCACATCTCATCTTCTGCTACCAGACACGAAGTTTTTTCAAAGTATTTGAGCTCATCTTAGGATGAGTCCCATTGCTGAGTTGGTCCTAGTCTAGGCTGTGACTAGTGTCACCAGGGAGCTGTGAAACAAGCTGTTAGGGTCTCAGAGCTTGATCCACAGTGGCCATTAGAGGGACAGCCAAGGGCTCTCGAAGTCAACATCATGCCCACATTTCTGAGCTGTGCAGTTCTGTATCCTGGACTGTGCCATGACTCCCCATCCCAGTGGCAGTGAGTGGCCTCTCTCCATTCCACAGAAGGAATAGAACATACGTGGTGTGCTGGAGAAAAACTCAGTCTGATTCAGTCACCTTTAGACCTGTGACTAACCAGGAGCCAATCATACTTCTGACTTGTTATGGTAAATAGCATTCTTCCTATTTCTCCATTCAGGTTAAATTCTGCCTTTTTCTTGAGCCTGTGGGAAATTGTCTTTCTTTATATAAACATGACCATCTGCCCTCTCCTGTTTCTAAAATGTGTGACTTTAAAGTTGCCAACTTGCTAACTCTGCAGAAATTACAGGGTTTTATGGGTGTCCTAAGTCTTCTAAGACAGATGGTCTTGGAATTGGGTTCTCTTTTGTTCTCTATGCAGGATCTAGATGTTTAGACAATAACTTCTGATGTACTGAAATAGTTTGGAAAGAGATTAGTCTCCTGAGACTTGCACCCACAACCATGTGCCTTCACTACTGAAGGGGAGAGAAAGTCCTATGAATGCCTTTGAATGATCGCTTGAACTGAAAGTGAGCAGATAGTCACAAAATGCTCACTATTTCAACTTATTTATACCTTGCCTTCTAATAGTGTTTGTATATCTCCTAAAACCATCAAATGTCCCTCATGTAAGATATGGTCAGAAGCTCATGGGACTCCTGTTGTGGTTAAGCCTTGCTGATCCTGGTGATTTTCTTGGCCAGGTTTTTGAGGATTTTGCTGTTTAAGGCAGATGAATCATAGCCAAAACACTTCTCAAAATTGACTGAATAAAAACCACATTTGGCCCCCTTCTTCCTGGTTCTTGACAGCCAGTTACCTTGAAGTTGGTTTGTGTTAAGTTGACTCGACACTTAACAAGAACCTTAAATGGTGGAAGGGACAGGGACGTGACTTGGTAGTTAGAAGAACCAGGAGGGATTAAAGGGAAAGTTCACCTGGAAGGAAGAAGTGGGTCTCATGTTTGAAATTTTTCTGGAAAAAGGCTTCTCTTACTAAATACTAGAAAAATTTGCCCAACAAATGGTACCAGAGTTAACAGAGAGGGCTTAATTATTCTTAAATAGAAAGATCTAGATGTCATCTGATATCTTCAAGAATATTGTTTTGTGGCTTAATGGCAGGATAGGTGGTAGTCCTTGAATCAGGAACCTGGGAAGCAGGATGTCTCTCTGCTCCTGAGCTGTCCTTGCTCCTTTTGGCAAAGACTTGTTTCCATGAGAAAGCTGTGTGTATAGTGGGCTGAAGTTTCCAGCCAAGCAAGTGACTATATAAAACAACCCCATATTGTGACTCATTTCAACCGAGGGGCTAGTAAGATCTCCAGCCAACAGATTCCATTATCAAGGTGATTATGAAACTGAATATCATGGTGTGAAGGTTGGAGGAGAAAGAAGTTATTCTCCCCTGGAAAAACAATTTGCCTTTCACGGGAAGCTCATAAACCAGTGGTGTTCATAGGCGGTTGTGGTTATCCTTGCCCCTCACCTAAGAAATAGGATTGTCTTACTGGTTATTAATCAGCTAAAACATCATCTGCCTTAAGAATTACACTGAACAGGCATTTTCTGATAGTAGGTATCAAAGACTCTAAAATGAGTCTGCTAAATCTTATGATTCACTTCATTGATTCAGTTAACTTGTTTGTATCCTGTACATCTTGGATTTGATTCCATGTCTCATAGTTGTCCTAAAATATAAAAATCTTGCCCATTATCTCCTCAGAATTATGTCTTAATTCAGTTACACCACTTACACATCTACTAGGCCACTGAGTTTGCCCATAACTCACCTATGTACAGTATACCTAATTTTTCTCACTTGGATATTTTCTATTCTATCCTTAAGTTCAATAAATTCCTCTGCAATATCCAGCTTACTGCTATTCCCAACCACTGTAACTGTCATCCTAGATGTTGAGACTTCCTAAGTTTGATTTAGACATCTTCTACATTGTGCATGTTTTATTGAACGTAAGACAGTGATAATGAAACACTCCTATAACCATATGCTCATAGGTCATTTTGTAGGGCTTGTGGGCTGTGAAACCAAGAGCTCTTAACGCTATGACCAAATATTGAAGTCTTCCACAGGATGTGATGGCCACTAGGAAACAAGACTTAGCCACTCACACTCATGACATGACTCATATCTGTAGGAAAGTGCCTCAAAGTTTTAAGTGGTATAAAGTTATAACAACTAAGGTAACCAATTAAATATTCCTTGTGCCTGTATCTGTTAATCAACTTTTATTCCTTCCCCTGGTGCATGTGGAATACCAGTTCTTGTTGCATTCTCCTGGTTGAGTGTTGGTTTGGCCTCTTCCTCATCTCATATAGAGTCAAACTAAAACAGTTCAAAGAAACAAGGATTCTTTCTCCTCACTCACAAGCCTCATTTGGAACTACATTTCTATGGGTAAATATCTACTTAAATGGTGTGCAGTAGAACTTTAGAGTCTGAGCAGCTTGCCTCTGTTAACTGATGATGCAGCTATCCATCTTGTCTGACTTTGATTCCATTCCTTTTATGTCAATCATGGGGCACATTACCTTTCAGCATACTGTTTCCCAGGTACAATACCAGCTTGCTTTCATCTGGGCCTAGCCAGTGGGAGAAGCTTGCAGGAGACTGAGGATGGGAGGGAGGGAAGTAATAACATGTTTCACCTCCTCACTGCCTCAGACCTCATTCTGAGTCTGCTCCATGGGCCCAGCTTCATCAGACCGGACAACCACGGTGTCAGTCTCCAATGGGAGACTATCCAGGTGTTTCAAAGACACCAGCTAACCTCATTTCCCAGTCAGCCTGGGAATGGTCACAAGTGTCTTCCCTCTTGGAAACCAAGCATGCTACTTTGCATTTCCATGGTCTCTATTGTCAGGTTGTTACATCTTTCCTCAGGGAAGGGTGAGGGAGTGTTCAGCTTCCCATTACTTGTTTACATGAAATTCTTTTTGACACTTAGAATTCATGTGCCTTTTCCATCTTCATGGCCAACTCTTGTATCCCCTGAGTAAAATTACAGGACAATGGCTTTCAGTTTACAAACACAACTCATTGTCATACTCAATATCCATAGGTTCACAGAACAAGCAGTGTTTTCAGTTTCAGAGACTTCTTTTACCTATGGAATTAAAAATATATGGTTCTAGGCCTGAACTTCTCCCCAGAAACTGTAGGCAACTTTCTAACCCTGGAAGTTGACTTTTGGTGCCATTAACACTGAACCATATAAAATAGCTTCCTATTCAAATGAACTCGGGCTGCACTGGGCTTCTCAGAAGACTGTTCTAGATTGCCACTCTTCATCAGAAGATTCTGAAGACCAGGTAGTGTCCCCTCCCAAAGTAAACTCCAGGTTTAATTTCAATCATTTAATAGAAAAAGGTTCTCATTTATCCTTGTTCTTGAGCCTGACTTTGTTGGTTAGGACAAATCACAATGGGTGGCAATGAGAATGGGGTAGGAAGAAACCTTCAAACAGAATGGGGACAGTGCTTAGTCTTGTCCATGTCTCTAGACAAGCTGGCTCAAAATGTGTTAAATAAAACCACAGCACATACCCTGTCTGACCACATGGGACATGGTGTTTAATGAAGTGATGTCGTCTTCTGTCCTGGTCTTTCAGCGTTGTTACCTGGGCCCATAGGAGATAACCCAATAGATAACTTGGGTGCGGAGGTCTAGACTCAGAAATCTAAGTTCTTGTAATAACTTTACCTTCAACACAGATATGGGCAAACTTCAGTGTAGAAAGTAGCACTTCTTATTCTCATGGGTACAGGGCTGGCAAATGGTAGGAATAGTTGCTAAAATGTGTATAAATTTTAAAACTGACTTCCTAACTGATAAAAATTACATTTCCAATGCATACTGTACTAGGGTTCTCCAGAGGGACAGAACTAATAGGATATGTCTATAATGAAGTTTACTAAGGTGAATTGACTCACATGATCACAAGGCAAAATCCCATGATGGGCTGTCTGCAAGCTGAAGAAGGAAACCAGTAGTGGCTCAGTCCAAGTCCAAGAGCCTCAAAAGCAGGGAAGCCAACAGTGTAGCCTTCAGTCTGTGGCTGAGAAGGCCTGAGAGACCCCAGCAAACCACTGGTGTAAGTCCAGGAGTCCAAAGGCTGAAGAACCTGGAGTCTGATGTCCAAAAGCCAGAAACATCCAGCACGGGAAGAAGACAAAAGCTGGAAGACTTGGCAAGCCAGCTTATCCCACGTTCTTCCACCTGCTTTGTTTTAGCCATGCTGGCGGCCGATTGGATGGTGCCTACCCACATTGAGGGTGGATCTTCCTCTCCCAGTCCACTGACTCATGATAATTTCCTCTGGCAACATCCTCAGGCACACCCAGAAAAAATACTTTATCAGTATAAGGAAAATGTGTAGTCGCCTGTCAAATGAGAAGACAGTAACACTGCCTGAGAATAAGGGCTCTGTCTGCTACTGAGCTGTTTGTGACTCTAGGCAATGATGGGCACCTCCAAGATGAAATCGACATACTTGGCTCAGAAAGCACTGGATCTGCCAAATTACCCACTAAGGGCATACTCAGAATGAAAATTTGGGGTGATTGAATTCTTGCTAAGAACAAAGATCATCACACAGATGGGACCCTCGAACTTAATGCTGGCCTTAACTACAGGGCAAAACTGAGGACTTGTTCAAAGCCACATTCATGCTTTTACTAACTTCAAAATTGGGAAACTCTTGTCCATACCCATGGCTGGTGTTCTCTGCACGTACTGTTTGACAATATTCAGGCACATAGGAAATCTCTTCACTGATTTGGGGGTTGCTGGATATAGACTTTCTCCGGCCACCTAGATATGAAGATGTTCTGCTCAAATCAATAGGCTAAAGCTGAAATCTAAGCCTGGTCCTCAGAATTGACTATTCTGGAGCTGTTTTGCACAACGGAGAGCAAGAATTGACGTCATTATCTAGGAGATGAGGCCACTATTCCAATATCCAACGACATCTATAAATGGAAAGGCCTATAGATGTTATACTGAATGGGCTTTCGTTGGGATACTTCATGTCCTGAAACTGACTCTGCTTCGGATCCCCTAAACTTTGGGGGCATCCTCAGTGAAGTTAAAATATCACTGGTTTGCATTTTACCTATTCCTCATAATAGACTCTAGCAAAAAGGCCTAATAGTATCTTGGTTAAAATGAACCGTTTAAGCCAGATTGATTGTGCCAGATTGTGATAGGCTTGACAGCACCTCTTCTGGTTCAAGTTGGTGTTGAATATGGGGAATATGGGATAAGCTGTTATAAATGCCCTGAACTAACTGCAAGGCCAAGAGACTTCCAATGGCTCTATGGGGACAGTGTATCTCTGATCATATGCACACACACGTGTGCAAGAAGAACTCAGTATGAACACATACCTAGTAATTTGGTAGTCCCTGATCTAGGAGGGTTTGTTCCTTCTTAGAAATGAAACTATTTCTCTATCAAATTCCTCTGTCATTCTAGAAACGGCAGGTGATGCACTCGTTTCATCAAGCTGTGTAAAGGTTCTATTTTCCTAGTTCTTGGTCTCATGTGAAATTGAACTCTGCAAAGTTCAGACTTCAGAAACTGTCTTCAACTTCTAGTGTGACCTCTTCTGCACTGGCATGCCCGATTCCTTTGAACTTGCTCCCATTGCTGGGGGGATGTCTGAACACGAAACAAGATGACACAGAAGTGGTTATAGGAAAGGCTCACATATCGTCTGGTCCTTCCGACTCCAATGTCACAGGAGCCTGTGCTATGGAAGGTAAAACTCATGCCCTCATTGAATTCTTGTGCTCAGAATCTGAATGTTGGCTCTTTTGTTCTCAGGGTGGTCTTAAAAATAACTTTCTCGAAGTTCACAACTAGAGTTACAGTTCAGAACACTCCACCCCCAAAAACCATCCAGCTTCTGTTATGACATTTTTCTGTGTACCTTTGTATAGCTGAGTTGTATCACCATATTAAGCCTCCGATGGAATATTCAAGGAGCTGGAGGCTGGAAGGCAAAAGAAAGTTCCTAAACCTTTATCCTGAAATCTGAGTTTTTAGGAAATGGGCATGTTAAAGAAGACTTGTGATATTCATGAGACAAATTGTGTGTGTGTGTGTGTGTGTGTGTGTGTGTGTGTTAATTAGATGGAGTCTTGCTCTGTTGCCCAGAGTGGAGTGCAGTGGTGCAATCTCAGCTTACTGCAACCTCCACCTCCTGGGTTCAAACGATTCTCCTCAAGTAGCTGGGATTACAAGTGTGCACCAACACACCCGGCTAATCTTTGTTTTGAGTAGAGATGGGGTTTGGTAAAACCAAGTTTCACCATGTTGGCCAGGCTGGTCTTGAACTCCTGACCTCAGGTGATCCACCTGCCTCAGCCTCCCAAAGTACTGGGATTACAGGTGTGAGCCACCATGCCTGGCCCCATGAGAAAAATTGGAAGACAAGTCCGATGAGATACCACTGAGGTTTTCCTGGATGTCGAACACTTACAAATATACAAAATCATTCCAGCCATTGAAAGGATGAAGAGTTAGAGTTTCACTGTTGGGTGCTAAGTTTGTTCTATGGGCTCAGTGGGCAGCAGGTGGTGTGCATGAGCAATGTCACACATTACCTAAAGCCTTACATTAGTGTGCATCTACTTGTTCCCTACTAAGGGTCTGATCAATGTATAATCTCTGGCTAAGCACAGGTGGCCAGCATTAATTAACTGCTTTTCTCTTCTCAGCTTAGATCTGAGAGCTGGGACCTCTGTGGAGAAGCCTGAGGTTTTGCTCCATGTTTTGTGTTCCAAAGCTATTGCATATGCTAGAACATCCTGTTTACATGAGCTCTCCTGTCATTGCGAATGGAGAAAAACGATTTGTTTCCACCTAGGTCTTAACTACAAAGGAGTGCTAGGAAGTTCAGGATCTGACTTTAGAAGTGGAAGGCTTTAGGTGTCACCCGTGTAATATCCGCTCTGGAGATGAATTTTAAGTTCAAGCAGGGACACTCAAGATGGATATAAATGTCATAAGTATCCATCACATATAATGAAAGTCTTGGTTAATAGCAGTCTCCCATCCAGGAGTTGTCACAGCCAGTTGTAGGTCCCTGTGTGGTTCAGAAAGGGCAACCAGGTCTGACCTTGAAGTTGCCTCATATTACTTGGAGTTTTCAACACTGAACTCACAGGACAAGATCTGTGGTAGTGAAGGAGCAGGACTGAAATTCTGGAGAAGGCTTCATAGATATAGAAAGGGCTTCAACTAGTTTTATATGTTGAGGTTCACATAAAGACAGACTACCAATACCAGTTTATAGACCCTGCTTTCTCTCTCAAAGTAAAGACTCAGGAGAAGAGGAGCAGAGATCCTGAAGAGGACTGTCATAGACTAAGTTGTGGTTTCAGAAGGACCCTCAATTTTCTCTCTCCCAATTCTCCTTACACAACAAAATGCTGACAAACTGGGAGAGAATCTGGTAGACTTAAGCTATTTTAAAAGCAACTTAACCACATAATTTTGTCTTCTGTGGCAGTACTCACCGTACAGGGTGGAGTCGTCTTCTGTGGGGTGGAGTCGTCTTCTGTGGGGTGGAGTCGTCTTCTGTGGGGTGGAGTCGTCTTCTGTGGGGTGGAGTCGTCTTCTGTGGGTTGCCTTTTCACTGATCTCTGTGCAGAAGCTTTAGCATGCTATAATCCTGTTTGTTTGCTTTTATTGCCTGTGCTGCTGAGGTTTTACCCAAAAAGTCTGCCAAACCAATGTTCAGAAGCATTTCCTCAATATTTTACAGTCTTGGGTCTTAGATTTAAGTCTTCATGTTTTGCTTTGGTGTTTGCTTATGGTGTGATCAATAGAGATCTAGCATTTATATGGATATTGAGTTTTCCCAGCACTACTCAGAAGTTTGTCCCAATGTTCTTGGCAACTTTGTCAACAATAAGTCTATAAACATGTGTGTTTATCTCTGGATTATCTATTCTGTTCCATTGGTCTTCTCTGTGTCTTTATGCCAGTATCTTTGTTTTGGCTACTATAGCTTTGTATTGTACATCTTAAAGTCAGGTGGTATGCCTCCAGGTCTGCTTTTTGTTCAGGATTTACCTATACCATTAGAGAACATAGGGTTCCAGGCTTGAACTTTGTATTAGGGTTCTCTAGAAAGACAGAACCAATAGGATAGATACATAAAGGGGAGTTTATTATATGATCACAAGGTCCCACAATAGGCTGTCTGCAAGCTTGATGAGCAAGGAGAACCAGTCTGAATCTCAAAACTTGAAGAACTTGGAGTCTGATGTTCAGGGGCAGGAAGTGTCCAGCATGGGAGAAAGACGTAGGCTGGGAGGCTAGGCCAGTATCGCCTTCTCACATTTTTCTGCCTGCTTTATATTTGCTGGCAGCTGATTAGATTGTGCCCACCAGATTAAGGGTGGATCTGCCTTCCCAGGCCCAGTCACTCAAATGTTAATCTCTCTTGGCAACACCTTCACAGAAACACCCAGCATCAATACTTTGTATCCTTCAATCAAGTTGACACTCAGTATTAACCATCACAAACGTCTCTCCAAAATACCAGCCAATTATCCACAAGTGGGATATTCTGGGTTACATTTGGGGCCATATGTCTTGTCCTCTATATTAAATGGATTTTCTATAAAACATATTCTGGCTACATTGTGCCTTTCAGCTGCATATGCTAAATTTGATGCAGGAAGTTCTGAATACCATGTAGTGTCACTTTCCAAAGTAGATTCCAGGTCTAGTTTTCGTCATTAATAGGAATTAGACTGCATTCTCTACTTATCCTTGAGCCTAACTTTGCCCATTAGGATGGTCCAAAACGGACAGTAATGAGAACAGGGGACGGGGAAGGCTGTAAACTGAATGGGGCAATCAATGCTTAGTCTTGTGCTCATCTAGTCAGATGAATCTGATTTGGACTACTCAAATCCCAGCATACACCCTGTCCAACCATTAGGTATGTTATATATTCTATGACATGTAATCTATCATTCTGGGGTGTCTCAGCTTTGTTACCTGGACTAAAAGTAAATGGCCAACAAGAGAACTGTTGAATGAATGTGGGGTCTAAATTCAGGAATCCCATCTTTTGTAATGACTTACCCACCAGCAAGGCTACTGGTTAACCCCAGTGTAGGAAGTATTTCCAGTTTCTGCAAGAAAAGTTCTGATAAATTCTGAAGAGTTACAAATACATACAAACTTAACTGACTTTTTTCATGTTTAAACTTCTTATAAATAGTAAACATCAAAAACATTCTAATGCTTCACGACATTGTGGGTGACAAGGCTCTCTGGAACCGTCTCTGGTGCTTGATTCTGAAAGACCAGATCCCAGTTTCCTTGTTTCTCCCTTAGAATGAGCCTTTGGCCTTTCCAACCTGTCTGGCAGGACATGGGTTTTCTGGAGGGAGCCTTTCTGAAGAGCTGGCTCTACAGGGAAAAAGGGCATGAGGCTCTATGGGAAGGAACTCCATGCTGAGGGGTGCCAGGGAATGTCAATGAAGTGCTGCTTTCCTAGACTACCTCCTTTTACCTTTGTTCCTTCAGGAAGGATGGAGTTCAGACACAAGGTGGCTAAAGGTGACCTACTAGGACAGTATAGGTGTAAGGAAAGCCTGGTGTGACAAACCCAGAGCAGTGTGGCTTTTCATGACTGGAGCCAATAGTCCTTCCTAACACTGACCTATTACTCAATGAGGATATAGAACAAAAACATGTAGAGTGATTTTCCACAAGTTGGGTTGGATTCGTGGTGATCTGTCAAATCAGAAGACCACACTGCCTGAAAATGAAGGACCTGTTTGCTACTGGGTCTTTGACTCTAGTCAAAGATGACTGCCCCCAAGATGAAGTCAACATGCTTAGCCAGCACTAGATCTGCCAATCCACCGACTAGGGACATAGCCAAAGTTGGTAAATCTGAGCTCATAAGCTTCGTGAGGAACAGGTAATTCACATAGGGATGTCACTGGTGTTTAGGGCTGGCCTTAAATGAAGCATGGAACTGAGGACTTGGTGGAAGAGCCGGATGTGGCTTGGAACCACGTCCAAGCTGGGTGTTGCTCTGACAAATTATTCTCTGTGCCCATGGCTTTGTGTTCTTGCATCTACTCAGTGTTCCCTCTGCCTGAATATCAATCTTTATTTCCTCAGTTTGGGGACGGCTGGGACTATGGACTGTCCCCAGCTGCCCAGATGCGAAGCTGTTCAGATATATTCTGCAACCTGAGGCTGATGCCCACAAGTGCATCACATTCAATAGCTGTTTGAAGCTGTGTTCTCCAGAGAATAAGGATGCTTATAAAATGCCACTACCTAGGACCATGTGGCCCTTATGACAATGCCCACTGATGTCTACAGATGGAAAGGCCACTGTAAAAGATGCAGATATTCATACTGGATGAACTGTCTATGGAGATGCTTCATGACCTAGGACTACCTGTGTTTTTCTTCCTTTGAATGCCCTAAAAGACTTGGGATGCATCCTCGGTGAAGATCAGAAAATGACTATTTGACATTTTACCTACAACCTTATAGTATGGGAGAGATCTGATGGCACTTTCTTAGATAAAATAAACTGTTAAAGCCTAAGCCAGATAGATATTGGGGGTAGCAACTCCTGATTCAATGTGGGAGTTGGATATGTGGTGACCTGTTGTAGACTCTGTGCTAATTGGAAGGACAGTTTTATTGACTGCATGAACAGGGCATAACTCAGGTTTTGTGTGCACACATGCAGTTACATTGACCTGAAGGCAGAAAATACAAACCACAGGAATAAATAGTCTCTGATCCTAGAAAAAAGGCTTCACTCTTTGCATAAAAAAAGGACAATTCTATAAAATCCCTCGTAGTTCTAGAAATAACAGGTGATGTTTTCATTTTAGTCAAGCTGCGTGGAGGTCCCATTCCCCCTGGTTCATTCTCATGCGAGTCTCCTGTGTGAATCAAACTCTGGAGGCTTCGTGGACTTCAGGAAATGATGTCTTCCTCTACTGTAGCCTCTTATTCTCACTGGCATGGACATCCTTCACCTGGATGTCAAATGTTGGCATTTGAGTATGAAACAACTAAGGCCGAAGAGTTGTAGGATGGCATCACGAACAGAGGTACATATTCTGGTGATTGAGTTAAAAGACACACAAGCCTAAGTGCTGTGGAGGAAAACTCATGCCCAGAATGAACTTTTAAGCTAAGGGTCTTGGTATTGACTAATTTTCCCAGGGTGATTTTAATCAAACAACCTTCAAAGCTGAATAATAGAAATATGGAAGTGGCTGTTTAAATTTGTGATCCAGAATACCTCTTTCATATTTCTTATTGGGTCGTAAAAAGCAGTCTTTCCTGAGAGTCTAATTCACTTGTGTCAGCAGGAATTGTCTTGGAGAAAAGCATTCGAGGGTCTGTGGCCCAGGCTACCAGCATGTGTATATATTCATGATGACTCCTTGTAACTCTTCTGCTCTCATAATTGTTTCATATTCAGAAATCAAACATTTGACATCCAGGTGAAGGGCACCCAAGCTAGTGCAGAGAAGGCTACCCTAGAAGAAAGCAAGAGAGCTGTCTCATCTTGATTTATTTTCTGTGTAGGGAAATGGGGATGTTGTAAAAGGGCCTTGCTAATCCCATGAAACCACTTGAAAGAGTCAGTTGAAGTGTGATAGAGGTTTTCCTATGATGGACTTTCATGGGAATCTAGGGAATCTTTCCAATGAGGTATAGTCAACAGTTGCTTAAACTGCCAGGTGCAAAGCTTGGTCTACAGGCTCAATGGGCACAAAGTAACGTGTGTGAGCCATGCCACATGCAATCTAAAGCTTTTCACTCCTGTGTGAGTGAGTCCTAAGGAGTAGCCCTAAGCACTATTTCTGTGCTTAGAGCATCAGGCACTCTGTGACACAGCTCTAGTTACTTTAATAAAAGTGTCTTTACCCTGTTTATCATGTAAAGATTGGGAAAGTACCTTCAGAGAAGCTGACACCCATGGAATACTGATGCTTTGAAAACAAAGCAAAGGAAAAAAAAAAACCTTTAAGTCCTTTATCACATTAGATGTTTGTCTTTTGTGGCAAAACCAACAGTGGAGGGTTGAATCTTGCACTTTCTTTCCTGAACTTACCTAGGTTTACTTGGCTAGGTGTGCAGGCTTGGGTTTGAGGGCCAGCTTCCTCAGCTCAGATGTACTTCATATAGTAGGAAGAATGAAGTCAGACTGAAGAGGTTCCTTCATGATTACATAGGAGCCAGCAAGAGGGAACTGTAGACAACTCAGAGAAGCAATTTCAGAAGAGATAGAATGAAAGGGTCATGTAAACCTAAGTCCACATATGCACCAAGTGCTCTGTGATTGAGAACTGGCCAGAAGCGGCAGTGCTTAGCAGTCTCTGCTAAAGTGAAATACATCAGGTATGTAAGTCTTGATGTCAGAGGAAACAAGCAAAGTGTGACATCCCATTGTCCAGGAGAGATTAGTACAGATTTGAGCCTTTAACAATGTTCCCTCTATGTGAGCTGTTAAGACAGTCTTCATCAGGTCTCGGCTGATTAGGGCCTGCCTAGGAAAATAACTTGGAGTCTGCCTTCACTCATCTTTTGCAGCTGTTTGTTACCAGGCTTCGAGTTAAGATAAATGTGGAATAGTGTCCAACTCCTATAAAAACAGCCCCTGATGTGTGGGACTCTTGACTGGAGGGGCAATGACAGTTGCCAGCAGCTCTGGTACCTATGTGGCTAGAAAGTAGTAAGACATCAGTGAGACATGGAGCCCAAAACTGGTTTCAAGATGACCTATGTGCACTTGGCTTTTGTCCCTGGCCACTGTGTGTGCCTCATGTAGGAGACAGGACACAGAGGGAGTTGTGTCTTTGAGTAGTTCCTGGCTTTCCCTGTGAGATGAAGACATTAAAGATCTTCTGTCCTAGATCCATTTATAAAACCTATATTCAATTAAAGCTGAGTGTCACCTCACTTAGCACCTGACTTATTGCTACAGCTGCATGTATGTACAATGCTCACCTCAGGATAGGGGTGTGGTGGTGGGAGTTATCCCCAGTGCCTGTGTCTGAGATGCTGGCCTCAAAGTGATTCTTTCCCCTGGCTACATGTGGAGGCTGGGATTGGGTCAGCTTCCTCCAGATACATAAAAGATTATTTTGTTGGCCTGTTTTCCATCTGGGCTCATATTCCTGAAACTGTACAATATTCCTTTATTGTACAATTTGTCTTCAAAGTATCTCATGACCCTACTGCAGGATATGGTCAGAAACTCATGGAAATCTTCCATGTCCTGGCCAAGCATTGTTGATCTTATTTTCTGATCCTTTTCAAAACTGTCCTCAAGTGTGCCTCTGAGAGGGTGGCAGCATAGGTGAAAAACTCCTTGAATCGTCGTGAATAGAAAATACATTTCAGCTGGTATCTTGTCAGTTCTCAAGTTGGTTCACGTGAAGCTGATTCAACTCTTAAGTACCTAGATGATGGGACAATCTCACGACTCAGTAGTTAGGCAACCAGTAAAGGCTAAAATATTAGAATCCATATGGGTAAAGACTAATTTTCTGGAGACTTTTTGGGAAGAGCCTTCTTGCCATGGTGCAAAGAACATCTGTCCAGATGCTACTTGGCAATTTCCAGACAAGGCTTAACAAGGAATGGAGGGATCCAAAGATCATCTGTTTCCCATAACATTGTGTTTTTAGTTTAATGGTGGTCTAGGTAGTAGTAAGAGTCCTTGGATCAGGAGTCTGGGAAGTATGAAGGCTCTCTATCTACCCCTAAGTTGTATTCTTTCCTCATAGCAGAGGAAAGTCTTGTTTCCATGGGGGATTTGCATGGATAGGGGCTGCAGTTTACCAGCCAGGCAAATGATACTATAAAGTAGACCCATATTGTGATTCTTTTCAACAAAAGGAGCTAATAAGATAGTTTCCAGACCACAGATTCCATTATCAAAGCTGGTGATTATGAAACTGAAGCCTGTGGAGTGATATGAGGGTTGGAAGGAGGTAGAAGTTGTTGATCCCTGGAAGGACAACTTCTGTGGGAAGCTTATAAACCAGGAGGTGCTGATGTTGCTTGCTGGTGGTCATACCTACTCCTCACCTAGGCTCTAGCAGGATTGCCTGGTCTTGGTTATCAATCAGTCAAAATCATCAACTCCCATGGGACACCTAATTGACACTCCCAACTGGCACTTTTTGACTAGCAGATATCGAGGACTCTAAAGAGTCCTTGCTACTGCCATGATTCACTTCACTGATCCGGTTAATTTGTCCCATGTGTGCTTCAGATACACTTTGTGCTTCAGAGGTTTGACTTAATATATATTGACTTACAGTTGTCTTCCAATATCAAATCTTAGCCACTGTCTTTTCAGATGTCTCCCTCTGTCCTTCAGGTGATCCATTTATACATGTATTAGGCCACTTTTGCCTGCAACTTACTGTTCTGTTCATGTATATTTATCTGCATGTCATTTTGGATATTTTCTATTGCTGTCCTTAAGTTCAATAATCTTCCTCTACGATCTCATCTTCACATCCACTGATTTCTACATGCACATAAAATATGTGAAGACTTCATCTCTAAAAGTTTTAGCTCATTTTTGCCATGTATGTCTTAAATATAGCTTTTCAATACATGGAACAAAGTTATAACAAGTTACATAACTTAATGTTATCTATCTCTCTTTACAATTGAGTTTTGCTCATGTTACAGACAAGGAAGACTGGTTCCCAATGTATTCTCAAGGTTGAATAATGGGTTTGGGCTATTTCTTATACCCAACTGAAATCTAAATTCAAACTAAGATAGTCCAAGGAAGCAAATGCTGCTTCTCTTCCCTTACCAGCCTCATTTAGAACTGCATCTTTATGGGGAAATATCTGTTGAAATGGTATGTGGTGGAACTTCAGAGTTTGAGCAGCTTACCTGTATCTACTGATGTGGCTATTGGTCCTGTCTCACAGAAGTGAAGGAATGGACTAGTCAGTCATGGCGCACACTTTCAGCATACATTTTCCAGGTACTGTACCAACTTGCTGTCTTCTGCGTCCAGTCGATGGGAGAACTTGGTAGAAGACTGAGAATGCAAGGAAATGAAGTATCAAGGTGCTTCAATGCCTCATTGCCTCAGACCATGTTTTAGAGTCTGCTGCATGTCTCCAGCATCATGAAACAGGACAATCATGGTGTCATTGTTCCAGGAGGAGGCTCTACCCTTGGGCTTCAAATCACTGAGTGTCCAATCAGCCTGGGAATGGCTGCAAATGAGTTGCCTTTCTTGGAGACCAGGCACATTCCTTTGCATGGAATTTTGGTTCACAGTATTATAAGTAACCACATACTTCCTCAGGAATAGTGAGGGAACATTCAGCTTTCCTCTAATTGTTTAATATAAAACTATTATAGATGTCTGGAATTGCATACACCTTATCCATGTTCAGGGCTAGCTCATATGTTTTCTTCATATAGGTAAAATTAAGGAAAAATGTCTTCTGGTTTAAAAACACAACACCTTGCCTCTGCGAGCCTCAGAATTAGACCTCTGAGTCTTAACAATGATGTTTTATCGTAGTTTCATCATGGGACTCTGTACTTCAAAGAGGATTTAGGGTTCTAGGTTCATACCTCTCCCCAGAAATACTAAGAAATTTCCCAATACTAAGACTAGTGGACATCTGGAGCCATGCACATATTGTAGCCTATGAGATGGCTTGCCTATCAAATGAGCTCAGCCTCCACTGGGCTTTTCAGGAGTATATTCTAGATTGCTGATGATTCAGGAGGTTCTGAAGGCCAGATAGTGTCACTGCCTGAAATGAGTTCCAGGTTTAGTTCTTATTAATATGAAATAGACTAAAGTTATCCTTGGCCTTGGAGCTGACTTTGTTCATTAGGACAGTCTAAGATGGGCAGCAGTGGGAACAGGAGATAGAGAAGGCTTTAAACTGAAGAGGGGCAATGTTAAGTCTTGTGTCCATTTCTTAGACAAGCTTGGTTCAGAAGACGGTTTACCAAAAACACCCTGTGTGACCACTTGATGTTGTGCTCAATGAAACAGTGTGGTCTACCACCTGGTCCTTCCCTGCACTTCGTTACTAGATTCATAGGTCTTTGTTGGTTATTTACTACTGGGTGTGGGGCCCAGATTCAGGAATTCATGCTTTTGTAATTTCCTTCAGCAAAGTTACTGGCAAACTAGTGTAGAAACTCTTAATTCCTGCAGAGATCAAGGGTTGGTATATGTTATGAAGAATGTTAAAAACACAAGTCATTTTAATCTTCCCCATAAACATGTCTACCTATCTTAGAAATGTACACTTAAATAGTAAAAACTAGATCACTACAACTTTTTAGATTCAGGGGTACATGTGCAGTTCGTTATGTAGGCATATTTCATGATGCTTGGGTGTAGAGTATATATGGTCCTATCACCCAACTACTGAGCCTAGTACCCAATAGGTAGCCTTTCATCCCTTGCTCCCTCTCCTAGTAGTCCCCAGTGTTTATCGTTCCGGTCTTTATGTCCATGTGTACCCAGTGCTTAGCTCCTGTTTACAAGTGAACACGTGGTATTTGATTTCCTGTTCCTGTATAATTTGCTTAGGATGATAGCCTCCAGCTCCATCCACGTTGCTGCAAAGGATGATGCCTTACTGCTTTGTCCCTTCTAGCTTCATAGACTTCTGGTTTCTTGGACTTTACCCCTTGGGTTTTTTTGTTGTCTTGTGTTTTTTTTAAGCCTGAGTTTGTTCCTGGCTTTATTTTCAAAGGCTGTGCTAGAAATGCTTTGCATGAGCCCTGATCTTATTGCATTATTGAAGAAATACACTGTCACCTATGACCTACTTAGCTATATAATTGATGGAAAGGGAAGATGGGAATTAAGCAAGGTCTAATAGGGTCTGACTTCTTCAGGACTGTAAAAGATATTGGAGAGTCTCCAATTAGATGTCTTCTCTGGAGATACCTTTTTCTCCATTATGTAAGACAGGGATGATCAGGCTGCCTGTGATGAATGGACCTCCAGTATCATGATGAATAAGAATGTTCTAGCCAGTTGTAGACACTAACATCCCTTCCATGACAGTCATCGACTAGTTGTCATGCCCAAGCAGACCCCAAAGGCAGCCAGGCTTGTCCTCGATGCTACCTCCATGATTTTTTTCCTGGGATTCTAATGCTAGGTGGACATCAAGGATGACTTGGGCAAATGAACTAATAGCTCACAAGGGATCTTCTATCAATTTGAGAAGTGCTTTTAGTTCCACATGTGAAGGTTCACATAAATATACTATCTGACATAGGACTACATAATTGGGTTTCTGTAAAGATTTAAGACGGTAGGAACAGGTAGCCCTGAAAGAGACTAGCAGACTAAAATCCTGGCACAGAGGGAAGGATTCCAACAGATATGGCCTTTCCAAATTCTCTTCACACGGGCAAGTGCTTACAAAACAGTGGACAACCCACAGGGTGCTTTGCATTTTTTCTTTGAGTATTTTTAAAATCCCCTATTCAGACAAGTTGGATATGTTTTTCCCCTGTGGCAACATTAGCAATGCAGGGTTGAATCTGGCACTTCTGGACGTGCCCAGGTTTACATGGTTCATGTGACTAGAGTCTGAAGTTCTATGACAGGCTTTCTGCAAGCTGGAGACCTGGGATGCTGATAGCATGGCTCAGTCTACATCTGAAAGCCTGAGAACCAGGGGATCTGCTGAACTAATACTAGAGTCTAAAGGCTAGAGAGCCCGAAATTCTTATTTCACAATAGTGTATCCCAGTTTCACGGGGAAGAGTGAATTTTCCTTCTCTCAATTCTATCCAGACGCCAGCTGGTTGGATGGTGCCCGCTTACATTGAGAACAGATCTTGCTCAGACTCACATGTCAATCTCCTCTGGAAACACCTACAGAGATACTAGAAAGAATGCTTTACCAGTTATTGAAGTATCCCTTAACCCAGTCAGATTGATACCTAAAACTAACCATCAAAAGTCTACTCCTTATCAGCTTAGCCACCCATAAGCACCTCTTTAAACTACATCTAACTTCCAAATAAAGACAATAAGATAATTGTTTCACCTAATATGATACAACTATCATGCATAAAACTAAAAATGCACTAATGCCTTAGAGAAGGTAGAGTTGTTGGATGATTCTTATGATACTCCATAACTTAAATACTATGATGAATAATTAATATGCAAACACAATATAAAGTCAAATCTTCCAAGATAAAGGAATAAGAGGAATGAAAACAAAGGTATTTACTTTATGCATATATATACAAAGAATAGGAAGAAGATATGCGTGACAACTAGTCTTACTTCCTGTAATTGGTCGTGTGTTCATAGCTGACATTTATAACCAGGATTCTACTACCCATTCTGTATCTTCTTTACCTCCCAGATGTATCTCAACTGGTCACGGTTCTTTACCTGATGGGGCAACCCAAATTTGTATTCAGTCTGGACCATTCCTAGTCTTTCCTGGATACGGTTGCTGTAATTTTCCAATGACATTAATCACAAGGCATGGTAACACTAAGATGTTCTAAGGACTCTCCTGTATTCCAGACATACTCTTCCTTAATTCCATTGTGGAATAGCATTTTGATGTCCCCTTGGCAGTTTGGATTAGTTACCCCAGCCAATGCTAACTCCTGTATTAGCCTGTTGACTGAGGTATGAGAAGCTGAGATGGCTGGGTGGCAGTCTTGTCTTACAGTTCAGTGGAATCATTGTCTCCTGGTGGAAGCATTCCTCCCTCTGAAACTAAGACCTCTAGGCCAGCAGAGCATAAATTTGCAAGAACAGGAAGCAAAAGCTTTGCTAGTGAGTGTCCACCACGGGTAATGGTGAAATAGTACCACTCCCATGTCCGCTCCTTGATTCCTGAACCCTGTGAATCCTGACTATCAGAGTTCCATTTCAATACGATATATATTGGATGCTGATTCAGAGCATATACAGCCTTCTGAAGACCCTTGTCCTAACCCTATGAATTATTGTCACCTAGCTGGAACTGGAGATGTTTTGAAAAGGCTTTTCTGCTATTAAGCCAGCTGTTTTAGGATGGTGGGGAACATGGTAACACCAGTGACTTCCATAAAAACGGGCCTGTTGCTGCACTACTTTGGCTGTGAACTGATTCCTTGGTCAGAAGCAGTGCTATGTGAAAGGACATGGCAGATAAGGCATCCTGTGATTCCATGGATAGTATTTTGTGGAAGAAGCATTGCATGCAGGGAAAGCAAATCCACATCCAGAGTAACTGTCTATTCCAGTAAGAACAAAATGCTGTCCATTCTATAACAGAAGTGGTCCAATGAAATCAACCTGCCACTAGGTAGCTGGTTGATTACCCTGGGGAAATGGCACCATACTGGGGGCTCAGTGTTGGTCTCTGCTGCTGTCAGATTGGGCTCTCAGTGGAGGAAGTCTGTTAAGCCCATGTATAACCTCAATGTTTGCCACCATGGCCACTCCAAGTTCATTGAGCAATTACAGTGGTGGCTGGGAAAAGAGGCTAACCCAGTATCCACATAACGGGTCCTTTCTATCCACCTGATCGTTAGTTTTTCTCTGCCAAGATCACACCTCAGCGTTCACATGGGACACAAGTATCTTTACATCGTTTGCTTATGCAGATCTCTCCACTTACCATTTCCCTAAGTCTGTCAATTTTCCAGTTACTTTCCTTCCAAGTTCCTAATCATCTAGCCAAACCACTGGCTATAGCCCATCTGTCCATTTCTCCTTCCAAAGTGCACAACCAGGTGAGCTGCCTGGGATTCTGCCCATCAGGAAAACTTCCTTCACCATTGTCCTTCAAGGATGTCCCAGAAAGGAGCTATAGTTATCTACTTATGGGTGGTGCCTTCATATTGTGCAGAACTATTTGGAAACCAAGCCCTTGTCTCCTGTCAACTGATCATAGGATATTCATGAGTCCATAGGTCCAGACAGTGAGAAGGCAGTGTAACTAGGAATGTTAACTAGAAACAAGGTACTTCATGTAGAAATGGTTCATGAGGCTTTAAAGATGTCATCAGCTGAAGCATGGCTCTGAGTACTCAGTACAAGAGTATGGTATATTGCTCAACCACTTCAAAGAAGGATGTTGCTTGGGACATTCTCCATATTTATGGCTGGCATTTGTGGAGAGAAGCCATGGGTAAGTGGGCCAATTTTTCATGTAACTTGTGCCATCAGGACCTGCTTGGGCTGAGTCACACATACCCTTTTCATTTGCTGGAGTGCTGCTGTGCACACCCAAACTTATAGCTTGGTGGGTCAGATGATGATCAGTTTGTGATACGTAGCTCAGGTCTTATGGTAACTTGGTGGCCCACGGTCTAGTGTTCAGTTTCTAGTAAGGCATAGTAGCAGGCTAAAAGCTGCCTCAAAAGTTACCCGCAGATGGCAGACCCTTGCTCCAAAATCCTAAAGGTGGCCTCCACTGCAGTTCATCTATGAAGCCTTGCCAAGGGGTTCAAACAGTATCCTATCCACCCTGGACACCTCAAATGCCATTGGATCTATTGGATCATATGTTCCAAGTGGCAGAGCAGCTTGTATAAAGCCTGGATATGTTGCAGAGTTCTCTTCTGTCCTGGGCCCCACTTAAAACTAACAGCTTTTGGGGTCACTTACTGCCAGAGTAACACTCAAATGAGGAATGTGTTACATCCAAAATCCAAATAGGCCCACTAGACATTGTGCTTCTTTCTTGGCTGTGAGAAGGGACAGATGCAACAACTTGCCCATCACCTGAGATGGGATATCTAAACAGGCTGCATGCCACTGAACCTCTAGAAATTCCACTGAGGTTGAAGGTCCTTGAATCTTAGATTTGTTTCCTGCCCCTGACATATAAATATCTTACCAATAAGTGCACATTAGTTGGTATTTCATGCTCACCAGGTCCAAATAGCATAAGTTCACCAATGTAATGGACTAGTGTATCTTCTGGGAAGAAAAGGTGATCAAGATCCCTTGAACTAAATTACCACATAGGGTTAGAGTTGATACACCCATAAGATAAGACCAAGAAGGTGAAAAATATTACTTCTGGTGGGCCTTATGGACAGAAACAGAGTAAAAGGCATTTGCCAGATGAATAGCTGCATACCAGGTACCAGGAGATGTGTTAATTTGCTCAAGCAATGAAACCACATCAGGTACAGAAGCTATAATTTCCATTCCCAAATTCTCTTGGTTAAGCTTAGTCATTCACTATCACTTTTTAGGATCCACGTGTTTTCTACACAGGCCAAATAAAGCTAAACAGGGATGTAGTAGGAATCACTACCCCTGCATCCCAAGTCCCTGATGGTGTCACAAAGCTCTACAATCCTTCCAGGGGTTTGATACTATTCTTGACTTCATTTTCCTAGGTAGACACATGTCTAATGGTGTTCATCTTACCTTTCCTACACAATATCCTTGACCCCACAGGTTAGGGGATGAATGTGAGGATTCTGCCAGCTAAATGTTCGCTCGTTATGAGTTCTAGAACTGGGAAAATGACCACAGAATGGGCTCAGACCTGAGCTAAAATTCCATTAACTGCCTGACCTCCATAAGCCCCTTTTCTGACTGGAGTGCCACAGTGATGTTTTGGATCTCCTGGAATTAAAGTCAGTTCAGATCCAGTGTCCAGCAGTCCCTGAAAGTTCTGATTCTCTGCTTTTCCCTGATGCAGTTTCCCTGGTTAAAGGCTGTAAGTCCCTTTGGGGGAAGAATGGGAGACAGGTTAATATACAAACTTCTGGTGCTGGACTGGGGTCCGTCCTGGAGGGGATCTGGCTTCCCCTTTATTCAATAGGTTCTAGGTTCATAAACTGGCTCAAGTCTGGGAATCTACTGAGGGACTATGATTCCATTTTGATTCTGTTTGAGTCAGACTGCTCGTTTGACCTGGAAGTCTCCTGGTTATACAGACTAACTAAAAATTTAGTAGGCTTTCTGTTTCACTTCTAGAAACATTATCTAGCCAAGGCCATGGATCTACGTAATTCAGATTGTTGGTCTCTGACAATTGTGATGACTGTGTCCAGTTTGTCTTTGCATACCACCACTTGGCCCCTACCACCCCAAGACCTAATTATTTCCACCACATTTAAGTTGTCCAGTTCAGTGGCAGTGGTTCTCCCTATAAGATCTGGTCCACAAAGAACAAATATGAAGCTCTTCAGGGATGCTAGGGCTTCCGTCAAATCTATTAGAGTATTAGCAAAAGGTATGTCTTCCAGACCCTCTCAGTATGAGTCAGCAGGTTTTAAGTGACAAACACTTCCTAGTATTTCAACCGCCCTAAGCCTTTTAATTCATGCCTCACCTTAATCCAAGGAAGACCAGGCATCTCCAGCTAGCTCAGTGGGTCATCCATTCACATCTTGGCCAACCAGTGCCTTTTCTAACTCTCCAAGCTGCAATGTTAAATGCAAAATCTCTGCTTAGTGGGCCCATATGAATACATCTAGCCTGATCCAACTTTGTTTCTTTTCATGATTACCCCAAACCCTCAATATCCATTCCCTCATATGTTCCCCAGATATGTTTGTATAATTAGAAAACTCAGTTCTTTTGGGTAGCATACCACTTCATGAGTCATACTTTCTCATCTTTTGGGAGCCTGCTGGGGCATGAGTCTAGTTACAGGTCTCGAAGCAAAAAGGAATATAGGGTGGATCCTGAGGAGAATTGGCATTCTTTTCTGGCAACCTCCTCAGGGAGGCTATTACTCTTTTCTCAGGCAATGCAGAGTTAATCTCAGAGGTAAAAAGCTGGCTACCACTGGGTGGGGTAAAGATGTCATTGTCCCTGACAAACAAGGCTCATCGGGATTTTAGGCACTCTATGTCTCCAGCTTCATCAGGATGTTCCCAGCTGTCCCCATCCCAACTTACAGGATTCCATTCTTTCCCAACCAATGCCCTCACTTTAAAAGACACTGTGCGAGGCTGAGAGTTCAACTTCTGTTGTAATTCAGCCACTCACCTGAGGGTTTTTGTTTTACTTCTTAGGAATTTCAGATCTGGCTACTGGAGAGATCAACTTGGGTCACACTTAGATGCTCAACCACTTAGGCTATTTGGAGCTGGAGTTGGGAAATTGAATTCTTGAACCTCATCATTTCCTCACTTTGTCCAGTGATGTTAGGATCAACCAACATTCATATTCCTTTGTTTTCTACAAATGTTTGAAAATATATGTGGAGTCACCAATATGCAGAGTCACCAAGCTCCTTGCCTCATAAGTGGTGAATTACTTACAAATACTTATTTTGTTCATCTCTCTAGTTCATGCCATGGGCTATCAATGTTCTCTATACTACTAGAGTCCTTAGAATTTTGGGATCTTATAAGAGAGCCAACTCCAGATACTTAAGAAAATCTACATGTAAATGTTCTTCTTTACTCCTGGTACCAATATATATTAAGGCTCTCTAGACGTAGAACCAGTAAGTTATGTAGATACATGAAAGGAGACTTAATAGGGGAATTGGATCCTTCAGCTATGAAGGTTGAAAAGTCCCATGCCAGGCTGTCTACAAGCTTGGAGGCCTTGGGAAGCTGGTAGTGAGGCTCAGACCACATTGGTAAGGCCTAAACACTCAGGGGGCCACTAGTGTAAATTCTGCAGTCCAAAGGCTGAAAAGCCTGGAATTCTGATTTCCAAGGGCAGGAAAAACAGTAATTCCAGCTCAGACCAGTTTGTCTTGTTCAGGGCCCCAGCTGATTGAATGGTGCATGCCCACATTGAGGGCAGATCATTCCCACTCAGTCCACTAACTCGCACTTCAATATTCTCTGAAAACACCCTCGTAGACATACCCCAAATTGTCTTACCCATTCCCTAGGTATTCCTTAATCCAGTCAACAACCATTAACCAGCACAGGCCTATATAGAGGGTAGTCCAGAATATCCCTCTATTAACACTCAGCTTCTGCTAGGTAACAGATCTTGATGGAGGGCTGCATAATTAGAGTTGTGTCAGCAGGAGTCAGTCTTGGATTGGAGTATTTAAGGGCCTGGTGGCTGGAGGATGATAGTTTTCTCTGATCTCTGCCTCTTCTCTGAAAACTAAACTGAAATGTTCGAAATAGGCATGCTGAAGAGCCTTGTGAATCTCAGCTGACTCATCTTCCCATTGGTCTCATGAGAGACGGACTTCCTCTGTGTGGGATTATCAGTGAATGTGGAATCTTTCCAGCCATTATATCTACAGAGTTGCCGAACTCCCTAAAATGCTGGGTGTGAATTTCATTCTACAGGTTCTAGGGGCACAAAGTAGTGCGCATTGAGTGATGTTCTATACTAGCTAAACCTTCCATGTGCCTTTACTTGTTCTTACTGCAGCAGGGCCTTTATATCTAAGCACAGGTGACTGACATTCCTGGTGATGTCATAAACCATTGCTCTTAGCTTTTTACACTTCTGAAATCTAGAACTTGCTTGATGGAGGGTCCCATGAGCCTATTGCTCCTGGCTTCATTTTCAAAAGCTATTGTATACACTAGAAGCGTGTTTTTCACATAAGCCCTGATTTTGCTGTAGGATTGAAAAATTGATTTATCCTCCCCTCAGTTGAATTTGAGCCACAACATAAAAGTGACGGGACAAGACAGGAATCAAGGAGTTTTCCTGATGTGAAAGCTTTGAGTCACAGTTGGATGTTGATTTGATGGGGATGAATGTTTAGTTTGAGGTCAACCAAGTTAGCTGTGAATGGAGCTCAGGTGTCTATGGTGACACTAACATCCTGGCTGGTAGCAGTCGCTCCCACTTCTATGATAGTTGTAATGACCAGTTGTTTGTTTCCCCAAGTGGCCCGGAGGCAGCCCAGCCTGTCCTTCATGCTGTCTTGTGTTTGTTTCCTAGGATCTTAGTGGTAGAGAGAGGCATGACATAGGTGGAAACCAATTCTGCTCTTTTCAAAACATGGCCCTACATGCGGGAGGGAAATGTTTATATATAGACATATATGTATAGAGGTGTCTTCAATCAGTCCTATGGGGCAAGATTCACATAAGTAGAGACCAGAAGACTCATGGAACCTGGTTTATTTCCAAAATCCTCAGGAGAAGGGGAGCAGATACTTCTGAAAAAGACTATATCATAAGCTAAATTTCTTGTTACAGGGGATTCTTGAAACTTACTATTCCCTGACTATGTTTACAAAACAAAGTACTTGCAAAAATATTGACATCCCAATGTATACTTGGGAGTACTTACATCAAAGTAAAACTAAGTATTCATCCAGACAAATTGAATGTTTGTCTCTTGTGGGAACATTAGCAGTGGAGGGTTAAAACTTGTACTTTCTAGCCTCAGCCAGGTTTGCGTGGTCAGGTCTGCAGGTTCAGGATTCCTTAGGGCCAGGCTGAGATATGCTTCTTTGTAATGGGAAGAATGAGGTCAGAGGGCAGAGGCTCTGTTATGACCACATAGGTACAAGGATTAAGGAACTGCAGACAATTTAGGAAGGAGTCTCATTTAGGAAGGAATGGGGTGGTGGTATTACATCTACTTAGGTCAAAATTGACACCAACTGCTCTGCTATTGAGCTTGGAGGTGGTAGAGGCAGCACTCAGCAACCTTTGCTGAAATAAAATATAGGTCAATAAAACTTGATATGAGGACGGACAAAGTGTGACACCCCATTGTCTAGGATGGCTCAGGGCATGTTTGAGCCTCTAACATTGGAGTTTCCTCCATGTGAAACTTGGGTATCCTTGTCAGGTCTGGGCTAACCCAGGCCTGCCTAAGAAACCTGAAGTCTATCTTCTCAGCCTCCTGTGGCTCTTTGCAGAGTTAAGATACATGTGAAACACAATTACAGCCTCATTGTGGAACAGCCGTGGAGTGGTATTTTGAAAGACATTACGTCTCCAAATTGCTTTGGGTAGTATAAACGTTACAACACTGATTCTAAAACTTCAGAAGATAGTCATGTCTAGGACTAGGCGGTTCCTGAATTCTCATGATCCAAGTCATGTTTCATCTTCAGATAATGAAACTGAAGCCCAAAAGGGAGGTGCCTTGCCCAGCTCTCCTGCTGCAGGCACTTACCTGTGCTGAATCCAATACGAGGGTCAAGATGGCTGGGGTAAGAGCATAACTTGGCATCAGATACCCTTCTGTAATTCACTGGTTGGATTGCCCGGAATAAAGTTCGTAAACCTTCTGAATCTATTATACCTCACTGGTAAAATGGACTGCTAATCCCCTCATAAAACCAAGAACTAAAAGATGTAATTCATGTGGAATATTTTGGATGAATGTCTAGCACAGAATAAGTTTCAATAACTGATAGCTGTCTACAATTCAGTACAATTCCCTTCACCATACACCACCATACCATCAATCCTTTGCCAAAGATTTGCATGACTGATCATAAGTTATTCTCCAAAAAAGTATACCCTCATATCTATTACAGAAAGCTGCTAATCATACTAGTTAAATCTCATCCTATGTTTTGATTTCTATAAGCTAATATGAATGTTTACGGAAGACCGTCTGTCACAGGCTGTCAGGTACCCTTGTATATTTAACTTCATATGCTCTAATACTCATCAGTTCATCTGGGTCAATACTAAAATCATCTATTTAGGTGAGGATTATAAGATTCACAGGAATGACATAAACATGCCTCTTAGTAACCTGAGTCAAAATCTGAAAGTCTGACACCTTGGAGTTTTTCCCCACCCTCACACTAGGTATACAAAACAATGCTGCTAACACATCAGACTGAGTGGCTCAGGGGTAAGAATCATGCCCAGGGTGAATGAGATCTTGTCAGGATGTGAATGTTGGGCTCCAATGTTCTCAGGGTATCTTGATCAAACCATCTTCAAAAGCTGAAATTGAAAACATGGAAATCACCCTGTTTAAAGGAATAATCTGGAACACTTCATTAATAACTAGTTTCTTTTGGGTCATAAAAAATGATATCCTTGAAGTTTTGTATAACCAGGTGAATTGAGTTCAGTGGGAGTGAATCTTGGAGAATGAGAAACCTAGGGGCTGAAATGCAAGAGAGCTAGCTCATCTTGATCTATTATCTGGGAAAATTAAACTGGACTGTGTTACAAAATAGGTGTGTTGGAGAAGGGCTGGAAGAGTCAGCTGAGTGGTGGTAGAGGTTTTCCTGTGTGTTTGGATTCTCATCTGTCACATCCATTGAAGTACAGAGTTACCACTTCCTTAAACTACTGGGTACAAAATTATTCTATAGGCTCAATGGGCACAAAGTGTAGTGTACATGGTCTACGTCTCACATTATCTAATGCCTTCCACCCCTGTGTGCTGCTGCTTCTGTGCTTAGATTCAGAGCAGCAGGCACTCTGTGGCCAATTACAAGTGACTGGCTCTAAGGGTGGTGAGATCTAAACTGTGGTTCCTGCCTTTCTCAGCTTCATAAACTGATATCTAGGAGTTGTCACTGATAGAAGCCCATGAGCTTTTGCTCCTGGTTTCTTTTTTTTTAAAATTTATTATACTTTAAGTTCTAGGATACATGTACATGCAGAGTGTACAGGTTTGTTACATAGGCATACATGTGCCATGGTCGTTTGATGTACCCATCAACCTGTTATCTACATTAGGTATTTCTCCTAATGCTATCCCTCCCCTAGCCCCCCATGCCCCGACAGGCCGCGGTGTGTGATGTTCCCCTCCCTGTGTCCATGTGTTCTCATTTCTCAACTCCCACTTATGAGTGAGAACATGCGGTGTTTGGTTTTCTGTTCTTGTGTTAGTTTGCTGAGAATGCAGAGACATGGATGAAGCCAGTTTCCTTTTCAAAAGCGATTGTATATACTGACCAAATCCAGGCGTTTCTTCTTTCGTAGAGAGTTTGTGGCTAATTGTAGCACCCAAGTGGGCCAGGAAGAACATCCAGGCCTATCCAGACCAAACCACCTCAGGTTTGTTTCTTGGGATTTTGGTGCTGGGCACACAGATCAGGGAAGACAAGGCAGAAACAGGTCTGTGGGTTTGAAAGGAGCCATCTCTATAGACATGAAAGTGCTTCAACCATGTTTCAGTGTTCAGGTTCACATAACTGCAGGCTGCCAACGTGCATCCATAGAATCTGGTTTCTAACAAGAACTAGGACACTCAAAAGAGGAACAAATGTTCTGAAAGGAGACTGTGTCGTTGACTCGGCTACAGAGGAGGAAGGATTTTGACAAATCTTCTATGTAAACAAAACTGAGAAAGTACTTGTGAAAATGTCAAACCAAAGATCTCTCTAGTACATTTAAGACAATGTAAAATTTATCCAGAAAAATTGGATGTTTGTCTACAATATATCCATAGTGGCAAAACTAGCAGTGAAGGGTTGTTGAGTCTTGCACTTCCCATTCAGGGTTCACACAGGTTTGCAGGCTTGGGGCTCCCTGGGGTTGGTGCTCTCCTCTACTCAGATGTGCTCCTTTGTAACAGGAAGAATAAAGTCAGAAGGCAGATGATCCCTCATGAGTGCATTGGGACCAAGACGAGGGGACTGAAGATAACTTGGAAGTGTTCAGAAAAGGATGGATGAATGACACTTGACTAGGGCAAAATGAGCACGAACAGTTCTATTGGGCATATGAGGTGGGAAGCACAGTACTTGGTATCCTTTGAAATGAAATATACCAGGTCAATTAGACTTTATGTGAGAGAAGAGACAAGGAAAGTGACATCCTTTCATCCAGGACAGGTCAGTGCAGGTGGTCATCTAAGTTTCTTCCACATAAGAGCTTTGATAAGTTCCTACTTCTCAAGCTGTGTTGATCCAGGTCTGCCTATAAAAATGACTTGAAGTCTGTCTTCTCACAGCTTCTATGGCTGGTTTTTGCCAAGCTCTAGAGTTAAGATAAATGGGGAGAATGTTGTCAAACTCCTGAACAGCCCCTAATGTGTGGCACTCTTCCTTAACTGGAGTGGGGAGTGATGCATTGACAGGCTACAGTATAACAGATTAGTGAGCCCTAACAGGTACAAAACTGTTTCTGGGTACATAGAGCTGTACATTGAGCTCTAAGTGACTCACATGCATTTAACTCCTGTGAGTGGACATTGTACCTGCCCTGTGTGGGTGAGAGGCCAAAGGAAGCTATGTACAAAGTTTGCGTCCCCCAAAGAGATGAATACAATGTAGATAACAGTTCCTGTCTTAGATCCTTTTATACAACCTAGTAAATATAATACTTGGTTAATGCCAAGTGTGTATTCCAAGTTGCCACCTGACCCTATCCCCACAGTTACACGTGTGCACAATGCTCATCCCAGGATTGGGGTGGTGGCAGGAGTTATCCCCAGTCCCTGTGTCTGAGCTGCTGGCCTCTCAAAGTGACAGTCCTTTCCCCTGACTAGATGCAGAGGCTGGGACTGGGTCAGCAACATCTCTTCTTCCAGCAACCTAAGGTAAGAGGCTTGCTTGTAGCTGCTCTACCTAGGCTCGTATTCCTGAAGCCTGTACCTGTTTGTACAGTAGCTCCAGAAACCATCTTATGCGGCTCGCACAGGATGCGGTTAGGTGGTTATGGGAGTCTTCCACGTTCTTGTCAACTCTTATGGATCTTAGTAATTCTTTCCAGGTTTTTGAACGACTTTAGCTGTCTTCAACGTGCTACTTGCAGGAGGCAGCAGAGTGTAGCACTTCCTTTAATCATTGTATGTTAAATTCACTTCATAGGCCGTCTTCTTCCTTGCTCTTGACACCCAGTTGTCTTGAAGTTGACCTGCATGAAGATTACTCACACCTGAAAGTATGTAGATGAAGACAAGTCCCAGTAATTCGAACCAGTAGAGACAAAAAATACTAGATCAGAGTTTGTATAGGGGAAGAAATTGGATTATTTAAGATTGTTCTGAAAAGAGTTGTTATGCACTGGACCTCTGCTTGGCAGAGACACCATTTGACAGTTCTCAGGGTTTAATTATTAAGGAAGGTGAGGATCTGGATATTCTGATGTTGCTAGGGACATCGTTTTGTGGCTTAATATGGTAGGCTAGGTATTAGGTGGGTGCAAAAGTAATTGTGGTTCTTGCCATTGCTCTTAATGGCAAAACCCACAATTACTCTTGTGCCAACCTAATAGAGCTCTTGAATCAGGAGACTAGGAAGCATGTCTGTCTGCCCTTGAGCCATGGTCTCTCCTCATAGTGGAGACTTGTTTCCATTAGGCAGCTGTGTAGATTAGGGGGCTGAGGTTTCCAGCCAGGCAAGTGACACTAAGTAGCCCCATATTGTGATTCATCTCAATCCAGGAGCTAGTAAGTCAGCCCTCCAGCCTGTAGATTCATAATCACCTCCTTTTGAGAATGAAAGTAGAGGCTCTGGAGTGACTTGAGGGTTAGAGGAATTAAGAAGCCATTCTTCCCTCGGTCAACTTGCCCTTGCATAAGGAGGTTATAAACCAGTGGTATACAGAATTGTTCTTTCCTTGTTCTACACCTAGTTAATAACAGGATTGTCTGGTTATTAACCAGAGTGAAAATATCACCTGCAATGGGACACTCAATTGACACAGTAAACTGGCATCTTCTAACTAGTGAGTCTGTTAATTTTGATTCACTTTCAACTTGTTCTGTGGGTGTTTAAAATGTACATTCTGCACTCTGGGTGACTTTTTTTTGCATGTTGATTTATAGTTGTCTTCACATGGAAAACTTGATCAATATTTCTTCATTTCTTTCAGGTAATCTATTTGTATGTCTACTTCACTACTTAGTTTGTATACAATTCACTTTCCCATGTATCCTTCAAGTTTTGTCATTTTTGGACATATTCTAAGTACTTGTATAAGATCTAACTTGAGGTTAATTCCATCCACTGTTTTCATACTGCACATTACAATGGCCTCTCCAAAGTTCAACTTTTTGTCATGTGTTTCCTATTGGACATCTGAGACATAGTGACAACTGTCTGAACGTACAAGAATTGTATAGCCATGTAACTTTTTCAGCATAGAGAATAGTTACAGTGACTAATATATAACTGTCTGCATCTTGGTGTAGGTCATGATTGATTTTTGTTGTTCCTTCACCTTGCATGTGGAGGACTGGTCCTAATGCATTTGGGAGAGATTCTCCTGATTAAATGGCAGATCCAGGACTAGATGAGCCAAGTATGTATTTTTTAATCTTGGAGGCATTTATCTTGGTCTAGAGCCTGAGTCCCCAGTAAGCAATTCCCTAATACTGGCCTCTTATAAGGATCTGATCCAGATTCAAACTAAGACAATCCAAAGAAGCAAAGATGCTTTTTTCTTCCCCTCACCAAGCTTGTGTTGAAACTGCACCCTAATGGTAAATGTCCATCTAAATGGCATGCAGCAGAACTCTGGAGTCTGAGCAGCTCATCTGTACTTAGTAACTATGTGGCTATTCGTCCTGTCTGACTTCAATTCCTTTTATTCCCTCCAACACAAGGAACATTACCTTTAAGCCTGTTTCCCAAATACAGTACCAGCTTTCTTCCACCCAGGACTTGTCAATGAGAGAAGCTGGCAGAACACTGTGGATGGTAGCAAGGGGAGAGTCCAAGGTGCTTCATGTCCTCACTGCCTCAGACCTCAGACCTCATTTTGAGTCTGTTCCACCTGTCCAGCTTCAGACAGGAGAACTATGGTGTCAGTTTCCAATGGAAAACTCTAACCTTGAGTTCCAAAAACACCAGCTAAGCCAATTGTCTGTTTAGCCTGGGAGTGGTCACATGTGAGTCCTGTTTTGGAGGGTAGGTGCCATGTTTTGTATCCCTATGACCTCTTGGCCTTTAGTGCCATAGTTACTCCATCTCTTTAATCAGGACTGAGGAAGCAGTATTCAGCTTCCCTTTACTTGGTCATGTGAAATTATTTTGGAATTCCACAGATTATCCATATGGCAGGGCCACCATCTGTATGAGATGGAGAATCAAGAAAATGGTTTCTAGTTTAACAATGTTTTTTTTCTGTGAAACTATGGACTATGTTGAATATTTACAAAATATTTTGCTCCAGTTTTGTAGAGACTCCAATGTTAGCACTACAGTCTCTCATTAGAAAACTTAAGGTTCTAAGCTTGTTTCCCCCCAGACAACTCTAGAGAACTTCCTAATACTTGGAAGGCTGTAGGTGACACTTGGTACCATACATACGTTGTAGCCTGTGAGATGGCTTGCCTATCAAATGAAAGGCCCAATGAAGGCTTGAGCTTGGATCAAGTTCTGGATTCTTACTGATGATGCAAGAGGTCCTGAAAGCCAGGTAGTGTCACTTCCCAATGTGAATTCCAGGCCTGGTGTTTCTCACTAATGGGAAATAGACTGAGTTCCCCACTGACCCTTGTCCTTGAGCCTAACTTTGTTCATTAGGACAGTCTAAGATGGGCAGCAATGGGAACAGCGGATGGAAAAGGCTTTAAGCTCAGTGTGTCCATTCCTGACTGGAAAAGCCTGACTCAGAATACTGTTAAATCACAGTATACTCCCTGTCTGACCACTTGGGATGCTGTGTTCAAAGAAATGGTCTAGGCCATCTGTTCTCTTACCACTTTGTTACTGAGCTGATAGCCAGTTGTCAATGGTTCCCTCAACCAGCGAACTATTGAGTATGGGGTCTAGATTCAGGAATCCAAGTTACTGTAATGACTCCCCTGCTCCACCAGCAAGGCAAACCTCAGCATAGAAAGCAGTGTATGCATTTCTTGTAGGTACAGGACTAACAAGTGTTATAGACTTCAAAGAACAGGTGTGTAGATGAAGCTGATCTTCCAATTTGTTTTAATTAGAAATGAAGTTGCTCATACAAACTAAAAGTTGGAAACATTCTAGTGGCTCATGTGGCAGCATGGGTGTGAGAAGCTATCTTGTACCATGGGAACTGGCATTCCTGAATCAAGGACCAGAGACAGTTTCCTTTACATATTTCATCATTATGCAGGGTCTTGGGACCTTCAATAGCCTCGGATTTGGTAGGGAAGGGGTTTTGAGGATGAAGCCTCTCTGCAAGGCTGGTTGTAAAAAGGAATGGGCCAGGGTCCCTCTGGGGACACATTCCTGCTGAGAAGCACCAGTGCAAGATCAATGAATCAATGACTTGGTACTGTCCTGGACTTTCCGCTTTACCCTTGTTCACTTGAAGGTAGAGTTCATAGATACAAGGTGGCTATTAGTGACTAGGAAGGGTAAAAATGTGTGAGTATGTCAGATCAAGACAGTACTGCTGGGAATGAAGCACCTGTCTGCTATTGAAATATAGAATGTGTCCCCAGAGGAACCCCAACCCCATTCCTTTAGCAGCATAGCTAAAATTTACCAACTAATCAGATTTAACCACTCTAGGTATACCCCTAGTTGATACTTGGCTCAGCAAGCACTGAATCTGCCATTCTTTTTTTTTTTTTTTTTTTTTTTTCCCATCTTCAGGGTATATCCATCACTGGCTAAAGTCAGAAAACCTAGCAGGCAATTCCCTAATCCTGTGGAAGACTCTAGGTAACATTACCATATGGTTTTTCTGCAAAAATGTTTTCATAATTCAACAGCAGACAGGTACTTCACATGACAGACAGGTGTATTCTACATGGAGATGTGTCACTAGGATTTAGCGCTGGCCTTAAGCATGGAAGTGAGGACTTAAACAAAAACAAAAAAACTGGATGTTCCTTGGAACCACTTCAAAGCTGAACGTTGCCCTGGGAGATTCTCCATAACCATTGCTTGTCTTTGCACTTATTTCCCTCTGTGCCTGAATATTGACAGCTACTCTGTTACCTTATTAGTGGGTTGCTGGGCCTGCAGGCTGCCCGCAGCTGCTCAGGTGTGAAGCTGTTCTGCTTCAGTCAGCAAGCTGAAGTCGGTGCCCGAGCATGACTCTTAAATCGATGCCTGCTTGGAGCTATGTTGTCCAGAGAGAACAAGTTTCCACCAGAATGCCACTACCTAGGCCAAATGACCATTATGTACCTTCCCACTGACTACTATGAATAAAATGGCCACTGTAGGAGACAGATTCTCACACTGGATGGGGCTTGCTGTGGAGATATAACCTAAAATTGATCCTTTTCTTCCTTGGATACCCTAATCTTTGTGGAATCCTCAGTGGAGACTGAAATATCACTGTCATTTACCTACTCCTTGAAATGTAGGAGGATTTTTTGCAAGGAAGCCTTATGGTATGTTCTCAACATTAAACTGTTGAAAACAAGAGTCAACAGATCTGGGGATAGCACCTAGTAGTTGTTGGTCTACCTGAGGTTAAATACAGGGTGACCTGTGGCTGTAGACATTGGGTGCTAATACCAAAGCCAAGAAGAAATGTTCAGTTGACCCTACCACAGACACAGCATTTCTCTGAAGTTGTGTACACACATGTGCATGTAGGGAGATCTCAAGGCAAAAGTAACAATCTAGGAATAAGTAGCCTCTGATCCTAGGAGGTCTGGTTCTTAGAGAAAAAATTTCTATGGCAAATCCCTCCCTTTCATTCTAGAAATAGCAGGTGATGCTTTCCTCTTAGTCAAGCTGTATGAGGATTCCACTTCCCTGGTTCTCATGGGAGTCTCATGTGTGAATTGGGCTCTAGAAACCTTCTGGACTTCAGGTCTCTTCATCCTCTAGCATGACCTTCTTGGTACTAGCATGCTTTTTTCCCTTGAACTGTCAATTGTTTGGGGGATATCTAAGCATGGGACCAGGACTATGGGAGAGCCAGAGGGGTTACAGGAGGGCCTCTGTTATATATGCAAACAGACTGATCATTCTGACCTCAACGTCACAGGATCCTGGGTGCTATGGAAGGTTAAATCTATGCCCTCAATGAATGAGGGCTAAGGGTTCTGAATATTGTCTCTTCAAAGTTTCTCAGCATATGGTTTGACCCAGACCACCTTCAAAAGCTAGAAACAAGTTATTTTGTTTGGAGGAATGGTCCTAGGACTCCCCATCCCCCACTTAACGCAACTTTTGTTAGGTCATAAAGATTTCCGTAGCTTTGAGTTGTATCAGAAGTGAGCCTTGGGCAGGAAAATGTTTGAAGGGCTGGAAGCTATAAAGCCGGAAAACTTTCTTACCCCTTTATTTTTCTCTGGGAACAGTCAACTGAATTTGGGTGGGAAATGGGTCTGTTGGAGAGGCATGAGTCCAATCAGGTGATGAATCAGCCGAGTTGAGACTGAAGTTTCCCTTGGGCTGGACTTCCACCAAATCTACAGAGTCACCCTAACTATTATAACTACAAACAGTCACCAAGGTCCTTATCACTGGTAGGTGTAAAATTGGTTCTACAGGCTCTGCAATCAACTGGTAGTGTGCATGAGCCCCATGTCACATGTTTCCCTGAACCTTCCACTCCTATCTCCATTGACTTCACACATACAGCATCCAGGCACACACTATGGCTAAGGACAGGTGACTGGCATTGACGGTGATGTTTTAACCTATTCTTTCTTTTCTCATCTTGGACTGAGTGCTAGAACTTGCCCTGTGGAGAAGCCTGAGATTTGCATCTAGTTTCATTTTCAGAGCTATTACATGTTACATATACTAGAAATGTGTTTTTTCATATGAGCCCTAGTTTTGTTGGAGGATTGAATAAATGTTTTTTCCTAACCTAGGACCTAGTTAACCACATTATAAAAGTGACGGGAAGAGAAGACAGGATTCAAGGAGGGTCTAACAGGCTGGATTTTTTTCCCCCTTTTCATAAATGGAAGGGCTTTGAACCACCCACCCAATGTTTGATCTGCTGGAGATAAATTCTCCTGTTCTAATTTCTAGGGGAGGAACAATCTGATTGGATGGAGCTCAGATACCCATGAGGAATTTGAAAGTCTTGGCTGGTTTCAGGTACTCCCTTCTGTGATGTGTGGGCCATATCATGGCCAGCTTTAGCCCCTGAGTAGTCCAGAAAGGCAGCCAGGCTGTTCTCCATGCTGTCCTCCATGCTGTCTCATGTTTGTTTCTTGTTCGTTTCCTGTTATCTGTGTTAGAGGAAGTATGACACAGGCAGAAAACCTGTTCCTTCTGAAACAATTCTATGTCAGGAGGAAAATGTTTGTTTATAGACATGAGTAGAAGGTGCTTTCAATTAGTTTTATGTGGGTAAGGTTCACATAAGTAGAAACTACCAGATGTATAGAACCTGGTTTCTTTCTAAACACTCAGAGCAGGTACACCAGAAAGAGACTGCATCACAAACTGAGATTCTGGTCTTACAGGGGTGGTACGTTAACGGGCAGATCTGGTTGCCTATTTGGATAGAACTTACAGGATTAATGACACATGGAGCCCAGAGCTTCTGTTTTAACACGACCCGCATGCACTAGTCTCTTGTCTAGGGCCACTGTCCATTCCTTGTGTGAGAGGCCAAATGGAGCTGTGTACTTGGAAAGCTGCTGAATCCCCCAGTGAGATGAAGATATTGCAGATAAAGGATTTCCTGGTCTGGATCCTCTTCATGAAACTAAGTAAATGTAGCATTTGGTTCAAGCCTATCTTTGTTTTGAGTTGGCATATCTGACCCATTCATCACAGTTGTGCTGGTGTAAAATCCTCATCCAAGATGTGCATTGGTGTTAGTAGCTCCCCTGTTGCCTGTGTGACTGCCCTACTTGCCTGAGACAGAGAAAGACAGAGCTCAATGTAGATGTCCAACATGAGCCTTCCACTTTTACATCCCTTCAGATGCTTTCACAATCCCTGAAGCCTTTCACTGCCTGTTGAAGGGACTTCTGTAGCTGGAACAGTTCTTGGAGAACACCAGGAGTCCTGATGCTAAAGAAACAGAACCTGGACCCAGCTGCAGCTTTGGGTGACAATGCAGCAGCTTAACTGCATGCTTGCTTCTCAAAGTGACCTAAGGAAACTTCCAGCTTTCCAAGCTGGAGGTACTTGGGCCCTGGCAGCAGATGACTAACCAGGACTATGGCTCTACTTCACAAGTACAATAGGAGAGGGGACCAGGGGTTTGGAAAGGTCTGAAGTCTGTTTTCTTCCCAGGCATTCCTGAGATTCCAGGCTGTTGTGTCGAGCCACAGGGTTGGCATAACTGGGCTGAATTAGGAATAGTACTTGAGAAAGATTTCCATGTTGAGAAATTGAACATTCTACCAAGACTTTGTCACTGTGCAGATGATCCAAAGCCTTATCAAACTCAGCCCTATGGGATCTGGAGAAGTCTGCTTTTTGAGTTACTCAGCTTGAGGCAGTCTGATTTTTTTTTTTCCCTAGAGTTTCTTCCAAGTGCTTCCAGACTACAAAATTTCTACTTTTTAGTTGTATGAAACCATCAAACTTGGACTCCTTATTGCAAAAATTCCTCCAAATGCTGCTTTTGTGTTCCTGCAATCTCTTCATCCCTTCCAGGTCAATATAATCAATGGTCTAACTGCCTCTTTGTATGGACTGAACTGAGCAAGGTTGAAATCTGAGGTCAGCCTGTCTAGTTGTATTAATGACCTTACCTAGGAGATGGCTATCTTCCAGCATTTTGGAGATATGATTAATAAAAATTTCATGTATTTAAGATGTACAAGGGTAATATAGGCATACAATGTGAAATAGTTACCACAATCAAGCTCATTAACATACCTCCCTCATGCAGTTCCATCTGAGTATACTTGAGGCCTCTTAGCTAATTAGTTAATAACTATAATTGAAGTCACCATGCTGCATATGTGACCTCTAGAACTTATCTAAAAATTGAATATTTGCACACTTTGACCAATATCTCTTCTCTCCTACCACCTCAGCCCCTGGTAATCAATAGTCTATTACTAAGACTATTTTAATTCCCTACATAAGAGATCATGCAGTTTTATCTTACTGCGCTTGGCTTATATCACCTGGTATAATATCTTCCAGGTTCAGCCATATTGCAAATGGCAGGATTTCTTAAAGTGGAATAATATCCTTTTGTGTATGTACCACTTTTCTTCATGTTGGCCGGAACTTAGGTCGCTTCCATATTAGCTATTATGAATAAGGCTGCAATGAACATGGAATACAGATATTTCAAGACAATTGTATTTCCTTAGTTACACACCCAGAAGTGGGATTGTTGGATCACATGGCAGTTTTGTTTCTAATTTTGGGGAGACCTCCGTATTGTCTGCCATAATAGCTGTGCCAATTTCCATTCCCACCAACAATGTATGAGTTTGTTCTTCTACTGCTTGAAGTTATTTCATCTTTTTGATCATAGCCATTCTATCAGGTGTGAGGTGACATCTCATTGTGACTTTTGTTTGCATTTCCCTGATTAGTGAAGTTGAGCATCATTTCATGTAACGTATTCACCATTTGTAGGTTTTCCTTGGAAAAATACCTATTCAGGTCCTTTGCTCTTTTTATGGAGTTTTTTTTTTTTTTTTTTTTTTTTTGCCATTGAGTCATGAATTCTTTAAATATTTTTGGAAATTAACCCTTTATTGGACATATTGCTCAAGTATTCTTTCCTGTTGAGTGACTTGTCATTTTGCTGGTCATTTCCTTTGCTATAAAGCAGATTTTTGGTTTGTATTCCTTGTCTATTTTTGTGTTGTCTATACTTTTGATGTAAAATCAAAATCCTTGCTAAGATTAATGTTAAGATTTTCCCATGTTTTCTTAAGAATTTTATAGTTTAGGCCAGGCGTGGTGACTCACGCCTGTAATCCCCGCACTTTGGGAGGCCAAGGCAGGCAGATCATGAGGTCAGGAGTTGAAGATCATCCTGGCCAAATTGGTGAAACCTTGTCTCTACTAAAAATACAAAAATTAGCTGAGTGTGGTGGCGTGTGCCCTGTAGTCCCAGCTACTTGGGAGGCTGAGGCACAAGAATCGCTTGAACCTGGGAGGTGGAGGTTGCAGTGAGCAGAGACTGCACCACTGCACTCCAGCCCGGCAACAGAGGGAGACTGACTCAAAAAAAAAAAAAAATTATGGTTTACAAGTCTTAATGTTCATTTTGATTTTTTTTCTGTGCATGTTGCAAGAGAAGAGCCCAATTTTCTTATTTTGCATGTGAATGCCCAGGTTTCCCAATACCATTTATTGATGATTCTGCCCTTTCCCCTTTGTGTATTTTTGTTCTACAGATTAGGGGATGGGATTCTCACTATGTTGCACAGGGTAGAATCAAACTAGCCCCAAGCAATCCTCCTGCCTTAGCCTCTCAAGTAGCTGGGACTACAGGTGCTTGTCACTGTGCCATTCTTCATGTTTTTGTTGCCCTTATGGAAAACTTGAGTTCATTTCTAGGTTCTTTATTCTGTTTCATTGGCCTATATGCTATTTTTACTGCTGATAGGATATTGTCTTATTCCTATGGCTTTGTGGTATAGTTTGAAGTTAGAAAGTGTGATCACTTCAACTTTTTCTTAATATTGCCTTAGCTATTTGGAGTCTTCTGTGAATCCATGTAAACTTCAAGATATTTCCATTTCTGTGAAATATCATTGGGATTTTGATAAGGACTGCAATGACCCTTTAGATTGTTCTTGGTAGTATGGACATTTGGACAATACTAAATCTAAAAATTCAAGGAGATATAAGTGTTTTGACCAGTTAGTTTCTGAAATCATTAAGCCAAATGTCTTTATTACTGATAACTCTGAAACACAACAAGGAGAATTGCTGAGCTCCCCTGACTCATGGGCTTACCTGTGCTGAATCCATGCTGAAGATAATGCAGACTATGGTGGAAAGGGCATGATTCAGCATCAGGGAGACCTGTCACTTACGGCTGTGTTGCCTAGAACAAAATTCTTAATCCATCAGAATCTGCCATTTCATTTGCCAAAAAAAAAAAAGATTGTAGTCTTCATGATGCTGTGAATATCAAAAGATGCTTCATGTGGCATGTTTAATCAGGAATAGAGTAAACATTCAATAAATAGAAGCTATTTTGCTATTAAACACAATTCTTTTCAGCTGTCTTTGGCAAAGATTTGCATTCCTAATCATGAGAATTTGTTCTTTTCATGAAATTAAAACATTGCCATATCTGTATAGAGATTTATAATCTTACTAAATTCGGCCTTACCTTTGCATTTGATTTGTCAGCCAGTAAGGTTTATGGAACATAGCCTTCTATGTCATGGGCTATGTGCCAGGTACTCTACATATTCAACTTTATATACTCTAATACTCATTTCATCCAGGTAGGCATCAGAATCATGTTTTTTTTTTTTTTTTTCAGATGAGGGTCATGAGATTCAGGAAAACAAAATAAACATGGCTGTTAGACATTTGGTGAGTCACAATCTGAACCAAAGTCTCTGATACCTTGTTTTTTCCACTTACACTAGTTGTGAAAATGATGCTGCTGATCCAGCAAATTAAGTTGTTTAGGATGCAAACCTTTTGGGGGAAGTAGGCCGGGCTAAGTCTGACTTTAAGAGTACCCCAAATCACTTTCTCAGGGTCATTCATTTTGTTAATGGTGTTTGAACTCCTGTAAACCGAGGACTTAAACTCTTATGTGATTTTTCCTTTAAGGATTTTATACTTCATAGGTCCAACAAGCAGGTTTACTGAACAATCATAATTGCATATCTTTCCAATGAAGGCTTTATTAAGGTGCATTGACACTTAGGAAAGCCTTATCAGGTAAGGTGATGCTTGAGTTAAAATCTAAAAGACGAGAAGCTTCCCAATTGAACACTTCAAGTAAAGGATTTATATGAAGTAAGAAGAACATGTGCAGATGTTCAGAGGACTAGAAGAAAAAGACATCTGATTGGAGGGTTGCATGGCCAGCAGACTATTCACAACTGCTCAGGTGGGAGCTGTCCTCCTCTAGTCAGCAAGATAAAGCTGATACCAGGCCAGGCACAGTGGCTCACGCCTATAATCTCAGCACTTTGGGAGGCTGAGGCAGGCAGAATGCCTGAGCTCAGGAGTTTGAGACCAGCCTGGGCAACATGGTGAAACCCCATCTCTACTTAAAAAAAGCCAGGCATGGCAGCGTGTACCTGTAGTCCCAGCTACTTGGGAGGCTGAGGCAAGCAGAATTGCTTGAACCAGGGAGGCAGAGGTTGCAGTGAGCTGAGATTGTGCTATTGGACTCCAGCCTGAGTAACAGAGCAAGACTGTGTCCAAAAAAAAAAAAAAAAATTGATGCCCAGGTATGACTGAGTTAATCTGTTGGGAGCTGTATTGTCCATAGAGAACAGGGGTCTCCATAAAATTACCTAGAACCAAACAGCGTTGCAATGCCCACTGAAGTCTATAAATGGAGAGGTCACTGTTAGAGACTGTGACCTCCATACTGGATGAGCTTTCTGTGGAAGTACTTGATGACCCCAAATTGACTACTTTTGCCTCCTTGGACCCCCTAAAAACCTTTGTGGCATCTTTAGTAGAGACTGAAATACCACATTTTGGCATTTCAATATCTCATTTCAAAACACATAGTACGTAAGGATTACTACAGACACTTAATAGCATTCTGTTGGTGAAAATGAATTATGTTGAAGCCAAGAGCCAGACTGACTGGGGATGACAGGACCTCTTTTGATTCCGCTTGTTGGTTGGATATCGGATGACCTGTCGTAGGCAGCAGGCCCTAATTGCAAGATCATGAAAGAAGATCCTCTGGCTCTATGGAGCCAAAGCATATCTGAGTTTCTATGTACACAATAGCATGTATAAGGTCTGAAGGCAAAAAACAACCTAAGAATAAATGGTCTCTCTCAGAAGAACATCTGGCTCCTTTATAAGAAAAAATTACTGTCAACTCTTTCCTGGTCACACCAGAAAGAGCAGATGATGCTTTAATCTGTTAAGTTGTGCAAAGATCCCACTTCCCTGGTTCTCCTGGGCATCTCCTGTGTGAATTGGACTCTAGAACCTTCATAGAGTGGAAACTCTAATCCTTTAGCCTAGCTCTGGATTTCAGTGTGGTGGGCAGAAAGATCCGAGACAACACAGGCAGAAACAGAACTGTGGCTTGGGAAAAGCAATTTCTTTATAGACCTAAGGATGCTATCAATCTCACATGTCAAGGTTGATGTTGCAGACATCATAGTTCCACAAAACTTTCCCAAAACTGACAGGGAGGAGCCATACCTCTGGAGGACAATGTATTACAGATTGATACCACAGTTGCAGAGGAATAAGGATTTCCAAAAATACCTTCTTTATGTAAATAGAAGTGAGAAAGTACTTGCAAAAATTGACAACCCAGGGAATGCTGGTGCATTTAATGTAAAATTATAACTTTTAAAACCTCCTCTGGTCTGGCAAACTTGATAACGTTTGTCCACTGTGGTAACATTGGCCATGGAGGGTACAACAAGAGCAATGCAGGGCCAAAACTTACTGTTCACCTTCTGGACTTGCCCAGGTTTGCATGGTCAGGTCTGCAGTCTTGGGCTCCTCTGGGCCAGCTCAGCCCTTGGCTTAGATGTGCATCTTAGTGATGGAAGAATGAGTCAGAGGGCAGAGGCCCTGTCACAACTACATGGGCACCAAGATAAGGGAATACAGACAACTTAGATATAATACTTAAAGGATGGGATTAATGAGTCACTACTGCCTAAGCCAAAATGGGCACCGACAGCCTTGCCATTGGCTAGGGTGGGAACAGCAGCACTTGGCAACCATTACTGAGGAAAACACCAATTCTATATGAGAAATGATGCAAGGAAGGTTATTATATCCTTTGTCCAAGACTGCTCAGTGCATATTTGAGCCTTTAGCATTGGAGTCTCTTCATTATAAAATATTTTAAGATCATTAGGTCTGGGCTGTCCCAGGCCTGCCTAGGAAAATCACTTGCAGGCTGTCTTCTCAGTTCCTGTGGCTGCTTTTGCAAAGCTGTAGAGTTAAGATAATGTCAGATATGGTGTCAGACTCATTCTAGAACAGATGATGCTGTGTGTGACTCTCCCTTGACTGGAGTGTGATAAGTTAACAGGCAGGTCTTGAGCCTACATGGCTGGCTTTTTTTTTTTTTTTTAAGTAGTGGCATGTGTGGAGTTCAAAACTTTTGTTTCAAAGAGACTCACATGCACATGGCTGTTTGTGGCCACTTTGTGTGCCTGGTGTAGTGGAAAGCCAAAGGAAGCTATGCACTTGAGAAGTTTCTAGGTTCCCAAGTGAGATAAAAACATGGTAGATATACTTTGTCTTAGATTTTTAAACCTAGTATATAAACCACTGGATTAACACCTACTCTGCTTCAGAGTTGGTGTATCTGACACTGTCATCAGTTGTGCATGTATACAACGCCCATCCCAAGATGGTGAGTAGTGGTGGAAACTACCTCTATTGCCTGTGTCTGAGATGCCAGCCTCTCCAAGTTTTGCTTTTGCTCCATTAGATGCACAGAATAAGACTAGGTCAGCATTCTCTCTCCCTCCAGATAACTAAGGGTAGAAGAAGCTGGCTTAGCTCTTCTCCTTCTAGGCTCATTCCTGAAGCTGGTTGGGCATCTGTTAGACAACATTATTCAAAACCGTCTTGCAGATCTCATGTGAGACTGTGTCCCACTTAACGTTGCTGATCTTGGTGGTTTTTCTAGCCATATTTTCATCTTTATTTGTCCTAAAAATGAAAGGAGGCAGTATAGCCAAGTGCCTCCTTGAATTATTGTGACTAGAACAACCATGTAAGAGCACTTTGCTCTTGACAAAGCGATGGGTATGGGGTCTAGGTTTGGAAACCTAACTTCTTTTAGTGACTTCTCCCAGCAAGGCTGCAGATGAACAAGTGTAGACAGTGGTGTATCCATCTTTTGCAGGTATAAGGCTGGCCAGTGCTATGAGGAATTAGACGTGTGTATATTGATCCAACTGACTTTTTTTTTCTACCTGGTTTAATGAGAAATTAAATCTCTGACACAAACTATAAGTCAGAAACCTAACGCTTCCTGGGGGCAGTGTGGGCAAGGAAGCTCTTTAGCTCAATGTTTCTGGTGTGAGTCAGGAAGGCCACATCCCAGTCTCCTTCCCATTTTTCTTATAATAAGTCTTGGGGCTTTCAATATCCTCTAGTATGGCAGGAAATTGGTTTTATAAATACCTTCTGCAAGGCCAGGCTCCAGGAAGAATAGTGCAGAGCAGCACCCTGCAGGGAAAGACTGCAGCTGGGAAGGTCACTGAAGTCGTGCTGTCCTCAACTACGCCTTTACCCCTTTCACGGGGAAAGTCTGTAGACAAACAGTGGCTACTGGTGACCTAAGAAAGCATAGGTTTAAGGAAAGTCAGGAACGACAAACCCAGAGCAGTTTCTCTTTTTAACTGGGGAGGCAAGCGCCCCATCCAACATGGACCCATTGAGTATACGAAAGAAAATGTGCTATGAGAGACTTCCACAGAAGATATAGTTGCCTGTCAAATTTGAAGAGAGTACTGGCTGAGAATGAAGCAGCTGTCTGCCACTGGGGTCTGAGTTGAGCATGCTTTTTATGTTGGGGATATTCATCTTCGGCTAGAGTCACAGAGGGAGCACACTGGCTCTCTCATACCACTGAAAAGGCATACGAGGTGCCCTATAAGGATGTGTGTCCCTAGCATTTAGTGTTTTAACTGGCACAGAACTGAGGACTCAGTGAAAGAACCTAGATGTGGCTTGAAGTCACTTCTAAACAGGATGTTGCTCTGGGAAATTCTCCATATTCATAGCTTGGTGTTCTCTGCATCTACCCTATCTCTGCCTAAATATTGATCTTCCTCCTCTTCCCTGGTTAGAGGATTGCAGGGCCTGCAAGTGTCCCCAGACACTCAGATGTGAAGCAGTTCTGATCCAGGCAGTAAGCTGAAGCCAGTGCCCAAGGATGAGTCTCAGAACCAATGCCTACTTGGGACTGTGTCATCCACAGAGAATGAGAGTTCCTGTTAGAAGCTGTTACATGGGACTATGTCATTCACAGAGAACAAGAGTTGCTGTTAGATGCTGTTACTTGGGACTGTGTCATCCAGAGAGAAGAGTTCCTGTTAGGTGCTGTTGCATGGGACTGTGTCATCCATAGAGAAGAGTTCCTGTTAGATGCTGTTACATGGGACTATGTCATCCATAGAGAACAAGAGTTCCTTTTAGATGCTGTTACATGGGACCAAGTGGCCATCATTCCAGCGTACACTCCTCTCTATAAACAAATGGCTGTAGGAGATACAGATCTCAATACTAGGTGGGACTAGGTGGAGACATCTCATGAGCTAAAGCTGACTTTGCCTTTTTGGACACCTTAATCTTTAGGGCATCCTCAAACTAAAATACCACTGTTTAGCACTTTACTTCTTCCTTCTTAAACTATGGAATGATTGTTGCAAAGAAGTCTGGCATCTTACTATAAACTATGAAGCCAAGAGCCAGATTGTGATGTGGAGAGAGCATTTCATCTGGTTCCACTTGGGTTGGGTACAGGGTGACCCTGTGCTAACTGGAAATCCAGCAATGGTTCCATTTGTTATATGAGGATAGGGCATAACTCTGAGGTTTGGTGCACATAAGCGTGCATGTAAGTTGGCCTGCAGCAAAACACAAATACAGGGATGAGTCTCTGATCCTAGAAAAAGACTTGGTTCCTTCCTAGGAAACAATTTTCTGTGAAATCCTCACTTTAGAAATAGTAGGTGATCCATTCATCTTAGTCCAGCTGAATGATAGTCCTATTTCCCTGATTTTTCATGGGAGATTTATGTGTGAATTAAAATCTAGATGGTTGATGACCTTTAGTATCATCTTTTAATGTAGCCGCCTCTGCACAGGTATGTGTAACCTTAGCTTCAGTGTCAAATGTCTGGGGATTTTTTAGTATGAGTTAAAACTATGGGAGAATGGAGTTATGGAAGGAAAGCATGAATGTGCTTACATATACCCATTATGGTGACTCTGAATTCAAAGATGCAGGACCTGGGTGCCATGGAGGGTAAGAATCATGCCCAGCATGAAAGAGATCTTGTCAGAACGTGAATGTTGGGCTCCAGTGTTCTCAGTGTGTTTTGATCAAACCATCTTCAAAAGCTGAAACTGAAAATATGGAAATCGCCCTGCTTAAAGGAGTAATCCAGAACACCTCCCCATTAATAACTAGCTTGTCATGGATCATAAAAAAAAAAACCCCATGATTTCCTTGAAGTTTTGTATAACTAGATGAGTTGGGTTCAGCAGAAGTGAGTCTTGGATAGAAGAATGTTTCAGAGCTTGGGGGCTGAAAGGCAAAGAACTGTCCCATCTTGATCTATTATTTGGGAAAATCAAACTGGATTATGTTTAAAAAAAAGAAAGGTGGGGGGCATGTTGGAGAAGGGGTGGAAGAGTCAGCTGAGGTGTGATAGAGGTTTTCCTGTGTTTGGACTTTTGTGGAAATCTATGGAATCTTCACATCCACTGAAGTGTACAGAGTCACCCGTTCCTTAAACTGCTGGGTACAAATGATGTTCTACAGGGCTCAGTGGGCACGAAGTAGTGTATGTGAGCCAGGTATACTACTCCCACCCCTCTGTGCTGCTGCTGTTTCTGTGCTTAGATTCAAAGCAGCAGGCACTCTGTGGCTTAGCACTGGTGACTGGCTTCATAAAACTTAAAGCTTTATAATCAGACATGAGAGCTTCAACAAGCATTTATTTTAAGTCCTACCCCTGACTCCCTCACATTAGTCTTCTCCTAGCAGTAGCAGGAAAATCAGCTCAATTTGGCTTCCATCCCTATGGAGGTGTCTTACACTATTGCTGTTTCCCTTCTTGGCTTCATAAACTTCTGCAATATCTAGGAGTGGTCACTTGTAGAAGCCCATGAGTTTTGTTCCTTATTTCCTTTTATTACATCTACTGGCTAGCATCAGCATTCCTATCTTGAATGGTCATCATGGCCAGTCGTATCCCCCCACGTGGACCAGAGAAGGTAGCCATTCCTGACCTTGATGGTGCCTCATATATATATTTTTTTCTAGGGACCTCAGAGCTAGGCAGACAAACAAGGGATTGCAGAGCCAGAAATAGAACTGAAGCTCGAAAAAATCCATCTCTTGATAAGCGTGAGAAGGTACTTTTAATCAGTTACATACCAAGGTTCACATAACTACAGACAACCAGCACAGCTCTGCAGAATCTGGTTTTATTCCAGAACTGAAACACTTGGCAGGAAAAAAGAGTAGGTACCCCTGGAGGAGACTGCCATTGACTGAACTTCTGGTTGCAAAGGAAGGAGGACTCTCATAAATCTTGCCACGTAATCAGAATTTGGAAAGAGCTTACAAAAATGATGACATGAGGAGGCATTTTAGATTTAGTACAAACCAAAATTTTAAAGTTATTAAAACAAATGGGATATTTGTCTTCTATGGCAACACTAGCAGTGCAGGGTTGAATCTTATACTTCCCTTTCTGGTTACACCCAGGCTCGTGCGGTCAGGTCTTCAGGCTCAGGGGCCAACTTTACCCTCAGCTGAGATGCGCTTTTGTGTAATGAGAAGGCTGAGATCGGGGAGCCAGAGGCTCTTCATGACTACAGAGGCAGCAGGATGTGAGAACTGCAGACGCTTAGGGAGAAGGTAATGTTTTTCAAGGGATGGGACGAATGGGTCACAGCCTAAACCAAAATGTACCAAGTGCTCTGCCACTGGACATGAGTGGGGAGGGGTGGCAGCACATGGCAACATTTGACTTTTTTTAGGCCTGTAAGGCTTGATATTTGAGAAGACACATAGTATAATACCCCATTGTCCAGGACAGGTCAATGAAGATGTGAGCCTTTAATGCTGGAATTTCCTCCGTATGAGATTTTGATAACATCCTCATCAGGTCAGGACTGACACAGGCCTGCCTAGGAAAATGACTTGGAGACTGTCTCCTTATACTTTTTGTAGCTTACTTGGCCAAGCTACAGAGTTAAGAATGGTGTTAGCCTTCTTATAGAAGAGACTTGGATAAATTTTTTTTACTTCAATTACAATATTTGATTGCATTAAATCTGTTTTGAGTAGTGACAACATTTTGCCAATATTCTAAATTCAAAGAGACTTTTATATTTCAGCCAGGCAGGCTCTAAAGCCATTATCTAAGCCAAGTGTCTCATTCAGATAATAAACCTGAAGACAAACCTGTAACTGTCTTGCTGAGGTAGCATGTCTCATGGGATTACTAGCCCTGAATCAATGCTGAGGGTAAAGCAGAGTGCTGTGGAAGGAGCATAATTCAGCATCAGACATCTCTAATTCACTGGCTGTATTTCCTGGTATAAAATTCTTATTCTGAATCTGACATCTCACCTGTAAAAAATGCACTAATGGTCTCTTTATGATTCTGAGTGCTAAAAAATGATTCATGTGGCCTCTTAGGTCAATACCCAGCACAGAATAAGTATTCAATAAATAGAAGCTATTTTTCCATTCAATACAATTCTATTCAACATTCTACACCATTATGTTGTCAATTCTTTGTAGATATTTGCATTACTGACCATTAGAATTCTTTTCACAAGATAATAAAAACATACCCTCTTACCTATATAAAAGCTTACAACCTTACCAATTAAATGCTACACTGTCTTTAAATTTAAATTTATATGAGCTGATGGAAAGCATTTATGGAATGCCTTCTATTTCACAAGCTATGTGCCAGCTACCCTAGCCACTCAACTTCATGTACTCAAATCAGTTCATCCAGTGGGCAGTAGCATGCTTTTTAGATGAGTATCATGAGATTCAAAGGAATGATAAACATGGCGTAGTATCCTATTGGTGAGTTGCAATCTGAACCAAAGTCTGATAACTTGACATTTTTCCCACTCTGACGCTATATATAAAAATGATGCTGACCCATCTGATTGACTTAGGGTGCAAACCTTTGGAAAAGTAGGCCAGGTTGGGTCTCTGACTCTAGATCAGAGCACTTCTAATTTCTCTTGGTCATTCATTTCATTAAACAATGTTGGAGCCCCTACTGTGAACAAGGACTGTGGATACAAATTTGATCTTTAAGAAGTTCATAGCCCATAGGCACAGACATTCAATGACTGCATAATCACAATAGTCAATTATTTTTTTGGAAGGCCATGTAACAAATGGGACTTAGGGATTCTCAAATATTTTGCTTGATTTAAAATCTTAAAAATGAGGAAGTTCCCAGTTGGACAGTCCAGGTGAAGGGTTTAAACATTGTGAGAATATGTGCAAATGTTTAGGAGTAGATCAAAGCATCTGATGGGAGGGTTTCATGACCAGCAGACTATTCACAGCTGTGTAAATGGGAAGCTGTTCTGCTCCAGTCAACTGCAAGGTAAAGCTGACACCCAAGCATGACTGAGTCACCTATGAGAGCTATGTCATAGAAAAGGTCCCTATAAAATGCCATTACCTAAGACCAAATGGCCACTATTCCAATGTCCATTGGTATCTTATTTTTCTCATTACTAAAGGACACTGTGATGAGTCCTTTCTAATGAGTAATTTCTCATTGATTGATTGTGCAAGACCTGCTTCTCTTCTTGGATCCCATGGTTGCCTAAATCATCTCATGTGTTATTCCACATGACTTGAATTTCCCACTACTCAGTAAATGTGGGTTGGCCCAGAGCACTTTAGCTTCCTTCTGTAAGCCTTTCAGCTTTCATGTTTCTTGAATACCTTCTGGTATGGGTTTTCATTGTAATTTTGCATAGTTGAACTAGCTTCTGCTACATGATACAATGCTGCAGAGGCCAGGCATGGAAATGCTGTTGCTGTTATCTTGGCACTGGGGTGACAAGATGCTTTTACATAAGGGAACAACTCAGGCCTAATTGCATTTGACAGGCTTCCATGCATCCCTAAATTCTGGTGTCTCATCAATCACTCCAGAGATGAGAATCAATGCAAAATCAAAATCTTGAAGAAAATTGAAAGCAATCAACGTGGTCATCTGTGATTTTTCTCTCAAAAAGATGAACTTGAACCATGAACAGTTGACCAACTCCTCCAGCTTTTTGGTATGCAGGATTCCAATGAAGGTTGGATGAATCCAGCTATATCCTGCATTTTGGATATATAAGTAGCCACATCTAGCTGCAGGTAGTTAATATACACATCACTCACTGATTCTTGCCTTGTGATACCCGGGAGTCTGATAGGAAAACAAGTCAGCTAGGATGGGATTGAGACTTTCCTGTGTTAGACTTAGCAAATGTAGACACAATGGTTACAATTTGCAAGGGTTCCAAAGATTCACCAATGTCCTCACTGCAGAGTACAAAACATGTTCTACAGGCTTTAAAGGCAACCAGTAGTGTGCATAGTGATGTCACATATTACCTAAACCTTCTATTCCTGTGTAATTTGACTCATACACTTATAGCAGCGGGCACTCTACATGAGTAAGCAAAAGTGACTGGCACTAATGGTGATGTCTTATCACTCTTCTCAGCTTCTGAGTCTAGAACTTACCCCATTGAAGGTGGAGCTTTCATTCTTAATTTCACTCTTCAAAAGCGATTTGTATATACAAGAAATGTTTTACTCACCTGAGCCCTGATTTTGTTGAATTGAAGAACTGGCTTGTCCTGACCTAGGTTCTGTTGAGCCACAACATGAAAGTGATGTGACAGGAGTCAAGGAGGGGGTTTGACTTCTCCAGATGTCGAAGAGTCACCACTAGATATTGCTCTGATGGGGCATGGGTTTTTCCTAATTAAGGCAGGGACAACTAAGATGGCTATGGGTGGAGTTTAAACATCCATTATGAACACAAAATCCCGGCCAGTAACAAGAGCTCCCCCTTCTGTGATTGTCCCCATGAACAACTGTATTCCCAAGTGTCCCAGAGAAGCCACCAGGACTGTCTTCCATGCTGCTTTATTTCCTGAGAGCTCAGTACTGGGCAGACAGATGGCACCTTCTTGGTGAAAATAAACCAATCTTGCTCTTATGAAATTGCAGTTCTATATCTGGGAGGAAAGTCATCTTATATAGATGAGAAGGTAGAGTCAGTTTTATATCAAGGTTCACATAAATGCAGACTACCAGCACAGGTCAATAGACTTCATTCTTCTAAAACCAGACATTCAGGAGAGAGAAAGCAGGCACCCTGAAAGACATTGTATCATCTACTGAATTTTTGGTTGCAGAAGAAGGATTCTCATAAATAAGTACTTGCCTAATTATGTTCCCATGACAGTGCTTGCAAAAATGCTGATATCCCATTTAACACCTTAGTGCACTAAACCACAATTTCTTAAATATCCTTTAGACAAATTGGATATGTTTGTCTCCTATTAGCAGGTCAGGATTGAATCCTGCAGTTCCCTTTCTGTTGTAGCCAGGTTTGCATGGTCAGGCCTGCAGGCTCAAGGCTCCTCAGGGGCAGCTCAATCCTGAGCTCCAGATGTGCTGTTGTGCAATGAGATGAATGAGGTCAGAGCAGGGACTTCTTAACGACTACATTGGGGCCAGGAAGAAGAAAGGAAGACAAATTGGAAGAGGTAAAACTTAAGAAGGAATGGAAGGGTGGCAGGTCATAGCTACCTAGTCCAAAATGTGCACCAGCTGCTCTGCCACTGGACATAGGTTGGGAGAGGTAGAACTTGGCAACTTTTGCTGACATACACCAGGCCATTAAGACTCCATCACGATGATAAAGCTTTTGGAAGTGGATAGTGGCAATAGTTGTACAACATTAAGTGTGCCACTGAGTAGTACACTTGAATGGTTGAGGTGAATTTTATGTCATGCAGAGTTCACAATAACAAAAATGTTAATGTAATCTTTAAAAACCTTCTGAAACCATCTCTTAGATCTCACACAGGATATGACCAGAAGCTAAAGGGAGTCCTCCATGATCTGGTCAATCCTTGCTTTCTGGACACATTCTCAAAATAGCTTTAGTTGTCTTCAAATGTGCCGCTTTTGAGAGCAAGATGGCATAACAAAGTGCCTCCTTAATGGGTTGTAAAGAAAAGAACCATATATTTCACTTGGTCCCCTTCATCCTTGTTCTTGACAACCAGTTATTCTGAAGTTGGTTTGTCTGAAGCTTACTCAGCACTTAAGTACCTGGATGATAAATGGAATGAAGACAAGACACAGCAGTTAAAGGAACCAGCAGAGATTAAGGAAGTGTTAGGCCAGAGTTCGTCTGGGGAAAAAATGGGCCCCAGGCTTGAGATTCCTCTGAGAAAAGGCTTCTTGCCATGCTGGAAAGAATATTTACCTGACAGAATATTTACCTAACTGTTAAACTGCTGTTCAACAGTTTCCAGGCAGGGCATAATTATCCTTAAAAAAAATGTAGCATCTGTGTCATCTGATGTTGCCAAGAACGTTGTTTTGTGGCTTAATGGCGGGCTGGGTATTAAGTGTCCTTGGGTCAGCCTGGGAAGCATGAAAGTTGCTTTGTGCTGATAAGCCCTGTTCTCAGCTCATTCATGGCAGAGACTTGAGGCAGAGAAGGGTAGCTGTGTGGACAGTGGTGTAAGACTTCTAGCCAGACAACAAGCTGTTTAAAACCCCATATTGTGACTCACTTCAACCAAGGGGTTAATAAGATAGTTCTGCAACCTACAGATTCCATTAAAGGAAAGGATTTATAAAACTGAAGGCTGTGGAGTGATGTTGAAGGTTGAAGGAAGACATAAGCTCTTAGTCCCTGGAAAGACAACTTACCTTCCACAGAAAGCTTATAAACCTGTGGTGCTCATAAGTGGTGAGTTTATCTTTGCCACTTGCCTGGGAAATAGCAAGACTGTCTGCTTGGTCTTGTTGGTTAATAGAACCAAAATATCATCTGCCATGGGATGCTCAATTGATACACTAAACTAGTTATTTAACTATTGGGTAAGAAGGACTTTTAAGTCTCTAAATGATTCATTTTACTGATTCAGTTAACTTATTCCTGTGTGATTAAGATGCATATTTTGTGCTTCTGAGGTTAATTCTCTGCATGTTGACTTACAGTTCTCTTCAAATATGGAAAAACCGTGGCCAATATTTCAGAGTTTCCTGCCTCTTCTCTCTTCAGATACTCCAATAATGCATCTTTTAGGCTAGAGTATGCCCACAATTTGTTTTTGTTTTTTTTTTACATTTTCAAAAACATCTTTCTCCATGTTTTTACATATATGTGCATGTTTACATATGGATAAAGGGAGAAAAAGCTTTATATATATTTATATATATATATATAAAGTTCTGGGGTACACGTGTAGAATGTGCAGGTTTGTTACATAGGTATACACGTGCCATGGTGGTTTGCTACACCCATCAACCCATCATCTACAATAGGTATTTCTCCTAATGCTATCCTCCTCTAGCCCCCTGCCCCCCTGACAGGCCCCAGTGTGTGATGTTCCCCTCCCTGTGTCCATGTGTTCTCATTGTTCAACTCCCACTTATGAGTGAGAACATGCAGTGTTTGGTTTTCTCTTCTTGTGTTAGTTTGCTGAGAAGGATGGTTTTCAGCTTCATCCATGTCCCTGAAAAGGACGTGAACTCATCCTTTTTTATGGCTGCGTAGTATTCCATGGTGTATATGTGCCACATTTTCTTTATCCAATATATCATTGATGGGCATTTGGGTTGGTTCCAAGTCTTTTGCTATTGGGAATAGTGCCACAATAAACATACATGTGCATGTGTCTTTATAGTAGAATGATTTATAATCCTTTGGGTATATACCCAGTAATGGGATTGCTGGGTCAAATGGCATTTCTAATTCTAGATCCTTGAGGAATCGCCACGCTGTCTTTCACAATGATTGAACTAATTCGTGCTTCCACCAACAGTGTAAAATCGTTCCTATTTCTCCACATCCTCTCCAGCATCTGTTTCCTGACTTTCTAACGATCACCATTCTAACTGGTGTCAGACGGTATCTCATTGTGGTTTTGATTTGCATTTCTCTAATGACCAGTGATGATGAGCTTTTTTTCATATGTTTGTTGACTGCATAAATGTCATCTTTTGAGAAGTGCCTGTTCGTATCCTTCACCCAGTTTTTGATGGGGTTGTTTGCTTTTTTCTTGTAAATTTATTTGTAGATTCTGGATATTAGCCCTTTGTCAAATGGATAGATTGCAAAGATTTTCTCCCACTCTGTAGGTTGCCTGTTCACTCTGATGACAGTTTCTTTTGCTGTGCAGAAGCTTTAGTTTAATTAGATACCATTTGTCAATTTTGGCTTTTGTTGCCATTGCTTTTGATGTTTTAGTCATGAAGTGTTTGTCCATGCCTATGTCCTGAATGGTATCGCCTAGGTTTTCTTCTAGGGTTTTTATGGTTTTATGTTTAAGTCTTCAATCCATCTTGAGTTGATTTTTGTATAAAGTGTAAGGAAGGGGTCTAGTTTCAGTTTTGTGCATATGGCTAGCCAGTTTTCCCAACACCATTTATTAAATAGGTAATCCTTTCCCCATTTCTTGTTTTTGTCAGGTTTGTCAAAGATCAGATGGTTGTAGATGTGGGGTATTATTTCTGAGGCCTCTGTTCTGTTCCATTGGTCTATATCTGTTTTGGTACCAGTACCATGCTGTTTTGGCTACTGTAGCCTTGTAGTACAGTTTGAAGTCAGGTAGTGTGATGCCTCCAGCTTTGTTCTTTTAACTTAGGATTGTCTTGGCTATGCAGGCTCTTTTATGGTTCCATATGAAATTTAAAGTAGTTTTTTCTAACTCTGTGAAGAAAGTCAATAGTAGCTTGATGGGGATAGCATTGAATCTATGAATTACTTTGGGCAGTATGGCCATTTTCACAATACTGATTCTTCCTATCCATGAGCATGGAAAGTTCTTCCATTTATTTGTGTCCTCTCTCGTTTCCTTGAGAAGTGGTTTGTTCTTCTCCTTGAAGAGGTCCTTCACATCCCTTGTAAGTTGTATTCCTAGATATTTTATTCTCTTTGTAACAATTGTGAATGGGAATTCACTCATGATTTGGCTCTATTTCTCTGTTAATGGTGTATAGGAATGTTTGTGATTTTTGTACATTGATTTTGTATCCTGAGACTTTGCTGAAGTTCCTTATCAGCTTAAGGAGATTTTGGGCCAACATGATGGGGTTTTCTAAATATACAATCATGTCGTCTGCAAACAGACAATTTGACTTCCTCTTTTCCTATTTTAATACCCTTTATTTCTTTCTTTTGCCTGATTGCCCTGGCCAGAACTTCCAATACTATGTTGAATAGGAGTAGTGAAAGAGGGCATCCTTGTCTTGTGCTGGTTTTCAAAGAGAACGCTTCCAATTTTTGCCCATTCAGTATGATATTGGCTGTGGGTTTGTCATAAATAGCTCTTATTTTGAGATACATTCCATCAATACCTACTTTATTAAGAGTTTGTAGGATGAAGGGCTGTTGAATTTTGTCAAAGGCCTGTTCTGCATCTATGGAGATAATCATGTGGTTTTTGTCGTTGGTTCTGTTTATGTGATGGATTATGTTTATTGATTTGCATATGTTGAACCAGGCTTGCATCCCAGGGATGAAGCCAACTTGATTGTGGTGGATCAACTTTTTGATGTGCTGCTGAATTCGGTTTGCCAGTATTTTATTGAGGATTTTTGCATCGATGTTTATCAGGGATATTAGCCTGAAATTTTCTTTTTTTGTTGTGCCTCTGCCAGGTTTTGTATCAGGATGATGCTGGCCTCATAAAATGAGTTAAGGAGGAGTCCCTCTTTTTCTATGTTTGGAATAGTTTCAGAAGGAAGGATACCAGCCCCTCTTTTACCTCTGGTAGAATTCGGCTTTGAATCTGTTTGGTCCTGGACATTTTTTGGTTGGCAGACTATTATTGCCTCAATTTCAGAACTTGTTATTGATCTATTCGGGGATTCAACTTCTTCCTGGTTTAGACTTGGGAGGGTGTATGTGTCCAATAATTTATCCAATTCTTCTAGATTTTCTAGTTTATTTGCATAGAGGTGTTTATAGTATTTTCTGATGGTAATACATATTTCTGTGGCATCAGTGGTGATATCCCCTTTATCATTTTTTATTGCATCTATTTGATTTTTTTTTAATTTGGCTAGCAGTCTATTTTGTTGATCTTTTCAAAAAACTGGCTCCTGGATTCATTAAGCTTTTTTTAAAGGGATTATCCTGTCTCCATCTCCTTCAGTTCTTCTCTGATCTTAGTTATTTGTCTTCTGCTAGCTTTTGAATTTGTTTGCTCTTGCTTCTTTAGTTCTTCTAATTTTGATGTTAGTGTCAATTTTAGATCTTTCCTGCTTTCTCTTGTGGGCATTTAGTGCTATAAATTTCCCTCTACACACTGCTTTAAATGTGTCCCAGAGATTCTGGTACATTGTGTCTTTGTTCTCATTGGTTTCAAAGAACTTACTTATTTCTGCCTTAATTTCATTATTTACCCAGTAGTCATTCAGGAACAGGTTGTTCAGTTTCCATGCAGTTGTGTTGTTTTGAATGAGTTTCTTAATCCTGAGTTCTAATTTGATTGCACTGTGGTTTGTTATGATTTGTGTTCTTTTGCATTTGCTGAGGAGTGTTTTACTTCCAATTATGTGGTCAATTTTAGAATAAGTGTGATGTGCTGAGAAGAATGTATATTCTGTTGATTTGGGGTGGAGAGTTCTGTAGATGTCTATTAGGTCTGCTTGGCCCAGAGCTGAGTTCAAGTCCTGAATAGCTTTGTTAATTTTCTGTCTCATTGATCTAATATTGACAGTGGGCTATTAAAGTCTCCCACTATTATTGTGTGGGAGTCTAAGTCTCTTTGTAGGTGTCTAAGAACTTGCTTTATGAATCTAGGTGCTCCTGTATTAGATGCATATATATTTAGGATAGTTAGCTCTTGTTTGGGTTTTTTTAAATTTATTTTATTATTATTTTTTGAAATGGAGTCTTGCTCTGTCACCCAGGCTGGAGTGCAATGGTGAGATCTTGGCTCATTGCAAGCTCTGCCTCCCGGGTTCACGCCATTCTCCTGCCTCAGCCTCCTGAGTAGCTGGGACTACAGGCGCCTGCCACCACACCTGGCATGGTATTTTTAGTAGAGACAGGGTTTCAACATGTTAGACAGGATGGTCTCGATCTCATGATCTGCCTGCCACGGCCTCCCAAAGTGGGCTGTTCTTGTTGCATTGATCCCTTTACTATTACATAATACCTTTATCTCTTTTGATCTTTGTTGGTTTAAAGTCTGTGTTATGAGACTAGGATTGCAACCCCTGCTTTTGTTTTTTTTTTATTATTTGCTTGGTAAATATTCCTCCATCCCTTTATTTTGAGCCTATGTGCATCTTTGCACATGAGGTGGGTTTCCTGAATACAGCACACTGATGGGTCTTGACTCCATCCAATTTACCAGTCTGTTTTAATTGGGGCATTTAGCCAGCTTACATTTAAGGTTAATATTGTTACGCGTGAATTTGATCTTGTCATTATGATGTTAGCTGGTTATTTTGCCCGTTAGTCGATGCAGTTTCTTCATAGTGTCAGTGGCCTTTACAATTTGGTATGTTTTTGCAGTGGCTGGTAGCAGTTGTTCCTTTTCATGCTTGGTGCTTCCTTTAGGAGCTCTTGCAAGTCAGGCCTGGTAGTGACAAAATCTCACTAGTGACAAAATCTTAGCATTTGCTTGTCTGTAAAGGATTTTTTTTCTCCTTCACTTATGAAGCTTAGTTTGGCTGGATATGAAATTCTGGGTTGAACATTCTTTTTAAAAATGTTGAATATTGGCCTCCACTCTCTTCTGGCTTGTAGGGTTTCTGCAGAGAGATCCACTGTTAATCCGATGGGCTTCCCTTTGTGGGTAACCCAACCTTTCTCTCTGGCTGCCCTTAATGTTTGTTCCTTCATATCAACCTTGGTGAATCTGACGATTGTGTCTTGGGGTTGCTCTTCTCAAGGACTATCTTTGTGGTGGTCTCTGTATTTCCTGAATTTGAAGGTTGGCCTGCCTTGCTAGGTTGGGGAAGTTCTCCTTAATATCCTGAAGAGTGTTTTCCAACTTGGTTCCATTCTCCCCGTCACTTTCAGGTACACCAATCAAATGTAGATTTGGTCATTTCACATAGTCCCATATTTCTTGGAGGCTTTGTTCATTCCTTTTTCTCTAATCTTGTCTTCATGCTTTATTTCATTAAGTTGATCTTCAATCCTGATATCCTTTCTTCTGTTTGATCGATTTGGCTATTGATACTTGTGTATGCTTCACAAGTTCCCATGCTGTGTTTTTCAGCTCCATTAGGTCATTTATGTTCTTCTCTAAACTGGTTATTCTAGTTAGCAATTCATCTAACCTTTTTTCAAGGTTCTTAGCTTCCTTGCATTGGGTTAGGACATGTTCCTTTTGCTCAGAGGAGTTTATTACCCACTTTCTGAAGCCTACTTCTGTCAATTCATCAAACTCATTCTCCATCCAGTTTTGTTCCCTTGCTAGCGAGGAGTTGTGATCCTTTGGAGGAGGAGTGGCAATCTGGTTTTTGGAATTTTCAGCCTTTTTGCCCCAGTTTCTCCCCATCTTTGTGGATTTATCTACCTTTGGTGTTTGATGTTGGTGACCTTCTGATGGGGTCTCTGAGTGGACATCCTTTTTATTGATGTTGATGCTAGTCCTTTGTTTGTTTTCCTTCTAACAGTCAGGACCCTCTGCTGCAGGTCTGCTGGAGTTTGCTGGAGGTCCACACCAGACCCTGTTTGCCTTGGTATCACCAGCGGAGGCTGCAGAACAGCAAAGACTGCTGCCTGTTCCTTCCTCTGGAAGCTTCATCCCAGAGGGTCCCCTGCCAGCTGCCAGCCAGAGCTTTCCTGTATGAGGTGTCTGTTGGCCCCTTCTGGGAGGTATCTCCCAGTCAGGAGACATGGGTGTCAGCGACCCATTTGAGGAGACAGTCTGACCCTTAGCAGAGCTGAACACTGCTGGGAGATCCGCTTCTCTCTTCAGAGCCATCAGGCAGGGATGTTTATGTCTGCTGAAGCTGTGGCCACAGCCATCCCTTCCCCCAGGTGCTGTGTCCCAGGGAAATGGGGGGGTTTTATCTATAAGCCCCTGACTGGGGCCGCTGCCTTGTTTTTGAGATTCCCTGCCCAGAGAGGAGGAATCTAGCGAGGCAGTCTGGCCATGATGGGCTTCCTGAGCTGTGGTGGGTTCCACCCAGTTCAAACTTCCTGCCTGCTTTGTTTACACTGTGAGGGTAAACCCACCTACTCAAGCCTCAGCAATGGTGGATGCCCCTCCCTCCACCAAGCTCAAGCATCCCAGGTCGACCTCAGACTGCTGTGCTGGCAGCGAGAATTTCAAGCCAGTGGTTCTCAACTTGCTGGGCTCCATGGGGGTGGGACCCACTGAGCCAGACCACTTGGCCCCCTGGCTTCAGCCCCCTTTCCAGGGGAGTAAATGGTTCTGTCTCACTGGCATTCAAGGTACCACTGGGGTATGGAAAGAAAAAAAACAAAAAACTCCTGCAGTGAACTCAGTGTCTGCCCAAAGGGCTGCCCAGCTTTGTGCTTGAAACCCAGGACCCTGGTGGCATAGGCACTGGAGGGAATCTCCTGGTCTGTGGGTTGTGAAGACCATGGGGAAAGCACAGTATCTTGGCTGGAGTGTACTGTTCAGTCCCTCCTGGCTTCCCTTGGCTAGGGCAGGGAATTCCTCAACCCCTTGCACTTCCCAGGTGAGATGATGTCCCACCCTGCTTAGGCTCACCCATCATGAGCTGTACCCACTGTCCAATCAGTCCCAATGGGATGAACTGCATACCTCAGTTGGAAATGCAGAAATCACCCTGCCTTCTGAATCAGTCTCACTGGGAGTTGTAGTCTGGAGCTATTCCTATTTGGCCATCTTGCCAGCAATCAATTTCTGTTCTTTTCATATCTATTTTTCTTCCTATATTACCTGGCCTCAGGTTAGTCCTTTATAGCAATATTAAATTGAACTAAGACATAAATAAGGGATGATTCCTACAGAGACCTGATGGCACCTTCTTGGTTAAAATAAAGTGAAGCCAAGAGCCAGATTGAGCTGATACCACCTTTTCTAGTTCGCTTAGAGGTTGTATATGGGGTGACCTGTTGAAAAACCCCTCTACTTTCAAGACAACAAGGAAAGTTTCATTGGCCATATGGGATCACTACATATGGGATCACTACATAGTTGAGGTTTCATGCACACTAACATGCAGGTAGGTTGACCTGAAGGCAAAAGGTAGAAATACAGGAATGAGTAGTCTCTGGCCTAGAAAAAAAATTTTACTGATTCCCAGAAACATTTTTCTGTGAAATCCCTCATCATTCTAGAAGTAGCGATGGTACATTCATCTTAGGTAAACTGTGAAGTTCCCATTTCTCTTCAATGTGTAAATTAATCTATAACCTTCATGAACTTTGGACAATATCATCTGCTTCCTCTAGTGTGGCCTTCTATGCACTGGCATATGGGTATCCTTGACTCTTAACATCAAATATCTAGGGATTTCTAAGTATGAGCTAATAACAAGGGGGAGTAGAAGAGTTACAGGAATGCCTGTGTGCATATATTCACACATTCTAGTCATTCTGAATTCAAAGACATAGGAGCCCAGGTAGGTGCATGGCAGGTAAAATGCATGTCCAGAATGAATGAAGTCTTCTGTTAGAATCTGAATGTTGGCACTAATGTTCTCAGGGTGGTTTGATCAAACCGCTTTCTTTAAAAACTAGAAATACAGAAATGGCTTTGTTTATAGAAGTGTTCCAGAACACATTCCCTCCCCCATTAACATTTAGAACATTAAGCCTCTGAGTCATGGAAAGCAGGTGTTCATGGAGGACTGTATAATAAGTTGAACTGGATTAACAAGAGTGAGTCTTGGATAGGAAGAGTATTCCAGGGCTTGAGGTGGGAAAGTGAGAATTTTCCTCATCTTGGGTCTATTCTCTGAAACTTAAACAGAATTGTTAGGAAAGGGGATGCTGGAGAAAGGCCTTGTGTATCCCATGAGACCAATGGGAAGATGAATCAACTGAGATACCACTGAGGATTTCCTGACTTTCAACAGATATGTGTAGATACCATGTCCAGAAAAATTCCATAGTTTCTCTAAAGGCTTAATGTGCACAAAGCATGTCACATGTTGCCTAATCTTTCCACTCCTATGTGCTTATAGTCAGCAGCATGCACTCTGAGCACAGGTAACTGGTATTAAGTGATATCTTAAGGAATTCTCTTTATACTTCTGAGCTCTAGAACGTGCTCTGTGGAGAAGCCCATGAGATTTGCTCCAGATTTCACTTTCAAAGCTATTACACACGCTAAAAATGTCTCCTTCAATCCTACAACAAAACCAGAGCTCCTATGAGGAAATAGTTTGTTCTAACCTAGGACCTATTTAGCCAAGTAATAAAGTTGACGGGAAGAGAGGACAGGATTCAAGGACTATCTATCGAGCTTGGATTTTTTTTGACCAAATTGAAGAATTGGTTTGTTCTCACCTAAGTTCTATCAAGCCAAATAAGTGATGGGACAGGATGAAAAAGATTTTTCCTGACGTGAAAGGATTTGGGTAGTCACCCATTGAATGTTCTCATGGAGATCAAGTCTGGGACAATCAAGATGGCTGTGGATCGAGCTCAAGTATCCATTATGAATGTTAAAATCTTGACAGGCAGCAGGCACTCACCCTTCTGTGGATACTCACCATGGCTGGTTCTAGCCTCGCAAGTGGCCCAGTGATGGGCACCCAGGCCTGTCCTCCATGTTGCTTCATGTTTGCTTCCTGATATCTCAGTGTTGAAGTGAAAGATCGGGGATGAAACAGGCAGAAACCAACTTTGTGTCCAGGGGAAAATGTTTAGAGACGTGAGGAAAAATGCTTTTAGTTTTATGTCAAGGTTCTTTTAAGTATGTTACGAGCACAGGTTGGTAGAACCTGGTTTATTTCCAAAACTGAGACTCAGGAGAAAAAAGCAGGTGTGCCCCATGATATAAACGTGGCTCTTCGTATCTGTACTGACTGCATCATAGACAAACTCTGGTTGCAGAGGAAGGATTTCCACAGCTATTTCCTAACTATGTTTACACAAAGTGCTTGTAAAAATGCTGACATCCAGTGGATTTTGAAAATTTTGTTTTGATGTAAATTTTCCAAAGTATCCTTTATCCAGACAAATTGGGTATATTGGTTTCCTGTGGCAAAATGAACAGTGGAGGGTTGAATCTTACACTTCCCTTTTTGGAATCACCCAAGTCGACATGGTGGTCAGGTCTTTAGGCTCAGGGATCCTTGGGGCCAGCTTTAAAGTCAACTGGGATGTACTTTGTGATGGAAAAAATGTGAGTGTAGAGCCTCTTTCATGACTATATAGGAACAAAGATGAGGGAATTGCAGACAACTTGAGGAAAGGGAATGTTTAGAAAGGAGTGGGACAGATGGGGTCACATCTGCCTGAAGTGAAACATGCACCAGTTGCTCCGACATTGGGCGTGAGTTGGGAGGGACAGCACTTGGCACTTCCTTTGCTGAAATGGCATATGAAAGGCCAACAAAACTTTATGTAAGAGGACATGAGAAAAGTGACATCCCATTGCCTAGAACAGGTCAGTGGTCAGTGTGGATGTGAACCTTTATCCTTAATTTCCTCAGTATAAGACTTACATAAGATCCTAAGGTCTAGGATGATCCTGTCCTGTCTGGGAAAATAATCTGGGCTGTTTACTCATAGTTTCTGTAGTTCTTTGTCAAGCTACAGATAAATGTGGAATATGGTGCCAAAGTCTTTATAGAACAGCCTCTTATTGCTATCTTGATAGGGATTTCACTGAATCTGTAGACCACTTTGGGTAGCAGACATTTTGACAATATTTACTCAAAAACCTTTCAGCAGATACTCATGCCTGGGCCAGGTTGTTTCTGAAACCATAATCTAAGTTAAGTCTTCCATTCCAATAATAATCCTGAAGCCCATCAGAGGTGTCTTTCAAAGCTCTTGTGACCCATGGACTTGTGCTGAATCAATGAGGAGAAAAAGTGCTGTAGGAAAAAGCATAATTCAGCATCAACCTCACCTCTCATGTACTGGCTGTGTTGCCTGGAACAAAATTCTTAATCTTTCTGAATCTGACACCTGACCTGTAAAAATGGGCTAATTGCTTTATGATACTATGACAACTTAGAGATTATTCATGTGGCATATTTAGGTTAATCCTCAACATAAGATAAGCATCTAACAGAAGCTATTTTGCGATCTAATAAGTTCTTAGCACTGCACGCATCATGCCATTAAATTTTTGCCAAAGATGTCTTAATTATGAAAATTCCTTTCACAATGAAATAGAAACACACTCGTGTCTATATAAAAAGCTTATAACCTTACTAATGGGATCCTAGCCTGTGAATTTAAATTTGAGCTTGTTTATGCAGTGCCTTCTATGTCACAGGCTATGTGCCAGCCACCCAAAATATTCTTCATACTCAACTCTGACACTCAAATCAGTTTTTCCAGTGGACCGTAGCATGTTCCTCAGATGAGGATGAAATTCAGGAATGATAAAACCATGGCTCTTTGTAGCCTGTTGGTGAATCACAAGCCGAACCAAAGTCTTCTGACACCTTGACATTTTTTTTCCACTCTCCCACACTAGGCATAAAAATGATGTTGGTGATGCCTCAGGATTGAGTGACTCAGGCTGCAAACCTTTGGGGAAGTAGGCTGGGTGGGATAAGCTTGACTCTAGATCAAAGCACTTCAAAGCAGTTTCTCAGGATCATTCATCTTTCATTAAGCAGTGATTGAGCCCCTACTGTGAACACAAACATGATCCTCTTTAAGGTGTTCATAGTCTATACAGGAGGAACAGACACACAAGTAACAGAACAGTCACAGTATAGTCTGAAATCCTTCAAATACCCACCCACCTGCAAGGTGCATTGAGGCATAGGGAAGGGGATTCTTCAGTTGAAACCTCAAAGTTAAGGGGCAGCGTAATTGGACACTGTAGGTAAAGAATTTGTTACAAAGCAAAAACGTGCAGATATTCAGAGGACTAGAAGAACAAGGCATCTGACTGGAGAGTTACTGGGCCTGTGGACTCCTAAGACTGGTATAAAACCGTTTTTGCTAGAGTCGGCAAGCTTAAACTAATACCCAAGAGCGACTGTGAATCAACAATTGTTTTGGAGCTATATTCTGCATAGTTAACAAGGGTGTCCATTAAACATTATCTTGGACCTAATGGCCACTATTTCAATGCCTCAGCAGGATACTAAATGGAATTCTGGCAAGAGAACAGACTTCCATATCTGTTCTTAACTTTAAAATGGCTTTAGGAGGTAGAATAGATCCTGAGAACCAAAGAATAAAGCTCACCGGAAGTTAAAGATGGCTATGAGACCAGGTGTTCCAGTTTATCTTGAGTATCTGAACTATGATCAAATGTCTGTCCTAACCCTTTTGGTTTACATAAGTCCACAGTAACACTTCTACAGAATTCTAGATCTCTTGGCATTGAGTTGCCATGGTTACCTACTTACATGCCTGTCAGCTCGGCTAAACTGTGGTTTTCTTATGGGAATAGTAGCTTCCTTAATACATGTCTGCTGAATTTAAACCCTCTTCCTGCTTCCAACATTCCTTTCAGACTCATGAGGCTGCAGCCATCTCCTATGAGTTGCTGAAATGGGGCCTAATTAGGGTTAGTTGGAGCATCAGGAAGGAAAGACACTACACATACTTAGAGAGCTACACTCCAAACCAGGAGGTCTGTGCCTGCCTTCTGGCTCCTGCAGACACTGGGAAGGTGAGAAGGGTAAAAAGGATTTCAGTCATCAACCATGTATTTTACCCTAATCTAACAGGTCAATATATACTAACAATGAATCCATAAATGCCACCCCCACTGCTTTGTGGGGAAAAAAGGGAGGGGAAGGAAAGGAATAGCATCTCCTTTCTTTTCATCTTTGAAACACTTATTCTTAAAACACATCTGCTAGATCTAATTAGATCCTTTCAAATCCAAGATGAATATTGTTCTCATTTTACACATAGGGTCATTGAGAAGTAGGCTGCTTACACATGTATCTTGCATAAAGCTTACATAAATATCAGCTTGATTTTTGGATGTCTTTAACTCTCAGCCTGATGCCCTTTCTGTATAGCTTACTGGCTGAGAAATGGTTTAAATTTACATGTCTGATGGTTTGTTCAAATGCAATAAATTGTCTGAAGATCAATTTCAGTTAAAGCTATCTTTGCCCCAAGAGGAAAATAAAGTGCAGTTGCAGGTGTATGGACTGAGAATCAGACCTAATTAAAATTACTCTGGCCATGTAGGAGCTATGTAAATTTGTGCAATTTGCCTTATATTTCTTAAGCCTCAGCTCTCTATAAAGGGGGATGGGGATAACATGCTTCTAATGGTTTTAAGGATAGTATAAAAAAATCTTGAAATACAACCTGAACCTACTTACAGCAGCCTGATCTAATATTCCAAATTATAATCACTTAAATACATGAGAATGCAATTAGATTAGCAAAATCCACAGTTCTAACTATAGACTTTGTCCTTAAGTTTTTGAAAGGTTTTAATGATAACAGATGAAGAAATTGAAGTTGAGTTTTGGTGCTAGTTTAAATAATTGACTTCTTACTATGTATGTGACAACCATTGTACAAGGTGCTGTTCATACAATACCTCTAATGCTTCCGGTAAACATGAATAGACAAGTAGGGCTTTACAAGTGAAATACACTTCCAAAGTTCACATGGCTAGGAAGTGGCAGAATTGAAATTAAAATCAGATGGGATTTTTTTCTCCATAACATCAAGAACAACTGAATAAATGCTATGCAGTCATGAATGAAGTTTAGTTTCCTCCTCCCCATGAAATGAGTTCTGTTAAGCTCAAGACACAATGTGGGAAGAGTTTGCATGAGCAAGCTTCCTTTGAGCATCAGGAGACACCTCATGCTGGATCACACAGCTGGCTCTCCTTTATTATGTTCCAGCTGATGAAACCACCACGGCTCCCTTGCCTATAATGGAGTGTTTCAATTTGGGTACAGAATGAAAGATGCAGGCTTCCTCTTCTCCTCCAGAATCTTAATGCAGACTGCTGCACAAAGCTTCCATTAAGAGGATGGTTTGCATTTTTCTTCCTGGGTTTGCCAAATACAAGATCAGGATGTTTCATTCTCAGAGGTAACTGATACCAGCACTTCATAATTCAAACCAATAGATACTTAGGGAGCTCCTACTTTGTGAAAGAACCTGAACTAGATATTGCAGGGCACTGAAAAGTAGACAATATGTGGCTGTATTATTGTAATTTATGCAATTGTCACGATGCTGAGTAGTAATTAGTAATAGTTGAGTGGGTAGTAATTAGTAATGGTTGCAGTGTTGAAGTTAAAAATGGGGATAACAAGATACAGTTGTCCTTCAGTATATGTGACAGATTGGTTCCAGGACATTTGGATATCTCAGTCTTTATATGCTCAAGTATGGAAGTCACCCTGCAGAACCCATGTATGTATAAAAGCCAGACCTCTGTATATATGGACTTGGCACACTGCAAATATTGTCTTGTGTTTTTAAGAGACAGGGCCGCCTCTGTCACCCAGGCTGGAGTGCAGTGGTATAACCGTGGCTCACTGCAGCCTTGAACTTGTGGTCTCAAGCAATCCTTCTGCCTCAGCCTCCTGAGTAGCTAGGACTACAGGCATGTACCACCATACCTGGCTATTGACTTTTATTTCTGGATTGGTCTCACTATGTTGCCAAGGCTGTTCTGAAACTCCTGGCCTCAAGCAACAGCCTCCCAAGTCACTGGGGTTACAGGCATGAGCCACTGTGCCCAGCTCCTAATATGATAATTCCAATTCATATTTGATTGATGGAAACCTGCATATAATCAAGACCAGCATAGTTTAAAAAGGGTCAACTGTATTGTGTTCAAAGACATTTTCTGGTGGGTATGACTGGATCTCGAACACAGAACCTCTAGTTCTCAACCTTAAGTACATTCCATTTCATGCTGCTTAAGAGCTCACACTACAATGATGTCTCACTGTAATGATTTCCGGGACTTTTTCACATAATGGAGCCATGAACCCATAAGCCCGTGCTGAATTTCCAGTATGTGTGAAGTACCAAGGGTTTGAAGATAAACACATATTGCTCCTGTCCCAAAGAACATTAGTTCCATACCTTCTGATAGATGGCCCACATTTTATACCAAGGTTTCATGGATAGTTTGGTGATATGTTTGAAAATGGATTCCCATTGGAAAACAAAATTCCTTCAAATATCCATATATAAAATATATTCATATCCTAGATTTTATTCTGCAGTGAAGTTCTAGCCTATAGGGCCCCTTCAGAACCACAGACAGTTCTCATGAAAAGCCAGATCCAGATGTCCTTGTGGGTTCAGGACCCCCTCCTCATGACTTACACAATGGGCTATACAGATGACATTAAAATGTATGTCTCAATTCCCATCAGTTTATTGATACTATGGACATTTTCCTTATTGCACAAACTCCTGAATTGAGCATATTGTACTCAGTCATACATACTCATCACTCTGTCTCAGCCCCTTTAACATTCTGCCTGACATTTCTAACTAGTGTTTAATCTGTTAATGAGTGAGTGGTTTTCAGAGAACAAGACCAATGTCACATTCCAAAAGCAAGTTCTGAGCAACAAAATCATAGTTCGTATCTCACATTGGAATGACTCAAACCCATGTCTGAAAGCCAGACTCGGACTTTAGGGGGAGGAATTTTTGGGTCCCTACTTAATGAGACTATGATGTATCTTTGTGACAATTAAAGATATCTCCCCTGTGGATGGGTATTTGTAAATGACTATGTGGATGAATTAGGAAAATTTCTGTCTTGGGGAAAGGAGGGATCAGAGAAGCTCAATTCTAGTTAGGATTTTCTGAGATATATGTGACCAGATTAAACAAACATATGCCACAGCTTGGCTTTGGGGACTACCAGGAGAGACTGTTTTATGCAGCTCTGGGAAGCATCACTTTAGCCTATGGAGTCTATGGCGAGAAGGGCACAGGCCCAAACCCTGGCTTTGTTCTCTTACAGCTTGTGTTGCTTTGAGCAAGTCACTTGGCTGCTCTGAAATCATAGCCTCATTTGTTTGAGGTAGATAACACATTCTCTTGCATACTCAATAGGATGAGAGAACATATGTGAAGATGCTTATAACAGAGCAGGCATCAATATTTGTCATTTTCAGACCCAAGACAAATATAGAAATAGAAATGTATTTATGCTTATGGAAGGATGACTAGATCAATTAATCTCTGGATTTGAAAAACTGTGTATTAAGATTTCTCTTTTCCAGCATTGTTTATCACAGTAGAATATCCAGCACCTATTGCCTATGGCAGTGGCATTGATGTTGTAAACTTGGGGTGTCTCTGCCTGTCTCATTCACTCACTATCCCTGTTCCCTGAGATCATCTTACACATCAGCCATGTGTACTGGAGGACTTGTCCTTGGCTCTGCTTTCGTGGGGATCTAAATTACAAAGAACATCTGTGACTTCTGTGACTTCTGCTTTCAGCTCCAAAATGTAAAGATCTTGAATTTTGTGCTTTTATCTTTATAAGAATAAGCTAAAAATCAATGACAGGTATTCGATACCTTTTCAAGAGTGAAGCTTGCAGTGCAACCGCCACCCTGAAATTTGGAGAGACAGACAAATCCAGAAAGGTTAAAGCCTTTCTACTTGAAATAGAAGCTGCTGGAGCCAAAAACTGGTAGGAGTTCTTAAGTGGTAATTTTAATAAACTGCTGGGAACTGAGTATGGACTAGCATAAGGGACAAACTCTTGGGGGGCTACAGTCTTAGGAGGTCTGCTTACTTTAGGGGGCTTCACCTCCAGGAACCCCACCAGGTTCTCAGGAACCAAGAAAGATTCCCTCCTTGGCTCTGGCAATGGGCTGGAAGAGTAATCCATGTGAAATAAATCCACAGCCTTCCCCATAACAAATGTCTTCTCTCCAGAGCCATGGGGAAGGGTATGCCTCTCCTCCAGGCCCCTCCATCTGTCCTGTCTCACCCAAGGTTGGAGGGCTACACAAGAAGAAAAACTTGTGGAGGTCACAGGTCAGAGAAACCCACTAAACAACTGAAATTTAATTGGAAGATTGTACAGCATTCTCCCTCTTCCGTATCTTAGCACCACATCAACAGAGCCCCACCAAAGTAACAATGGATTAGAGCTGAAAGAGCTTCAAGACAGGCTGTCATGAGCAAGAATAAGTAGGAAAGCCCAAGGTCAAAGAATAAAAACAAGGACATTAGGGGAATCTGAAGCCTCTGGCACCTGTAGCCACATGAAATACTAAAGGTCAAATGCTAGCCAGATTAACGTAAGTCCTCATACTAGAGATCCATGTACCTTTGTTCCTATGACCTGAAATACCATATCCAGCTTTAAACAGTAACAAAGACACAAGCCAGGCCCAGTGGTCAAGTCTGAAAGGAAGAAAAAACAAGCATCAGATCCAGATTTGAATCCTGTGACACAAATGTTAGAATTATCAAAGAAATCTTAAAATAGCTGAATATGTTAAGAGCTTTATTAATTGTAAGTTTGTTTCTCTCCTTGAAATTCACATATTGAAGCTAGAATAACCCTCAGATTGGCTACCTGTGGAGATATGGCCTAGACTCATGGTGAAATGCGGTCATGAGGGTGCACCCTGACTCAATGGGATTAGTGTCTCATGAGAAAAGACACTAAAGAGTTTACATTTTCCTTTTCTCCCCAAGAAGGCTCAGAGGAAAGACCATATGAGGACAAAGCAGCTCTCTACAAGCTAGGAAGAAGAGCCTCCACCAGAAGTTGTCTGGAACTTCTGTCTTGGACTTTCCAGCCTCTAGAACTGAGAGAAAGTAAATTTCTATTGTTCAAGCCACCCTGTCTATGGAATTTTGTTCTGGAAGCTCAAGCAGACTAATATGGGCTCTAATAAAAAGACAAATGTAAGAACAGATGGGTAATATAAGTTGAGAAATGGAAACTCTAAGAATCAGAAGGAAATGTTCAAAATCAAAATAACAGAAGAATGTCTTTGAGCTCATCAGTTGACTTGAGGTAGCCAGGAAAATCAATAAGCTTGAATATAGGTCAATAGAAACTTCCCAAACTAAAATGCAAAGAGAAAAAAATAGAACATTACATCCAAGAACAGTGGGACAACTTCCATAAGATGTGGTGTGTGTGTGTGTGTGTGTGTGTGTGTGTGTCTAGCTAGAATATTTAGAACAGAAGGAATACTTAATGGCTTAAAGAGTTCCAAAAAATACAAAAACCAGAAAGCTCAACACCAAACATAATAAATATACACCTAAAAGCTACATATAGGCATATCATGTTACAACTGCGAGAAACCAGCGACATAGAAGAAATATTGACAGAAGCCAGGGTGGAAGGGGCCAAAGGAGAGGAGAGGAGGTTAGGAGAACCAAATGATACCGAAACAAAAACTGGGAAGAATGACTTAGAGAAACAAATTTCTCATGAGAAACCATAAAACCAACAATGTTGCTATGGTTTGTATCCCTCAAAGTTCATGTGTTAAACTTAATCCCTAACGTAGCAGTGTTGAGAGATAGGATCTTCAAGAGGTGATATGATCATGATAGGTGCTAGGATAGCTCTGCCATCATGAATGCATTGTCATTATCTTGAGAATGGGTTAGTGATTGCAAGAGTGAGCTTGTCCCTCTCTTGCTCCATCTTGCAGTCGCTTGCCCTTTGCTTAAGTTGATGCAACAAGGCTCTCACCAGCTGGTGGCATGTTGATATTGAATTTTCCAGTCTCCAAAACTGAAATTTTTCTTTATAAACTACCCAGTCTGTAATATTTTGTTACAGCAATGCAAAACAGACAAAAGACAGGTACCAAGGAGTGGAGCTGTTGCTTTAACAAATACTCAAAAACATGAAAGTGTAACTAAGGTACAGGCCACACATCTCTTGAAAGCCAAAATTGAGAGAAGCTTTTGAAAAGGAAAGTCAGCTGTATTCAAGATGCCAGCAATCCAGAGGAGGCAGTGAACTTGTGTTTAAAGACTACCTCTCCAAGCTGTATGTCTGAATCTGGGGTTCTTAAGGGAAACTAAGAGAGGACAAACAATGACCAAAGCATTTCTGTGAAATGGTTGTCAGTTAATCATTGTTTTCTTGGTTAATGTCTTGTGGCCTTCTGCAGGAGCCATCAGGCTGTTCTTCTCAGGCTGATCAGCCCATTCCCAAAGTTCTTGGTCCATGTATTTTATCTCTGAAGGTCCTATTTTCCTGAGGCTGCTTTTTAATATAATCTACAAACCCAAGCAAAGCAATAATATACAAGCAAACAAGCTCTTCTGTTACAGGACACCTGGGTCTGGAAGCAGGGAACCTCAGGCCAATTAACCCAAACTTCCTAAAGCCTAAACCAAAAGGAGAAACTCCATCTCCCTAGGGTGGAAGAACAAAGGATCAAAGGCTAGTCTCTCCCTGCAGCCCTCTCACTTCCACCATGTCTCAAGTGGAAAGGGAGGGTGCCTTGGAGTGGCCTTGGGCCAAGCAGGGACAATCCCTTCATCTGCATAGAGTGCCAATTCACCTCAGCCTTGAATTAAATTCACCTTAGCCTTCAGCCACAGACCGAATCCTTCATATGAGGGGTAACAGATAGGAACCTCAAAAGGAGTACTTAAAACCCAGAAAACTTTGTAACTAGGCCCTTGAGCCATTTGCTCGGGCCCACTCCCACCCTGTGGAGTGCTTTCTCCCTTTAATAAATTCCTGCTTTGTTCCTGTGTCTCACTCCTTTGTGCGTTTTGTCCAATTCTTTGTTCAAAATGCCAAGGGACCTGGACAACTCATACTCACAGCCTTCCAGTAACAGTTTGAATGTGTTTCCCAAGATTCATGTGTTGGAAACAAACTTCAGTGTGAGAAGCAGGACCTTTAATAGGATATTAGGGCTCTGCCCTCATGAATGGATGAATGTCATAATTGTGGGAGTTTGTTTGTCACTGAGAGTAAGTTTGTTATGGAAATGAGTTTAGCCTTATTCTCATGTTGTCACCCTTCTTTCACCACAGGATGACATATCCTTAATATTTTCAGCCTCCCAAACTGGATCTGGGATTCTTAAGGGAAATTAAGGGAGGGACAAACAATGAACAAAGCATTTCTGTGAAATGGTTGTCAGTTAATCATTGCTTTCTTGGTCAATGTCTTGTGGCCTTCTGCAGGTGCCATCAGGCTGTTCTTCTCAGGCTGACCAGCCCATTCTCAAAATTCTTGGTCAGTGTATTCTTTTATATACAAGCAAACCAGCTCTTCTGTTACAGAACACCTGGCTAAAGCTGGGTTCATGTAGATGTACAATAGTTGTATACATTAATTGTAGCAGGACGAGCCACAGACAAAACCTCTTAGACACCGAGTTGTAGAAGGAAGGGCTTTATTCAGCTAGGAGCATCGGCCAGCTACTGTCTCAAAATCTGAGCTCCTCGAGTGCACAATTTGTCCCTTTTAAGGGCTCACAACACTAAAGATTTCACATGAAAGGGAGGGTCATGATTGATTTGAGCAAGCAAGGGGTACATGACAGGGGCTGCATGCAATGGTGCTCAGGGAGAAACAGAACAGGGCAGGGAGTTTCACAATGTTCTTCTATAGAATGTCTGGAATCTATGAATAACATCAGTTTCTAAGTCATAAGTTGATTTTTAACTACTGGGTTTAGGCCAGGCAGGCCCAGGCCTGGTTTCGGGCCTGGCACTGGGCTTGCCTGTCTTTGGTTTTACTTCCTTGTTGTTTTTAACTGAGTATAAAACAATGTAAAACAATATGAGAGGGTCTCTCTCTTCTCTCATAATAAGGTACATGTGATTTTGATAAAATATACAATATATAATGATCAAATAAGGCATCACCTCAAATATTATTTCTTTGTGTTAGAAACATTCCAATTCCACTATTCCATTTCTAAAAATAGAATAAACTGACTAACAGCTGCTCTATTGTGCTACTAAATGCTAGATTGTTAGTCTCACCAATGCATCACAATGTAGCAGTCTTTCGTAACCCCAGGTATCACCTGAAGTTTTTTGACTCAGGTCCAAGAAAGTTAAGGAACGTGGACACCAAGGGTGAAGTTGGAGTGGAAGTTTTAATAAGCAAAAGAAGAAAGCTGTCTGCTGCAGAGAGGGGACACAGAAGAGGATTGCTGTGTTTACAGTTGAATGCAAAGGCTTTTATAAGAAAGCCATAAGGGCTGTACATCTTATCTGCTTAAGGCATGAATTTCTGGTAGCTTCACCCCATCCTCCTAATGCACAATGCAGGCCCTTTGCTTGAGTTACTCCATATTGCTTTGTTCCCCTTACTGTGCATGTGCCGGGGATGGAATATTCCATTGTGGGCATGTCTATACAAGTCACCTGTATAGCCTTTCTTATCTGTGTGGTTGTGGGTATGTCTCAGGCAAGCACCCCTGTGCAAGTTCCCTTGTCTCTGCAGGCTGTTCCTTTGTTTGGAAGAATTCAACCAAGCACCCACCCTAACTGCCTGCCTAACTGGTTTCTTCCTTTCTCCTCTCAAGATCCTATTACTTCTAATTGCATTTTGTACCCATTTAATCAGGCCATCTTCATGCCCACCTCTCCACTACTCCTCCCAATCCCTAGTCACTTTCATTTTACTCTCTATCTCCATAAGATCAACTTTTTTAGCTCTAACATGAGGGATGACATAAACTATTTGTCTTTAAAAATTTTTTGATACCTTGTGTTTATATATACTTGTGGAGTACATGTGAAATTGTGTTACATGCATAGGCTATAATCAAGTCAGAACATTTAGGGTATTCATCACCTCATGTATTTTCTGTTCTGGGGGAGATTTCAAGTCCTGCCTGGCTTATTTCACTTTAACACAATGTCTAGTTCCATCCATGTTGCCATGAATTACAGGATTTAATTATTTAATGGCTGTGTGGTATTCCACTGTGTATATATCCCATATTTATTCATCTGTTGTTGGATACCTAAGTTGATCCTATATGTTGGCTATTGTGAATAGTGCTGCAATAAACATAAGAGAGCAGCTATCTCTTCACAATACAGATTTCCTTTCTTTTGAATATATACCCAGCAATGGGATTGCTGAATCATTTGGTAGTTCTGATTGTAGCTTTTGAAAGAACCTGCATGTTGTTTCCATAGTGGCTCTACCAATTTATATTCCCACCAACAGTATACAAGTATTCCCCCTTTTTCCACATTCTTGCCAGCACCGTTTTTTAATAAGGCATTTTAACTACAGTGAGATGATATGTAATGGTTTGATTTGCCTTTCTGCCTAGTGTTGTCAAGTATTCTTGATATTCCCTTTGGTCATTTGTCTCTTGAGAAATGTCTATTCAGATATTTTGCTTCAGTTTCTAATACATCCTGGTGGTTAATCCGTTGAGTTGGTTAGTCTGAGCATGTTCTATAGGTTGTCTCTTCACTCTGTTAATTGTAACCTTTGTGCAGAAGTCATCACAGAAATACAAAAATTCTAAAATTTACGTGGAACAAAAAAAGATCCAGATAGCCAAAGCAATGCTAAGCAAAAATAACCAAGTGAGAGACATCGCATTACCTGATGATATGGTTTGGCTGTGTACCCACCCAAATCTCATTTTGGATTGTAGCTCCCATAATCTCCCTATGTTGTGGGAGGTAATTGAATCATGGGTGTGGGTTTTTCCCATGCTGTTCTCATGATAGTGAATATTCCCATGAGATCTGATGGTCTTATAAAGGGCAGTTCCTCTTGCCCACCTCTATGTAATACATGACTTTGCTCCTCATTCACCTTCTGCCATGATTGTGAGGCCTCCCCAGCCATGTGGAACTGTGAGCAAATTAAACCTTTTTCCTTTATAAATTACCCAGTCTTGAGTGTGTCTTTATTAGCAGCATAAGAACAGATTAATACAGTAAATTGGTACTAGGTAGGGCAGGGTGGGGGGTGCTGCTGTAAAGATACCTGAAAATGTGGAAGTGACTTTGGAACTGGGTAACAGGAAGAGGTTGGAACAGTCTGGAGGGCTCAGAAGAAGGCAGGAAAATGTGGCAAAGTTTGGAACTTCCTAGAGATTTAGAGGGTTCAGAAGATGGGAGGTTGTGGGAAAGTTTGGAACTTCCTAGAGGCTTGTTGAATGGCTTTGACCAAATGCTGCTCCTCTCAGATGGAGATGAGGAACTTGTTGGGAACTGGAATAAAGGTGAGTCTTGCTGTGTTTTAGCAAAGAGACTGGTGGCATTTTGCTCCTGCCCTAGAGATCTGTGGAGCTTTGAGAGAGATGAGTTGGGGTATCTGGAAGAAATTTCTAAGCAGCAAAGCATTCAAGAGGCAGCAGAGCATAAAAGTTTGGAAAATGTGCAGCCTGATGATGCTATAGAAAAGAGAACTCCATTTTCTAGGGAGAAACTCAAGCTGGGGCTGCAGGAATCTGCATAAGTAATGAGGAGCCAAATGTTAATTACCAAGACAATGGGGAATATGTCTCCGGGGCATGTCAGAGAACTTCACAGCAGCCCCTCCCATCACAGGCCTGGAAGCCTAGGAGGGAAATATGGTTTCCTGGGCTGGCCCCAGGGCCCCACTGCTCTATGCAGCCTCGGGACATGGTGCCCTGTGTCCCAGCTGCTTCAGCTCTGGCCATGGCTAAAAGGTGCCAACATACAGCTCAGGCCACGGCTTCAAAGAATGTAAGCCCCAAGCCTTGGTGGCTTACATGTGGTGTTGGGCCTATGGGTGCACAGAAGTCAAGAATTGAGATTTGGGAACCTTCACCTAGATTTCAGAGGATGTCTGGAAACACATGGATGTCCAGGCAGAAGTTTGGGGCAGAGGCAGAACCCTCATGGAGAACTGCTAAGGCAGTGTAGAAGAGAAATGTGGGGTCAGAGATCCCACAGAGTCCCCACTGAGGCACTGCCTAGCGGAGCTGTGAGAAGAGGGCCACCATCCCCAAGACCCCAGAATGGTAGATTCACCAACAGCTTGCACCGTGCACCTGGAAAAGCTGCAGACAATCCCAGTCCATGAAAGCAGCCAGGAGTGGGGCTGTACCCTGAAAAGCCACAGGAGCAGAGCTGCCTAAGACCATGGGAGCCCATCTCTTGCATCAGTATGACCTTGGATGTGAGACACAGAATCAAAGGAGATCACTTAGGAGCTTTAAGATTCAACTGCCCCATTGGATTTCAGACTCATCTGGGGCCTGTAGCCCCTTTGTTTTGACCAATCTCTCCCATTTGGAATGGATGCATTTACCCAATGCCTTTACCCACATTGTATCTAGGAGGTAACTAACTTGCTTTTGATTTTATAGGCTCATGGCAGGAGGGACTTGCCTTGTCTTAGATGAAAATTTGGGCTGTGGACTTTTGAGTTAATGCTGAAATGAGTTAAGACTTTGGGGGAACTATTGCAAAGGCATGATTGGTTTAGAAATGTGAACATGAGATTTGGGAGGAACCAGGGAGGAATGACATGGTTTGGCTATGTCCCCACCCAAATCTCATCTTAAGTTGTAGCTCCCATAATCCCCACATATTGTGGGAGGGATTCAGTGGGAGGTAATTGAATCATGGAGGTGGATTTTCACCATGCTTTTCTCATGATAGTGAATAAGTCTCATGAGATCTGACGGTTTTGGTAAAGGGCAGTTCCCCTATACAGGCTTTCTTGCCTGCCACTGTGTAAGACATGACTTTGCTCCTCATTCACCTTCTACCATGATTGTGAGGCCTCCCCAGCCATATGGAACTGTGTGTCCATTAGACCTTTTCCTTTATAAATTACCTAGTCTTGAGTATATCTTTATTAGCATGAGAACAGACTAATACACCTGACTTCAAATTATACCACAAAGTTACCATAACCAAACAGCATGACACTGGCATTAACAGACTTATGTACCAATGAATTAGAGAACTCAGAAATTCACTTATTTACAGCCAACTGATTTGGACAAAAGTACAAAGAATACTCACTGGGAAGAGGACAGTCTCTTCAATAAATGGTGCTGGGACAACTGGATATCCATTTGCAGAAGAATGAAACGAGACCCCTTATCTCACCATATACAAAAATTAACACAAAATGTATCAAACTAAATATAAGGCCCAGACTATAAAGCTACTAGAAAACATAGGGAAAACACTTCAGTGCACTTGTCTGAAAAACACAAGACCTAAAATGTACAGGCATCAAAAATAGACAAATGGAATTATATAGAACTAAAATGTTTCTGCACAGCAAAAGAAAGTGACAAGGTAACTTACAGAATGGGATAAAGTATTTGCAAACTATTCATCCAACAGGGGATTAATAACCAAAATATACAAGAAACTCAACAGCAAAAATCTAAAGACAATCTGAACAGGTATCTTCTCAAGAACATATAAATGGCCAACAAAATATGTCAACATCACTAATCATGAGGTAAATACAAACCACAATGAAGCATCTTCTTACCATAGTTAAGATGGCTATTATGAAAAAGACAAAAATGCTGGTAAGAATGTGAAGAAAAGGGAACCTTGTACACATTGGTGGGAATGTAAACTAGTACAGTCACCACAGAGAACAGTATGGAGATTCCTCAAAGTTTAAAAATATATAACTACCCTGTGATCCAGTAATTCTATTGGGTAGTTACCCAAAGGAATTGAAGTCATTACATCAAAAAAGACATCTGCACCCCTATATTTATGGCAGCACTATTCCCAATAGCCAAGATAGTCAAACTAGGTGTCCAACAGACAATAAGGAAAATGTGGATAAAGTACAATGGAATACTACTCAGCAATTAAAATCCTATTATTCATGGAAACATGGATGGAACTGGAGGATATTAAGTGAAATAAGCTATGAGCAGAAAGTAAAACACATGTTCTGACTCTTACATGGAAACTTAAAGTTGACCTCTTAAGTCAACAGTAGAAACTCAATGATATTCTGAGGCTGAGAATAGGAAAGGGAAAAATAGGGAAAGATCTATTAAAGTATACACAATCACAGCTTGAAAGGAGGAATACATTCTAGTGTTCTATACCACTGTAGAATGACTATAGTTAACTTATAGTTTCAAGGATACTATAGATAGATACTAGAAGGATATTGAATGTTCCCAACACAAATGATGTCTCAGATGATTACCCTGATCTTGTCACTATACATTATATATACTGAAACATCACCGAACCCCATAAATATGTACAATATTGTCAATTAAAATGTATTTTAAAAAACAATACTAATGGAAAAATCAAAGGAAGACAGCAAGAGGAAGAAAGGAACAAAAGATCTACAAAACAACCAGAAAATGTCAGTACTTACCTATTAATAACTACCTTGAACATAAGTGGTCTAAATTCTCCATGTAAAAGGCAGAGTGGATGAATAGATCATTTAAAAAGACTCCATGCTGCCTTTAATAACTCACTTGACCTGTAAGTACACCTATAGCATAAAAGTGAAGAAATGGAAAAAGATACTCCAGGTGATTTGGATCTGTGTCCCCACCCAAATCTCATATGGGATTGTAATGTTGGGGTGGGGCCTGGTGGGAGGTGATTGGATCATGGGGGTGGTTTCTCATGGTTTAACACCATCCCTCTTGGTGCCATTGTTGTAATAGTAAAGTCTCGTGAGATCTGGTTGTTTAAAAGTGCGTGGCACCACCCCACATGCCCCTTCCTCCTCCTCCTCTAGCCAGGTAAGATGTGCTTGCTTTCTCATCACCATCTGTCATGATTATAAGTTTCCTGAGGCTTCCCTAGAAGCTGATGCCACTATGCTTCCTGTACAACCTGTAGAACTGTGAGACAATTAAACCTCGTTATAAACTCCCCAGTCTCAGGTGTTCCTTTACAGCAGTGTGAGAACAGACTAATATACCATGCAACTGGAAACCAAAAGACAGCAGGAGTAGCTATACTTATCAGGTAAGCTAAAAGTCAGAAACTTTAAAATTAGACAAGTCATTCATTAATAAACGGGTCAATTCATCAAGATATAACAAGTATAAATACATATGAATCCAACTAGGAGCACATAAACATGTAAAGCAGATATTAATAGAATTGAAGGGAGAGATAGACTCTAAAATAGTAGGGAAATTTAATACCCTACTTTCAGCAATAGATTGATCATCCAGAGAGAAAAATCAGAAAACATCAGACTTCAACTGCACTTTAGATGAACTAAGCCTAGCAAGACATTCACAGAACAATTAACCCAAAAATGCATTTTTTAAAAGCACAAACAGAATTTTCTCCAAGATAGATTATATGGTAGGTTACAAAGCAAGTTTTAGAAACTTTAAGATGGGAGTATATGCTCAAGGCAACTTGAAGTTGCAGAAACTATAAAAGAAAAACCGTAAGATTGAAAATCACATTACGTATCTTTTCTGAGCACAGTATTAAACTAGAAATTCAGAAAACTTATAAATATATACAAATTAAACATGTTGCTGAGCAATCAATGGGTCAATGAAGCAATTAAAGTTTAAATGTCTTGAGACAAAGTGGTGTATAACGTTCCTAAAGGTATCAGATGCAGAAAAAGCCATTCTGAGCATTTATAGCAATAAATGCCTCTATCAAAGATCTCAAAAAACCTAACATTACACAAGGGACTAGAACAAATTAAGCCCAAAGTTAGTTAAAAAAAAAAATGAAATAAAGACCATAGCAGAAGTAAACAATAGACTAGAAAGAGAGAATATCAATAAGAGTTTTTTCAAAAATAAGCCATTAGCTAAGACTCAGATTTGAAAAATCAGTTCTTTTGAATTTCTGATAAATTCAGAGAATCATAAGAGCCTACTATGAACAATTATGTACCAAGTAGATCACCTAGAAAGTGGATAAACCCCTAGACACATACTGCTTACCCAGATTAAGGCACAAAGAAAAAATCTGAACATACCAATAATGAGTAAGATTGAATCAGTAAGTAAGGTCTCCCATCAAAGAAAAGCCCAGGACCTGATGGATGTGCTGAATTCTACCAAACATTTAAAGAATGGTTACCAGTCCTTCCCCAACATTTCTAAAAATTCAAGTGAAGGTAATACTTCCAAATGCACTTTATGAAGCCAGCATTACCCTGATACCAAAGCTGACAAGGACACGTTAGACTAACATCCCTGAAGAACATAATGCAAAAATCCTCAAAATACTAGCAAACCAAATTCAAGAGCACATTAAAAGCACTCACAATCGAGTGGGGCTTATCACAGGGATGCAAGAGTGGTTCAGTATGTGTAAACTCATAAATGTGCAACCACATTAACAGAACAGACAAACCATAAGACCATATCGATAGATGCAGAAAAAGCATTTGACAAAACTGCCTTGTAATGAGGCATCTCAAACTAGGTACAGAAGAAATGAGCCACAACACAATAAAGGCCATGTGACAAAGCCACAGCTGACATACTCTATGGTGAAAAGCTGAAAGCTTCTCCTCTAAGATCCTGGAGCAAGACAAGGATGGCCATTTGGATACCTCTATTTAACATAGTATTAGAAGCCCTAGCCAGAGCAATTAGGTAAAAAGAAAGTAAAACATTTCAATTAGAAAAGAAATTAAATTGTCCCTGTATGCAGATGATCTGATACATGTAGAAAATCCTAAACACATCACTAAAAACTTATTAGAACCAATAAATGACTTCAGAAAAGTGGCAGGATACAAAATGAACTTACAAAAATTAGACATGTTTCTAACACTATCTGAAAAATCAGGAAGACCATCCCACTTACGACAGCTAGGAATGTACTCAAAATTAAGCAAGTAAGAACCTGTACGCTGAAAACTACAAGATATTGAAAGAAGTTAGATACAAATGAAAGAGACCCTCAGTTCATATTGGAAGAATTCATACTATTAAAATGTCCATACCACTCAAAGCAATCCAGGGATTCAACATAATCCCCATCAAAATTCCAATGTCGTTATTCAAAGAAATAAGACAATCCTAAAACAGGTATGGAACCATAGGAGTGTCTCCCACCATAGCCAAAGCAATTCTGAGCAAAAAGAACAAAGCTGGCGGCCTCACACTACCTGTCTTGATTATTATAGTTTTGTAGTATGTTAAAGACAGCATGGTGCTGACCTAAAAACAGACACATAGACCAATAGAACAGAACCAGAGAGCCTGGAAAAAAACTTTCAAATTACATTTATATTCAATTTATTTCTGACAAAGGTATCAAATATAAAATGGGTACAGGACAATCGCTTTAAGAAATGGTGTTTGACAACTGGATATTCACATGCAGAAGGATGAAATAATACCCCTATTATACCATGTACAAAAATTAACATGGATTACAGACTTAAATGTAAGACCTGAAACTACAAAACTATGGGAAGAAAACATTAGGAAAAATCTCCATGACATTGGTCTGGGAAATGATTTCTTGGATAGAATTTCAAAAATGCAGGCAACAAAAGCAAAAACAGACAAATTATATCAAATGAACTTCCGCACAGCAAAGGAAATGAGACAACCCATGGATTGAGAATATTTACAAACACACTTCTGATAAGTGGCTAATACTCAAAACAAATATACCCGCTACATTTTGATTGTGTTCCCTCAAATTCAGATGTTGAAATGTGTTCTCTCAAATTCAGATGTTGAAACTTAATGGCCAATGTGATAGCATTAAGAAGGTGCAGCCTTTAAGAGGTGATGAGTACGTAAGGGCTCCTCCTTCATAAATGGGATTAGGGACCTTATGAAAGAGGACTTAGGCAGTGTTGGGTTATCTTGCCCTTCTGCCATGTGAAGACAGTGTTGTTCCCTGTGTTAGTCCATTCTTGCACTGCTGCAAAGAAATACCTTAGACTAAGTAACTTATAAAGAAGAGGTTTAACTGTCTCACAGTTCCATAGGCTGTACAGGAAGCGTAATTGTGACATCTGCTTGGCTTCTGGGGAGGTCTCAGGAAACTTACAATCATAGCAGAAGGCAAAGGGGAAGCAGGCTCTATTAGGGTTCGCTAGAGCGAGAGAGACAGGACTAACAGGACAGATATATGAGCAGGAGTTTATTAAGGAGTATTGACTTACATGATCACAAGGTGAAGTCCCACAACAGGCCGTCTGCAAGCTGAGGAGCAAGGAAGCCAGTCTGAGTCCCAAAACCTCGAAAGTAGGAAAGCTGACAGTGCAGTCTTCAGTCTGTGGCCGAAGGCATGAGAGCCCCTGACAAACACTGATGTAGGTCCAAGAGTCCCAAAGCTGAAGAACCTGGAGTCTACTGTTCTAAGGCAGGAAGCATCCAGCACGGGAGAAAGATGAGAGCGGGAAGACTCAGCCAGTCTAGCCCTTCCACGTTCCTCTGCCTGCTTTTACCCTAGCTGCACTGGCAGCTGATTAGATGGTGCCCACTCAGGGTGGGTCTGCCTCCCCCAGTCCACTGACTCAAATGTTAGTCTCCTATGCCAGCACCCTCACAGATATACCCAGGAACAATATTTTGCATCCTTCAATCCGATCAAGTTGACACTCAACATTAACCATCACACAGGCACATCTTACATGCTGCCTTTGCATTGCAGCAACCCTATCTCCTCCTGATGATGATCAAGACTTCTCCTACTACAATGGTCACTTTTTTTGCTTGCTGGTCCCTGGACATAAGCAGCCTGCAGTTCCCAGATGGAAGCTATGGCTTATAGTTCAACAGAACACTTGCTATACCAGTTAGTGAAATTACTTTCCACTGGGGATCAGAACATCTAATCCTGCAAAGCCCAGAGTTACAGGGTCAGGAGACAAATTTTCCAAGTGGGTCACCTGGAGTTGTGTGAGGCCCTGCTGGCATCTGCCTCTTTATTTCAGGACCTATATATTTTTTCCTAATGGGAAGATGGCACCATAATGTCTGTGATTCAATATACCTCCTGCATTCTGGAGGCTGGTGCTGAATTTTCTTAAAATACTGCCTCTCAGCTAAGGCTTTGGCTGTGCCTGCAGTTTGCTGGTGATCATAAGATATATATGTCATATAACATACTGTTATAACAGTATATAACATAACAGTCATAACTTGGTGGTCATAAGATAATAGTATGTTATATGACTTGTATATCTTATGATCACAACTCCTCATGTTACATAAAATGGGTACCCTGATCTAATGAGATATATTATGTAGGACCACAAGCCAGGGGATCACATATTCAATAAGGCCTTGGGTAGGAATTCTGGCTAAAACACATAGGAAAAGCAAACCCATACCCAGAATATGTCTTCCATCAGAATAGGTAACTGTCTTTTTTATCATGGAAGGATCCTGGTATACTCAATTTAGCTCCAAGTTGATCTCCTTGAGTAAATCATCCACTTCAGGGGCTATGTTTTGGTCTCTGTAGGGCAGTCGAGGTTCAGAATAATCTTGGTAAATGAGAGACCAGGCTATTTGCCCCATCTGTATAACTTCCTTCCTGTCACTATGGTTGTTGGATTCATGTGTTGAAGAGTGTCAACAATTAGGTAACCAATGTGAGCCTAGCTTATATCAACTGGGCAAGTTGTTTGGTCTAATTGGTTGTTTAGCACCTTATCTGTAAAGTATAATCTCTGGTTGAGGTAGCAAATGATACCAAGTATTTGAGGCCACTCTTGCATAGCTATAAAGGAATATCTGAGACTATGTAATTTATAAAGAAAAGAGGTTTAATTGATTCTGAAGGCTGTACAGAGAACATGGCACCAGCATCTCCTTGGTTTCATTGGAGGCCTCAGGGACCTTTTACTTATGGCAGAAGGTAACGTAGAAGCTTGCATGTCCCATGGTGAATGCAGGAGCAAAAGAACAAGTATGGGGGGAGGGTGCCACACACTTCTAAACAACCAGATCTCTCGAATGCATGAGGACAGCACCAGGCCATGAGGCATCTGGCCCCATGACCCAATACCTCCCGCCAGGCCCCACCTCCAATACTGGGGATTACAATTCAACATGAGATTTAGTGGGGACATATATTCAAACTACTACCAAGATATCTTTCCTTACTACTAGCTATTCACATATGTAAAAACTTCATATCTCTTTCAAAATTTCTCATTTAAAATCTTAGTGTTTGTCTTTCCATGTCTATGAGCAGCTGGCCATGTCAGCTGTGAGTGCACATGAATCATAGTTATCACCTTGGACTACTTGTGTCTTTACACAAGTGGATAACTAGGTGCAGCCTATGAAGCTTTGCCCATTTGGAGGACTTCTTTCATCCTGGGTGAGGGAGGAGGATTAGATGAAGGTAAGGAAAAGAGTGAGAGGACTGAGGACAAAACTCATGCCTTCAGCAGTGAAGCTATTCTATATGATACTATAATGGTGAGTATATGTCATTATACACTTAGGCAAATCTGCAGGATGCACAACACCAAGAGTGGAACCTCATGTAAACTGTGGACTTTGGATCCATCAGTTATGACAAATGTACCCTTTTGCTAGGGGTGCTGGTAGAGAAAAGGTTGTGCATGTGTAGGGGCAGAGGGTGTATGAAAAGTCTCTGTACCTTTCACTCCATTTTGCTGTGGATCTAAAACTTCTCTGAAAAAGTAAAGTCTATTTTCAAAACTCCATAAAACTTTGTTAATGCAAAACAAAAAGCCTTGTATCTGTACTTCCAACCACCAGAAACTTCTTTCAGTTTCTCAAACCTACCTCTTCCACCCTCAAACTCTCTGCACTGCCTGTTCTGATTGCTGTGAGTACTTTTTTCCTCTGTTCTTTGCTCCACTCGATCATTTTATTCCTTCAGAGCTGAGCTTCAGTGTTATTTTCCTGGGAAAGCCCTTCCTTTATCCCTGCCCTGCTATTTTTCAGAAAACTATGACATCTGTTCTTTTTATAGAATGTTAACAATTTATTCATTTACTGTTCATGTTTGTCAACATGAAGATGTAGACCATGCCTTTGTTATTCACTATTGTATCCCCAGCGCATAATACAGGGTGCTCTCAGAATGGATATGCACTTCTATTAGGGTTCTCCAGAGAAACAAAACCAATAGGATGAAATACATATTATATAATGGTATTGGCTTATGATTGTGGAGTTGAGAAATCCCATAATCTGCCACATGCAAGCCCAAGACCCAAGAAAGCCAGTGATGTAGTTTGAAGGCCTGAGAGCTGGAGAGCCAACAGGGTGAATATTCTAGTCTGCATCTGAAGGTATGAGAGCCAGGAGCACCGAGGGCATGACATCTATGTCTTGGCTAAAGAGATCAGGCAGCAAGGGTAAATCCAAACATCCTCCATATTTTCATTGTATTCAACAGATTGAGGAAGGTGCATTGGGGAAGGTGATCTGTTTTACTCTGTCCACCAAATCAAATGCTAATCTCTTCCAGAAATGCACTCACTGAAAAAAACAGGAATAATGTTTGATCAAATATCTGGGCATCCTAAGGCCCAGTCAAGTTGATACACACAATTAACCATCAAAACACGAATTTCTAATTTGTTAGATAAAAGAATAATAATTATACTTTGTCTCACTTTTATTTTATGAAAACTTTATACCTTTAAACCTCCCAAATTCAACAATGATTATCAATATTTTGTCACATTTGTTTCATGCCCCCCATCTATTCCTTTCATTTCTTGTTTCATTTAAATATTTTCAAGCAAATTCAAAACATCATGTCACTTATCTCTACAAGCATCAGCATGGAACTCTAAAAAATGAAGATTTTCTTCATGTGCAATATGCAATACAATCACTTATAAAATTATAATGACAACATGTTTGTTTTGTCAAGTGTTGGTGAGGATGTGGAAAAGAACTCTTGTCCATTAATTAATTATTACAGCCATCATGGAAAACAGTAGCTCCTCAAAAAACTAAAAATAGAACTGTAATATGATCCAGCAATCTCACTTCTGGGTATATATCCAAAGAAATTAAAATTAGTATCTCAAAAGAATATCTGCACTCCTATACTAATTGCAGCACTACTTGCAATAGCCACTATGTGAAATCAACCTCTAAGTGTCCATCAATGAATGAATGAAGAAAATATGGTGTATATATATACACACACACAATGGAATATTCAGCTATATAAATAATTCTGTTATTTGCAACAACATGAATGGAACTGGAAGTCATTATGTTAAGTGTAACAAGCCAGACACAAATCCTGTATAATCTCATTTATATGTGAAAACTAAAAAAGTTAAACTTGTCAGTAGAAGTAAAATGGTTACCAGAGGCTGGGAGCATGGGGTAAGGAGGGAATGAGGAGTTGCTGATCAAAGAGCACAAAGTTTCAGATAGACAGGGGTGATAAGTTTTGATTTATTGCAGAGCAGGTTGATATAGCCAATAATGTATATTTCCAAATAGCTAAGAATACATTTCCAACAAATGCGAATGAGGGGATGTATATGATAATTAGCTTGATTTAACCATTCTCCATTATTTACATATATCCAAATATCATTGTGCCCTGTGTATTTTTACAACAATGACTTATCAATTTAAAAGATTAATTTTAAAGCTACATTTTATATTTCTTTAAATCAGGAACCAAACATCCACGTAACATTCAGTCTAGAGCAATCCAGCTCCCCATCCCAATGTTTATGCTACAGACTTGTTGTAGAAGCAAGGCTAGTTGTTCTGTAATACCTCTCACATTCTGGGTTAGTCTATTTGATGCTGTGTGCTGTCATTGATCGTCTTCTCATAATCTCTCCACATATTTTTTGTAAAAATCAGGGGTTAGCAAACTTTCTCTAAACGGTCAGGTAGTAAATGTGTCAGGCTTTGGAGGCCACATATGGTCTCTGAAACATACTCTGATTTTACTCACAACCCTTAAAAATGTAAAAACAATTCTTACTGTGCAGGCCATAGAAACACAGACCACAGTCGGAATTTGGCCAACAGGCTATATAGTTTGCTGAACTCTGCCTCTCTAGGGTTTCATTGTATTGGGGTTTAACTTTCTTGCATATAGACTTGATAAGTGGTCCTAGGTGCTTCACTTGCTAACATACCAGGAGGCACATAGTATCTAATAATTACACTGATAAGGGGTTCAGCTGGGGCTGCCTGATTCTTCAGTGTAAAATTTCTTAGCAATGTACCATCTAATGGTTCAACAGGTGACTTATTGCTTGATTCAATTGTTTGATTCTACCTTTCCTTTAGAACTTACTATTTGAAATCTTCGTAAAAAATATTTGCTCATCAACTAGGACTATTTGGTTGCTCTGAAACACCATTTATTCAGGAATGGTAGAAAGCATGCTTCATTTTTTCTTTTAACTTTTAATGTCTGAGAATCTAATGATTCCTAATGGGTTATATTTGTTTTTGATTGGTGTTCTGTCTTTGCATTTTTGTGTATGTATCATTATGAATTAATAATTATTGAGGGTTTTGTAGTTGATAATCACACGCTTTAAAAATTACATCTTTGTACAAAGGGAGCTCCTTCGTGTTAACAGTATACCCTTTGACATGGCCAATTGGTCTGTGATAGCTTCTTTGAATTCTGGTACCAACTCCTCAAGGCTCAACTGGAATATTTCCTACTCCAGGCCAGCAATCATTTTTACTTCCAAGAAGTTCTCATTCTCCTTATGGGGAATGATTTGAGGAGACTACCATTTGGAAGGGAATGATAGAAAGGAGAAAAGACAGTAGTCATTAAGTGAAATAACAGGGACCTGAATCAGTGAAGTCTGAGGCCAACATATACACAACATACCACACTTAAAAGTACTAAAACTCCAGTTTGTATGAAATTTTATTACACCACAATACAAACAGAACTTTGCCTGCATAAAAACTCAGGTTCTTATCAGTCATAGGATGTTAGAATCAATGATTCCATAACAATCTTGTAACACAACTTCCTTTACAAAAGAGAAAGCTGAGGCTCAGAGATGGAGGCAGGGACTACTCTGCTGGGGTTGACTATTGGTCAAATGGACTCTAATACTCAGGTCTCCTGACCCAGTTTTTACTGTCATTTCTATTCTACACAGTATACTCTGCTATATTTATTTCTCTTGCCTTTAGCCTCACATGACATCAGTCTCATTTTTCTGTTTCAATCTGTATCCATCTTCCTCTTCCTCTTCCTCTCCTGCCCTTCTCTACACTTATTTATTGACTTCTTGATCCAGTTATTTAACATTCCATAATGAGCTATTGTGTGCCAGGCACTGTGATGGGCACTGGAGATGCAATTCATGAGACAGTTAGGCTTTTGCAAAGTTCCCTGTCCCAGGGAAGCCTGCCTGAGGATGGGGCATAACAGCAGCTCTTTCCTGGGGGAAAGACATACGCTAATGACACATCTTACTCTTTCCTTCACACAGAAAAGCATGTCTTGTCCCTTACTCTGCTTTCCCAGGCCTCATCCCATCCTGCATAAATCACTGCTGCATCCACCAATCTCCCTGCTCCAGCGACTGTATCATGGTCAGGTTCTGGCCATGCTTCTTCCACAGAAGTTAGTGTCTCCACTTTGCCTGCAGGATCAAGTTCAAACCCTCTAGCCTGGCATCGAGGGTCCTCTCGAGGCCAGCATGCACCCCTCCACGCATAGACGGAATGACTATGTCTCTGACATGCACCCTGGTTAGGGGATGAGACTGCAGCTTCAGAGGGTGGCCTCTATCTAAATGTTCATTCCAGGCTTTGTCACTGGGGATGTGAATTGCAATTAAGTGCAACACACTTTGTGGACCCTGTGTCTCAGCCCTTCTCTTGCCACTCTGTAGCTGGTCAGTTCCCCAAATTCTGCTCGCTCCAGAGGAGTCTCAAACCCCTTCCCTATGCCATGTGTCCCACATCTGTGCAATCAACTCAGACCTCTTTGTGCCTGAATCTTCAGTTATGCCAAATAATACTTAAAGGACCCCATGTAAAGCACATAGGATGTACAGAAACTATATATAATAGTTATACTAGTTATAACTAGGAAGTATTTATACATAAATGGCAAATCTCACTGAAAAGAAACTCAAATCCAATAAAATAAGTGTTTGGCTTCTTAACCATAGTAAAAAGAAAAAACACTATTACTGGTGAGGTTGGGGTAAAATTCTCTCTCTGACTCTCTTAATTGTAATGAACACTTTGGAAAGTGATTTGGCAATGTGCTTTCAGAGCCACAGAAACTCATATTTTTGAGCCAATAACTCACTTCTGGGAACTGAGCCCAAGGATATAATTCTATATCTGAGAAAGAAAAGCAACCTCTATGCATAAATATATTCCCTGAAGCATTATTCTTAATAAGAAAAAAAGCTAGGAAGAGCCTTAAAAGGGAAGTGGATATATAAATTATCCTGGATACAATCAATGGACTCTGGCTACTGTTTCTAAACAAGTTAGGAAACCTCTAGAGCAACATGGAAAATATACCATGGACAAAGCAGAAAAAAAAAAAAAAAAAACAGAATAGAAAATTAAACATACAGCACTTTGGGAGGCTGAGGCAGGTAGAGCACCTGAGCTCAGGAGTTCGAGACCAGCCTGGGCAACATGACGAAACCCCGTCTCTACTAAAAATACAAAAACTTAACCAGGCATGGTGGTGCACACCTGTAATCCCAGCTACTGAGGAGGCTGAGACACGAAAATCACTTGAACCCAGGAGGTGGAGGTTGCAGTGAGCCAAGATTGCACCACTGCACTCCAGCCTGGGTGACAGAGCAAGACTGTCTCCAAAAAAAAAAAAAAAAAAAAAAAAAACCGGCATGATTTTATCTATGTAAGAATGGAAATAAAGTCCTAAGGCCACAAAATATAAGCATTTTGATGTAGTGGGGGGAAATGTTTTACTTACTGTTATCTGGTTTTCAAGTATCTAAGGTACAGCTGTATCACTTTAATGTGGTAAAAATACTTTTAATTAAATTCAGAGATCTATATTGATGGAAGGCTAATTGAGGGTTTCTCCACTCCCTGGAGAAACATCTGAAAAGGTCAATGACTATATATCCTTCTCCTGAGAAGAGGTGTAGGGTTTGCTACGCAAGGAGGACGACCTACATCCTAGCTACAACTTGGCTCTATGAAGAGCCTCCTCTGCAGACAGCTAGAAGATCATGTTTGAAAGAAAATAATTTCACTGCACTTCCTTGAGCTACAGAGAGTATTTTTTAGACAACTGGCTGATCTTTCACACCTGTTTTGTGCTTGCTAAAAGAGCTACAACAGATCACTCGAGAAACAGAAAATCCCCAACGCGACCCTCATGGAACATGTGCCTATCACCTTAGCATTCATGGAGCATTGCTGCCTCCACTGAACCTACACGCACCCTGTCACAGCAACAATTTCTCAACCTCTGTACCGTTGCAGGCACTATCATGGAAAGGGGGCAAGGGACTCACCCAAGATCACTCACAATATAGTGAGAGCGTCACCTCTCCATCCTCCTTAACAGACTCCAAGTTCAATGACATCTCAAATGGATGAACTGCATTTTAACTCCCATTCTATAACTTATTAACTATGTGTCCACAGCGAGTTGCTTCATCTCTCAAACACGGTTTGGTTATTTATTAACCAGGGGTGATAGAAAGCATTGCTACGCTTCATGTTCACAACCAAATGAAGCAGATATTACTATCATTGGATGTTGATAGGTAACTTATGTATAATACCTTACCACGAAGTAATATAAATGTGTGTGCTGGCTAATTAAAGCAATGGCCCAAGGGGAGATCATTACCTTAAGGACTTTACATTCCAGATGGTCAAGTAGCATTCCAACCAGGAATCACACCTCCAGTGTGGGTACTTGGTAACCCTTTAGTCAATACTAAATGTTATGCAAATTAACATTGGATATGGGAAATGGACCCTCTTTTATGAAATTAATAGCATCTACAATATATAGCCTGATTAAAATACGTTAAATATTTCTTCACCATTGCATTAGCTAAGAAAGAAAATCCAGAACCCTCTCTAGCCTGAATCCTTAGGGAAGGCAATATGGTTTGATCCCTAAATAACCCTGTCTAGCCACTAGGTGGAATTCTTACTGCCCGATGCTGACCAAAATGATAATGGTTCCAGAATGTTGTTTGGTCTCCAGTTAACCTTTCATGCAAACCACAGTTGGATCACCTAAAATGTCATTGAGCTAAGAGAATGAGTTGTAGTGGCAATTTTGTGCTATCTTCTTAAGTCTCTTGAGTAGACACCCACCTGGGTGACAAATTCTGGTCTGAGACTCCTCATCTACAGCCGAGCAGCCTGACTTGTCTGCACCCACAGCAAACTTGTCCAGAGCTGCCCTGCCCTGGCTAGAGAGCCCAGTAGATGGCTTAGAGGATGGACAAGGCTGTTGCAGTAACCACCTGGCTGCTTCTATGAGTCAGTAGCCAGGAAAACCCAGGACCACAGGCCTTTCCTGAGCTTCTACTCTGCACTTGGCCTGCTGTTTTAAGAACTGCACCGGCCTGGCCAAGATGGTGAAACCCCATCTCTACTAAAAATACAAAAATTAGGCCAGGCTCAGTGGCTCACGCCTGTAATCCCAGCATTTTGGGAGGCCGAGGTGGGTGGATCATGAAATCAGGGGATCAAGACCATCCTGGCTGACACAGTGAAATCCCGTCTCTACTAAAAATACAAAATGAAATTAGCTGGGCATGGTGGCCGGTGCCTGTAGTCCCAGATACTTGGGAGGCTGAGGCAGGAGAATGGCTTGAACCCGGGAGGCGGAGCTTGCAGTGAGCCAAGATCACGTCACTGCACTCCAGCCTTCCAGGCTGGGTGACAAAGCGAGACTCCATCTCAAAATCAGCCGGGCTCCAGTGGTAGGTACCTGTAATCCCTCCTATTCAGGAGGCTGAGGCAGCAGAATCACTTGAACCTGGGAGAGGCGGAGGTTGCAGTGAGTCAAGATCACACCACTGCACTCTAGCCTGGGCAACAGAGCAAGACTCCATCTCAAAAAAAAAAAAAAAAACCTGAGCAAACTGGGTGCTCATGCTTGTAATCAGAGCACTTTGGGAGTACGAGGCAGGCAGATCATGAGGTCAAGAGTTCAAAACCAGCCTGGCCAATATGGTAAAACCCTGTCTCTGCTAAAAATAGAAAAATTAGCCAGGTGTGGTGGCGCATGCCTGTAGTCCCAGCTACTTGGGAGGCTGAGGCAGGAGAATCACTTGAACCTGGGAGGCGGAGGTTGCAGTGAGCTAAGATTGCACCACTGCACTCCAGTCTGAGTGACAGAGCAAGACTCCATCTAAAAACACAACAAAAAACAAACAAATGAATTGAGCAAACTGAGGCCCAGAAAAGTTAAGTGCTTTGTCCATGTCAAATAAGTCTGCACAGAGATGGTCCAGGGCATGCTCAACACGTGGCTCTGAGGTCTGGAAACACTGTTCCCATCTTTCTTGGAGAAAGTTACAGAAGTTCCCGCAGACTCTCACCCCCAGATCCTCATAAAATTCCTTCATGGCGGTCTCTGCTCAGGTGTGCTGAATCCATGCTCCAAAATAGAGCAATGGCTTGGGGAACTCCACCTGGACCTAAGTTCATGGGCTCAAGAGGACACATCCCCCCTCATCTGTGATGCAAAAGGAACACAGTGAGATGCTCTGACAAGTGGCCATTGCAGCCCGGGCTTAGAGTCACAGCTCGTCCCAGGCAGGTGCCAACAGGCCAGGCTCTTGGTGCGCTCAATCTGCAGGAGAGCTGTGGAGGGACCTGCTGTGGTGCACTCCCTCCACACAGTGTCCTAGCTCTTCTGCTTTCTTGATGGGAAGAGGAGGGGGTGTTAAAGGGGAAAGGGCCTGTTGAGGCCTGCCTGTTGCCTTCAAGAGATGGTGCCTGAATCTCTGGGAGCTTCAAGTTCTCGTATCACTGAGTACAATTCTGCTCCAGCTTAAACACCTTTGTCAATAGCCGAATGCAGCATAAGGATCAGAGACAAAGAGGAATTAACACTCAGTGGGCAGCTTCCCTGCCTGATATGGTTTGGCTGGGTCCCCACCCAAATCTCACCTTGAATTGTATTTTCTAGAATTCCCACGTATTGTAGGAGGAACCCAGGGGAAGAGGGGAGGTAAATGAATCACGAGGGCTGGTGTTTCCCATGCTATTCTCATGATAGTGAATAAGTTTCATGAGAGCTGATGGGTTTATCAGGGCTTTCCGCTTTTTCTTCTTCCTCATTTTCTCTTGCCCTGCCATGTAAGAAGTATCTTTTGCCTCCCGCCATGATTCTGAGGCCTCCCCAGCCGTGTGGAACTGTAAGTCCAATTAAACCTCTTTTTCTTCCCAGTCTCAGGTATGTCTTTATCAGTGGCATGAAAGCAGTTTAATACACTGCCCTAGACATGCTGCACCACAGGCCATTTTCTGCTCACAGCCTCAGTGTCGGCAACATTCCCCAGGCTTTTCACAGCAGGCGAAGGGAGCTCAGAGTTGAGTTGGAGGGTTATCCAAGTATGCATTCATTCATTTATTCAGCCATTCAATAATATCTATTAAGATTGCATTGGTCATTTGGGGCAGCTTAGTTCAAAAGCACTGAGCTTTGTAATCAGATCCTTCTTCATTCAAATTCAGGCTCAGCCCCTCTTACTAGCTATAATGCCTGTGTGGAAGTTCCTTAATCTTTCTAAGCCTTGGGTAATTGGGGATGATAATGTCTTACCCAGACAATCCTTATGATATTCAAGTGAGACAGGAGTGACAAATTATCTCACACTGGGCACATATTAATGGCACAGTAAATGAGGCTGGATGTTCTAACTTGATCACATGTAAATTTGCACAGCTTCTTGGTGTAAATACCCTTCAAAACCTGTGTTTGGGAAACATTGCAGGAGGTGGGAACTGTGCTGAAGCTCAGAATTTTTACTACCAATTATCCCTGGAAGAACACCCTGCATTAGAAAATCTTTCATAGATCCAAAAGTAGGGCAAGATCCCAAGTCCACAATAGATTAGAAGGAACTGGGGTTAGAGTCCAGCCACAAAACAAACTGAGGGGAGACTCAGGGAGTGATGGGTTGTTAGAGAATCTCAAAGACCAGAATCTGATGGGGTTGGGGGCATAGAAGCTTTTCTGTTTATGCATAACAAACTGCCCCAAAAGTTAGAGGCTTAAAATAATAGCTCATTCTTATCCCACTTTCTGTGGATTGCCTTGTCAATTCCTCCAGCCTTGCCTAGGCTTGCACATTCAGCTGGAAGGTCAGAGGTGAGCTGGATTCAGCTGGACAAGGGTGGCTGGGCCTCTGTCACCATGTGATCCATCACCCTTAAGAAGTAAGTCAGACCAGGCTTCTCTGTGAAGTAATGGCAACATTCTAAGAAGGCCAAGTGGAATATGAAAGACCTTCTGAGGCCTGTGTTGCTTCTAACACAACAGAAGAGCAAATGAAAAGGCCACCCAGATTCGAGGGGTGGGAGACTAGATGCCACCACTCCATGGGAAGAGTTTATGGTTGTGTTTCATCTCCCACGGAGACCAAGAGTATGGATGACATAGAGGAGAAATGAGTCAGGAGAACAACCTTGCTTGGGGCTGCTGGAGAAAGCATTTGTGTTCACGTGCAAGTGTGTGCAGTTGCTAATCTGACCTTGAACATCTTCCCCAACTCGTTTCCCCTTCCCCTTGCTCTGGTCACCCACATTTTCCAGCCACCAATGATTATTTGTAGTTCCTCCAGATTGCTCTGTGGCCTGTGTCCTGCTTTGCCTGGAATATGACCTGTCCCCTTTCTACCCCTACGTGAATTGGCCAGTGTATTAATTTTCCATGGCTTCTTTAATACATTGCCACAAACGTAGTGGCTTAAGACAACAAAGTTCTCTTACAGTTCTGGGTGCCAGAAGTCCTGGCTCAATTTTAGCCCCATAAAACTGAGTTATGAACAGAGCCATACTCTTTCCAGAGTTTCCAGAGGAGAGCTCATTCTTCCAGTTTCTGGTGGCTCCAGACACTCCTTTGCTGGTAGCCACATCACTCTGAGTCACTCCAATCTCTGCTCCATTTTTACATCACCTTGTCTTCTGTCCATATCAAATCTCCTTCTGCCTCTCTCTTATAAGGACACTTGTAATTAGATTTAGGACCCTAGCTAATCAAGGACAATCTCCCCATCTCTAGATTAACTTAATCACATCTGCAGAGCCTCTTCTTCCACATTCAGCAACATTTACAAGTCCCGAGAATTACGGCCTGGTATTTTGGGAGGCCTACTACCCCTGGGTGTCTCAGATATTTATAATGTCTGATTTCATCCCGTCATCTCTGAAATGTCCGCTGGCCACAGCCTGTTCCTTGCCAGCAGGGCTTCTCAACCACATACCCCTGATCCCCGCATTTATCAGGTTGGATTATGATTGCTTTTAAACACGTCTTTGTTCAAATTGAGCTCCCGAGAGCACGAATTATGCCGCTCTACCTCCACCTCCCCAGTGTCTACAATGGCCCTCAAAGATAGGAGAGGACTTTCAGATGACTGTGACATTGTTGGAGTGGGGTTTGGAGGTGAGGGGTAAGGGAAACCTCCATTCCTTGCACAAACACATCGCATTTATCCCCCAGCACAAGCCACCAGGGTTTAAGTCAATTCTTACGAATCTGATGTGAGCTCTACAAATGCACATTTTTACTGTGTCTGAGATCCATTCTGCTTAAAATATTTAACCAGGGATCCAGAAGGCAACTTCCTAGGTTAAGACCCAGACAAAGAGTTATCCAGTGTGATTTGGTGTTTGAGCAGCATGTCTCCAGGGTAACTGAAGCCCAGTGTGGAGAGCTGGACCCTGGGGTATTAAAGATTCCAAACTGAGGAATCTGTATATAAATGTGCTTCTGCCTTCCTTATACACATTTGGCAAACACACAGATGAGAGGCCTGACCACAGAGTAGCATTGCTGGTTGCTTTGCTTTAACTTAACCACACATATTAGTCCACTTGCATTGCTACAGAGGAATACCTGAGGCTGGGTAACTTATAAAGAAGAGAGGTTTAATGGGCTCACAGTTGTGCAGGCTGTGCAAGAAGCATAGTGATGGCTTCTGCTTCTGGTGAGGCCTCGGAAAGCTTCCACTTATGGTGGAAGGTGAAGGGGGAAGCAGGCACATCACCTGGCAAGAGAGAGGGAGCAAGAAAAAAAGAAGGGAGGTTCCAGGCTCTTTAAACCACCAGCTCTTGTGAAGTAACAGAACAAAAACTCATGACTTCAAGGAGAGCACCAAGCTATTCATGAGGGATCCACTCCCATGAACAAAACACCTCTCACCAGGCCCCACCTCCAGCACCAGGGATTCCATTTCAGCATGAGATTTGGAGGGGACACATGTCCAAGCTATATCACCGCCACCTAAATTCCTGTTTTGGAGATAGCACTGTATATGTGGAAGCCCATCCCAGGTAGGTTCTCTGCTTGGTTCTCCTACCATACGCACACCACAAGGGGCAGGGGAACACCATTCCTGCTTCCTAAGGAGCTGACCAGTTACATCAGATTTTCTCAGTATGTTCCTTGAGACTCCCACAACAGACTCACCTGGAGGGCTGGCTAACATGCAGACTCCCAAACCATGTAGCTCACAACACTTTGGACTCTCTGAAGGGGTGGGCCCCAGGAAGATGCATTTGAACACATTCTTGGGGTATGCTCATGCTCCTTCCAGTCTGTGTCTAGCACAGCAATGCAATGTGATGTTTGCCAAAGAGAGGATCCCTGGGGGGTAGTTCCATAAAAGGGCTTCTAAAAGGATGCAGTTTTCTGTCAGCTATGAATGCTATCTCTCCCAGGATTCCTCCTTAGACGGTCTTCCCCAGAGAAGCCCTTTTACTTCAGAATTGCTAACAGGTCTGGTGGCTCTTAGAAGCCCAGATGGTCATTCAGGCCTCAGTAACAAAGGTCAATTGAGAAAAAGATTAGCAATGTGCCCAGACCAGCTCAGTCAGGGAGACCCTAACCCAGTGGCATTGGAGGAATTATAGACACACACACAGAAATATAGAGGTGTGAGGTGGGAAATCAGGGGTCTCACAGCCTTCAGAGCTGAGAGCCCCAAACAGAGATTTCCCCCCATATTTATTAACAGCAAACCAGTCATTAGCATTGTTTCTATAGATATTAAATTAACTAAAAGTATCCCTTATGGGAAACAAAGGGATAGGCCGAATTAAAGGAATAGATTGGGCTAGTTAACTGCAGCAGGAGCATGTCCTTAAGGCACAGATCACTCATGCTATTGTTTGTGGCTTAAGACTGCCTTTAATTGGTTTTCCGCTCTGGGCGGGCCAGGTATTCCTTGCCCTCATTCCCATAAACCCACAACCTTCCAGCGTGGGTGTTAGGGCCATTATGAACATGTTATAGGGCTGCAGAGATTTTGTTTATGACCAGTTTTGGGGCCAGTTTATGGCCAGATTTTGGGGGGCCTGCTCCCAACAGCAATGGGTATGCAGGGTGGAGATGAGGGATACCAGTGAAAGAACACTATTGATGACCAAATATGCAGCTAGCCTTCCCACCATGTCCTACCCTAGTCTCTTCATCCCTGCCCCAATCCCCCAACCCCCCAACCCCCCAACCCCCCAACCCCCACACATCAGAGCCCATGTCATCTCTTGCCTGGGAATTCACACCAGGTTTGCCCATCTCAAGTAGCCAAAGACTTGTCTCTGAGCCACAGTGGGATACAGGTACTGTTTCCTATTTCTTCTTGTCCCCTGCCCACCTCAGCCTTCCTGTTGTGCTGGGTACCTGCTGGACTTGGTCTCTGCATCCTCTAATCCTGTTACTTACCTTTTCCTGGGGCAGAGTTGACTGTAGAGGAAATTGTGACCAAGGATCCAAGTAGAATGCAGCAGGCCCTGGGGATCCCATCGACTGCTCAGAAGCTTCTCTGGAGCCATTGATTCCTGTAACTTTTAGGAAAGCTAACTAGCTTACCTGTTAAAAGTGCTGAACAGGGTTCCTGCTTTCAGAAAAGTAGGATTACATAAAGATACATGCATGGGTATGCACACAAGTCTGTTTCAGGGTTTGCTTGTTTGCCCTGTATCAAGACCTCTGTTACATCCAACCCATTCTCTTTATCTGTACGAACTTGAAAGGATGGCAGTGATCTGCTAAATGCAAAGAACAATTTGCAGAGTAACTTGTATATAGGCAGCTTCTGTTTCCAAAGACAGAGAAAAACCCACATGCAGGCGATGAGACATGCCCACAGTTTTCTGAGAAGTAGGATAGGACTCATGGTCCTCACTCACTGCCCGCTTGAAGTAGGTTCTCCGTGGGATTCATCTGATGGCCAAAGCTGCCCAGATGATTGTCAAAGGCAGGCCATTCTCAGAAATGCTGAACTAGCTGAGCAGCCTCAGTTCTCCGGCTCTCCTGGCAACCTCTGCACAAAATGAGCTGGGACCACAGCCACACAGGGCCTGGGTAACCTATGTTGGACACACCTGCTCTGCTGCAGAATCCCATGGCCATCAGTGGTCTGGAAGTCTCAAGAAACCCTCAGCCCTGAAAGAATGTGAGGAATCGTGATCAGCGCCCGGGCCTGCCCTGCAAGGGTTTTCTGCAAGCCCTGGATCTGAGCTTCCCAGCAGGTGTTTTCTCTGCTGGCACTCACCCTTGTTGCCAGAGGTTGCCAAGCTCAGAAGGAGAGGCCAGGGGAGCACAGGTTCACAGTCACACATTTCATTCAAACTCCACTCTCTCCATGTATTCACGGTGTAACTTTGGGGAAATTATATAACCTCTCTGAGACCATAGGGAGAGGGAGCTCAGAGGCCATTAGCCCCTGTCTTGGCTCTGGAAATGACCATTCCTGCATAGACAGAGGACTCTGGCCAATGTTCTCCTGCCCTTGAGCTTCCCTTGAGCTTCCCTTGAGGAAGGAGGATAGAAACAGAGCATATTGTTTCTCCCAGGAGGACATTAAATGCCAAAATGAGAGAAAAGAATCCATCAATAAGAACTATCAATAAAAGCTATGGGAGTGTTAGTGCAGTGAAAAACATAGTGGGCAAATAGGGCCTCAATGTTATAACCACGACTCTGCTGGAATTCTATGTCTGCCTTGGGGAGGGCTGTCCTCTCAGGCTCTGTTTCCCAAGTGTAAAAAGGTGTTTGGGTTAAGAGATGCTTTGCTTTCTTTTTTTTCTTTTTTTCTTTTTTTTTTTTTTAAGTCAATACTTTGGTTCAAAGAAAGTCACAGGGAGAAACACATAAACAAAGCTGGGAGAGAGAAGGAGGGCACCCAGACCTCAGCTGTCAGTCTTCCTTGCTAAGTCACATCACCCCAGAAGGGGCTCAGGGTACACAGTTCAAAGTCAGTCATGATTCCTTCCAGCTCCTGGCACAGCACCACGTAATCAAAGACTCCAAAGATTAAGCTTATACCCCTTTCCAGTAATTTCTGTAAGCCTGAGCAAGTCACTTTGTTCATCTCATCTTTGAAATATGTAATGTATGAATTCACTAATGCCATAAAATGCTTACTGTGTATCAGGCCCTGCCTTTCTAATGGTCAGAGCAGTCAGTGAAATGGCCCTATTACTGCATTCACTTTACAGATGGAGAAACTAGGATTAAATGAACTGAAGTCTGTTTAAGGAATGTAATACATGGATACCCTCAACTTCTGCACTTTGCCTAAAATTGAGAAGAAACTGAGACTGAGCTGAAACAAACAGAAGTAGTTTGTTACAGTTCCCACACCTATCCCACAAATGGAGATACACACATGGATATTTGATATGCTGTGTTTTCATTTTCATTCAGTTTCTATTTTTAAATATCCTTTTTCAGTTATTTTTAGACTCATGGGTTGTTTAGATTTTTTTTTAGCCTCCAAACATATAAAAATATTCTAGACCTGTTATTGATTTGTAGCTTAATTCTATTGTTTTCAGAATATGACATCTCATTTTGAATCTTTTACATGACTAGCCAGTCCTGCTCTTCAGGTAAACACAAGACTTCCAAAATTCAGTGTTCAAGACATAATGAGATATCGATACTTAGAGGAATTTCTTCCTACCCTCATCCAAACTGTGTTCTCAAGAATAGTCCACCTGACCAAGATGTTTATGTGTTAATATCACCTCAGGGACAACTAATATCAACATTACTCTATGGATCACCCCAATGGTTTGCTATCCATGTTCTCTAATTGAACTCAACATCAGGATCTGAAATGATTATAAACAATGAACAATGGCATAACCCAAAGTTTTCTAACCTGACATAGTGTTAACCTGGCAAAATCACATGGAAGTTGATTCACGGCAACCTGAAAATGCAGATTCCCAGGCCCATCCTACTCCATCCCATGAGGCCCATGTCCATCCAGCAGGTCATGGACAGAGCAAATTCATGAGGGTATGGGACAAAGTCTATCAGCTTTAATGGGCAGCTACACATGGAACCAGTGACTATATCACTTCTGAAGCTGGGAGGACTGGGTTCAGTCCCAGCTCAGACCTGGATAATCTGGGAGAAGTCAGACTTCTCTTTTGAGTCTGTTTATTCTCCTGAAAATGAATAGAATTTATTCCCAATTCTTCTGAAATTGTATATCAACAAAAAGAAGCATGTGCCATATCCGCTGTTTTTGGCTCTGCTGTGCTTGTCTTCAAGGAGCTCAGTCTAGTGAGGAGCCCATATCTGTAATATGTGGATGTATATGTAATCCTGTGTGCAGTGATGGCAATAGACACATGGGCAGGGTATGCTGAGAGTACAGAGGACAGGGCTCCCAGAGGAGGTGGTGCACGTGCAAACAAGTTGGGCAGGAAGCCAAGGTTGAGAGAGGTGTCCAAGGCACTATGAGCAAAGGTGAGGAATAGCTGGGCACCTTTGGCGGCCACTAGGGCTCTGTACAGCTGATGTCAAAGGACAGGGTAGGAAGGATTTGGAGAGGCAAGTGACATTCAGACATCAGGCAAGGGAGATGGATTTTAGCCATTTGGGAATGAGAAGCCTTTGAAGGATTGTAAACCAGAGAGTGAAGGGATCAGAGAAATGTCTTAGAAAGGCAGAGAGATGCTCATAGCCTCTTCACCAGTGTCTCACAGCCAGCTATGGTCCATGTTTAGAACTTCGCTGCCTTCCTGTCCATACTGCTGACCTTTCCAGATGCCCTCTCATTCTGAGATCCCATCTAAATGCTCTCCCTGCCCCATGGAGGGCTCAGATCAAGAACTTCACCATTCACCCCACTTCTCAGTACCTGGGGTTCCACGGACTATCTATGCCCACAGATACATCCCAGGCAAGAGAGAAGAGCTAGGTGGAGACTTGGTTTCTGTATTAATCCATTTTCATGCTACTGATAAAGACATACCTGAGACTGGGCAATTTATACAAGAAAGCGGTTTAGTGGACATGGACTTACAGTTCTACGTGGCTGGGGAGGCCTCACAAGCATGGCAGAAGGCAAGGAGGAGCAAGTTGCATCTTACGTGGATGGCAGCAGGCAAAGAGAGAGAGCTTGTGCAGGGAAACTCTGCCTTATAAAGCCATCATATCTTGTGAGACTTATTCACTATCACAAAAACAGCACAGGAAAGACCTGCCCCCATGATTCAATTACCTCCCACAGAGTCCCTCCCACAACATGTGGGAATTCAAGAGGAAATTTGGGTGGGGACATGGCCAAACCATATCAGTCTCCTTCAGTTAGACATCAGTTCTCATAACTGAATGTTCAGAGATTGTTAGTATGTAATTATTATGCTAGAATTTGTTTTTTCTGTTTGGAAGAAGATACAAAGTAGGCCATCTGGGTGGTTATCTGTACAGAGGTTAAGGCCCTTCACTTGGTATGTGCTGTGTAACAAAGCATGAATGCACATCATTGGCAGCAGGAAAGGTCTGGGGTCAAATCCTGGCCCTGCCATTTGAAAATTAATCTTGCTTGTACAAGGTCATATAGTTTACTAATCCTCAATTTGCTCTTCTATAGAATGCAACATCTACCTCATGGAGTTGCTACAAGGATTAAATACATGTCTTAGCACTTATTCCTGATGGTAAGGGCAAATAGCTAGAATTTTCTATTAGAAAGTAAAAGATCATAGAGGAAAGAAGATACGACAAAGCATGAACCAAAGAATGATTAAACATCCCAACAGCAGCATAGTATCTGACAGTATTCTCTGGGCCAGTGCTTTGCATTCTTTAATGTGCATACAAATCACATGTTGAGGGATTCTAATTTTATATGGTCTGGGGTGTAACCCAAGATTCTGTATTTTTAACACTCAGGTGATGCCAATGCTCCTGATCCGTGGACCATACTTTAGCAAAGGCACTTTAATGAGATACAAATGTGATCTGAATACATATTGTAGTTTGAGAGAAGCTCTATACTATATCAAGAAGTTGTGGTCATTAAAGAGAAATCATTTAGGGTGACTCTAAGAGCTTTGACACTGTTGGCTGTGGAACAACCTCTGGGAATAAGGCATTGACTCAGAAGGTGCAGAGGATGCCACTTTGTGCATGAAACTTTTAGTAGTTCATTGGAGTAACAGGAAATACAGCTACGGTTTCCTGAGTATTTTCACATGTTACAGTCCTTTGTATTGTTTAATCCTCACTTTAACTCTCAGAGACAGGGACTGTCATAATTGCCAAGGAAGCCAAGGATTATGAGGTTGGGTCATGGTTTTACAGATAACCCAGTTAGGTTTGAACAGACCTATTGTGTTCAGAGTCCACAGGATTGAATATCTTTCCTTCCCAGTTCAGCAATCTGACAACAATGACAGAAGCAGAGGGACCTCCACAGTAGGGAGCAATGGCCAATGACCATGTGCTAGCCTCAGTCCTGGGAGCTCTGGGTCATCTCTGTCCTGCACTTTTTTTTTTTTTTCATTGCGTACATTGGCTTTGAAGCTGAAAAACTGAGCCTGCTGCATCCTGGGGTATATGCCGAATCCCTTTCCTCTTTTCTCTCCTTGGTCCATTAGACTTTTCAAGCACCTGCATGTTGGAGCTGGAGGAAAAGTACAGACTCCTATCCCAGCTCTGTCTGGGGCTATGCAATCCTATGAACTCGGACCTTCTCCAGTGTGTCCTTCAGCACCATGGACAAAGCCGACAGCACCTTTATTTGTTCTCTCATCATTTTGGCCCTAACCTACAAGGCTGTTTGAGGGCACATAAACAGCTAAACTCATTTTCTCCCAAACCCTTTAATTATTGTAAAAATAGAAGTCACTCAGTTATCCAACTCTATAACCATAAATAATGCACATTAATGCACAGGCTAAGAATAGGAGATGGGGGTGCCAGCCGTGAGCAACCAGGATTGGGGTAAGTGGTATGTATGAAACTTCCAAGAAGTATTTGCCCACACACCATATTATCTATACTTTCAGAGGCAGATGCCGCATGATACACTAAACAGGCTGCTTAAAATACCCAGACCAGCAGCGTCAACATCACCTGGCATGAAATTCTGGGGCTGGAGCCCAGCAATCTGTGTGTTAAACAAGTGCTCTAGGTGATTTTGATGCTTTAGTTAAGAACCATGGTTTTATTTCAAAACTGACTTCACAGGTGAATAACTTCTTCAGAACTAGAAAATGTCTCAGAGGAAGGAGAAAAAGCCTGTGTTGGCCAGTGCAGTGATTAAGAGTGGAAGGTGGGCTGGGCGCAGTGGCTCACGCCTGTAATCCCAGCACTTTGGGAGGCTGAGGCAGGAGGATTACTTGAGATCAGGAGTTCAGGACCAGCCTGGCCAACATGGTGAAACCCTATCTCTACTAAAAAATACAAACACTAGCTGGGCATGATTGTGGGCACCTGTAATCCCAGTTACTTGGAAGGTTGAGACAGGAGAATTGCTAGAACCTGGGAGGCAGAGGTTGCAGTGAGCCGAGATCATGCCGTTGCACTCCAGCCTGGGCAACAAGAGTAAAACTCTGTCTCAAAAAAAAAAAAGTGGAAGGTGGACTGTGTTGGCCAACCAATTCCTTGTGGCCCATGAGTCTTTGTCCTGTTATTGATACTGCCTCCATTGTCTGCATTCAGAAAGAATGAGTGGAATACAATGTGCCTGTTGTCCACTCCACACCATCTATTTCACCTGTACCATCACCCAGCAAAGGATAAATCCTCTAACAGTGTATGGAGCCCACCCATTCACTGTGGAAGTACAGAGGATCTTGGAGGAAAATATTTACTTATCAGACTCACCCACTAATCATGGACCAGATGACCTCCCCTGTCTACTTCTGGCTCCAAAACATCTTTGAATCTCAGAATTTCGAGTAGCCTCACACTGAAAAACATCAGAAAGATCCAGGTTCTGATTCAAAGTCCCTTAGCTCATGGGCTGTTCTCCCTATAGGAGGAGAAGTTATTATCATAGATCACATCTCTCCCCGTAGGGCCTGCAGGAAGACCAGAGGCATCACGGCAGCTGTTTTGTAAGTAGGCTGCCTGGAGCAGGATCAGACCGGTGGCTGGCCCAAGGTCTCCTGTCTAATTAGAAGGCGAGTGGCATGGAGACAATGCCACTAGCTACTGCCTCTGCCCTGTCTGTCACACAGCAATGGGATGACCTTTCTAAAGCACAGTTCTTCTGGAAAAGGCCTGACGGAGCGCCTTACTACCTGCAACTGAAGCCAAGGTTCTCAAGTTCTCCAGACAGTTTCCCACCAGCCTTCCTTGAGCTAAATCAGTGGTTCTCGAGTGAGGGACTGGGACTTTTGCCCTGCCTCCAAGGATATTTGGCAGTGTATGGAGACACTTTTGATTTTCACAATTTGGTAGAGGCCAAGGAAGCACAGGACAGCCCCCATAGCAAAGAATTATCCAGCCAAAAATGTCAATACCACTGAGATTGAGAAACCCTGAATTAAATTCTGAGCTCAAATGTTGCCTCTTTCAAGAAGCATTCTGTACCTGCATCCTCTTCTCCAAGGGGACTTAGTTGCCTTTGGGCTTCCATAGAGGTAGCCTAGATAATACAGAGGGCACCTACACTGTTACATTCATTTAATTACAGTTATCTGGTCACTGTATATTCCCTCTACTAGACCAGGAGGAGGTCTTTCCAGGCAAGAATGAAGACCAGTTCCTTTTTACTGTTTGTAGCCTCAGGTGCAGAGCATGGAGATTTTTTTATACCAAATAATTAATAGAACTTATCTTCCCATGCAGCATGTAACAACAGTTTGACACACAGTGGATATTCAATAAGTATCTCTCCAATCAGTAATATGTCTGGAGATTATAAATCGCTTTTGCCTTCCTGCTACAACCACTTAGCATGGAAAATAAAACTAACAAAGGCACTGGGCACCATGGGAAATGCAGGTCCCTGGCTCACTGTGAGGAATGGGGTTTTTTGGCAGGGCTAAGCCAGATGGGAACCCGAGGCTTCTCAATATTTATGCCAATGGCTTTACTGGAGTCACACAATCTCTGAAAGGTCACCTGCCTCAAGGTCCAGGGAAGAGTGGGAAGGCTCTGCTTGCCTCTGACTTGAAGACATTGAACAACTCTTGGGAATCAGACAAGGAAGTTTTAAAGGGGCGTCAATGGGCCTGCATTTAGAACAAATACTTAGAACAGTACTTCTTCGAGGCCCTGTCGGGAGCCACCGCATACCCTCAGTTGATTGATAGAAACCAGTGTGTTGTAATACTTTCCTTTATGTGGGTCTTGGGCTTGCTTTCTCTAGCATCTCATTGGCTCCTGACTTGCTCACCTGCCTAGTGAGCCACTGCACAGAGCATCTGGTTCTCTGCTGAATGCACAGGTACCATCTGTGCTGCAGAGGGTAGCTGACATTCTGTTTGGGAGCATCCAGAATAGCCATAGGGAAGCAGCACCCTGTGGGACACAGAACAGCCTTGGCTACTTTTTCAGCTCAGACTTCTCTCACTATGCTCATCCCCTATCAGGTTTATGGCTCTGGTGAAAATGGAAGAAAACCATACAAGACAATGGATTCCTAGTTGTGCAATCTGAAATTGTCTGCTGCTGAGTCAACTATAACTCAATAGGACTCAGCTGAATTTCTTTTATTTGCCTGCTGAAATCCTCCAGTGTCACAAGCATGACGTTGGAGCATAAAATCTATATGAACTTTTATTTGTCACCATATGCATTCTGAAATACTGAAGAAATAATTTCTTAGTAATGGCATCCCCCAACCAAACCTACGAGTTTTCGACCACAGACATAAGCTTGTTTTTGTGGGACATGACGCTTGTCCCCACATCTTCCCTTATAAGTCTTCAAGGTCCCTCTAGGATAAAATCCAAACTCCATGAGTACCGAGACCCTTCCTCAGTTTTGCCTCATAACATTATCTGCTTTCTACTCCAAGGAAATTGGAACTGCTCGGGATCTAACATCATCGTATCTCCAGGCCCTTCCTAGTCTCCACTAGAAGGTTCTCCCCCTCTCTCACACAGCACTAACTACAACAAGGATGGTGATGAGACTATAATGAGAAGACATCAAAAATACTAGCTCCACGTAGTATTCAAACTCTTCCCAAATACTAACATAATTCTCATAAGGTGTCTGCAAGACAGATCGTATTATTCTAACTTTACCAATGAGGACACTGAGTCACAAAGGGTTTAGGTAACTTCCCAGGTCAAACAGAAAGATAGACAAATTTGAATCTAGGACACAGGTTTTAGAGATTGGTGAATGCATCACCCTTTAGCACTGGACTAGCATCTATTAAAAGAACAGAAGGCTCACTTCTCTGGATTTTAGCAATTTTATCTAGCAGAGAAAGGAAAATATTGAAGGCAAGATAACTAATTTTTAATGTGAAACTACTGGGTGTCAGAAAACAAGGTGCTTCCAGGTACACTGTCTGCCTTCTTTCATCTCATAACACAGCTATGAGGACCCAGGCTCAAAGAGCCTAGGCAGATAATTGCAGGTCATCTGGCCAGTTAGCACACCTGAGGTCCATCACAGGCGCCCATCTTGGAACACGACGGGAGGTCTTCCCTCCTCTTCCTTCTCTCTCAGGGCTCCGGGTTCCAAAGAGAAGCCACACAGCACAGCCCCTAGGAGGGTGGGAAGCCCAGGAGCACCCCTTCTGCAGCAGCACCTGCAGAATCCTGGAGTGGATGCTCTGGCTCTGAGCCACAAGAGGGCGCTGCAGGCCCAGGAAGAGGCGGCCGCGGGGCCTCTACCTCCCACCTCCTCCATCGTCTCACTCTGGTCTCTAGACAGAGGCTCTCTCAGGATTCACTGAAACAGAACTCAGTGCAAACAGCACAATTTAGAAAAGGCAACAAAACCAGCCCACGCCTCTTTCTACTCATAGATTTTATAGCCCAGTGGAATCCACCCTCCACATCCCTCTAAGCCAGGATGACTCGTCTGCTCACCCTACGGCAGCCCGACGCCAGCATCTGTCCTGGGCTTACTTTATTGCATTTCCTAGAATCGAAGGCTAAACTCCTGGAAAGGGTCCGCTGGAGCTCCTTGCATCCCTGGCCCCAGCCTTTGCCGGTCTGATGGACTTGGCCCACTCTGCCCAGGACTATTGGCCAGACTTTATCATTGCCATCATCTTCATAAGTTAAAACTCACAGTTACAGTAGAACAGCATCAGCAATAGCTAACATTTGCTCAGTACTTTGTTAGGCACTAGGCCCAAAATTTTAATCCTCCCAACAACCACACAGGTAAGAACTTGTCATCCTCTTTTAGAAAAAAGAGAACTGAGTCTCAAATGTCATGAATACACGTCAACACCAGCATGTGAAGTCACGTCTGTTTGGCATCAGTCTGTCAACCCCAGCATGTGAAGTCACATCTGCTTGGCATCAGTCTGTGGTCCTTCTGCTGAATTGAGCCATTCTGGTTCTCTGATCACTTTGAGTCCACGACCTGGATATATGAAAGTCAGACTCTCATTCTTTTGCTCATTTATTCAACAAGTAATTATTAAGCACCTACTGTATACTCACACACTCTGACTATACATGCAATATAATTTGATATGGAGTCTGACCCTGAACTATGGTAAATATCACCCCAGGATTGTTCTAAGCACACTATTCAGGAACCAAGAAGACAGTGATTCCGAAAGACAGGTAATGAGGTGACCAAAATTACCAGGATAATACAGAATGGCAGACTATTTAGTACTGTTCTCAGTTCCTCTCTCTCACCAAGGCCATCTGGATCTATGCCCTCCTCTTGCCACTCTTGATCAGGCTGCAGGTGGCTCTTTGGGGATACTCTTTTATCTTGTATTAAAACGCTGAGTCAGATTTTCTCCAAAAGGACTTACGACTGTGGATGGATATGCCTGAATCCATGGACATCTCTAAATACTGGAGAGAGGGCTCGTTTCCAAAATGAACCTAGCAGAGGCAGCCCAGTGACACAGACATCGAGCAATATCTTAGAGCTAACGGTGGATGCAAGGAGAGGCTGCATGAAGGCCGTGGAAGAGACAGGGAGGTCTGAGTCCTTGAAATACCATTCAGCCGTGTGAACTTGGACCTTCTCCCCATCATCTCTAAGCCTCATTCTCCTCACTTGTAAAAGAGAAAGTGAGATTTAATAAGCTTTCCACCTTATTCCTGTTTTAGTAATCACCAATTTTATTATACAGCTCACTATTAGCGGTCTGACAGCCAGTCATCTCTAAATCTAATCTCTAATATGCAATATCCTCATCTTGGAAATAGGGATAACATTAATGTCCTTGAAACATTGACATAAGAATTAGATAGAAAACGTTCGTATACCTTGCACTTGCTTATAACAGGGACCCAACACATCATAGCCATAGCTGTAATTAGCAAAATAAAGGTCGATAACGGAAAACTAAAATCAGAAATGCAATTCCTCGGGGCATGAGACTCCATCCTAATGAATTTCCTGGTTCCGCAAAGGAGGCGGCTGTCAAATCCCCTCCATGAGTCATCAGCTCCCTCCTCCTTCCTAAGGTCCTCTCTTCTGTGACTCCAAGCCTCCACTGTTCTGGAGAAGGGGGTGAGGGTGAGCCAAGGCTGATCAATGAGGCCACAGAGTGTTTGGGATGGGGGTGGAGTGATTGTTTGTTCACCAGAAAAAAAAAATGAGGAGGTTGGACATGATGAGGCATAAAGGCCCTTTCAGGTGGGAGATCTGAAATTGGCAGAGGCCCAGAGAGAGGAAGTGACTCACCCCAAATCATACAGCTAGAAAGACTAGGCAGAGCTTGAATTTAAACATTGCTTTAAAAAAAAAACAAAAACAAAAAACCCAACTGCAAGAGTGTCAGTGAGGCCTGGGCTTAGAAGTTCCAGAACCTGTGTTGTTGTCCTTGTCGTCTATCAGTACTGGAAGCAAGACACATGCTGTGTGTGCAGGGGGTTCATAGGAGGCGCCGTATTTATACCTGTCTGTGCTTTGTGGTCATAAATTAATTCTGAGGTCATCAGAGAGACAAAAGAGGATGAGCAGAGACGTCCCTGTTCTTCCTAAGGAGAAGGGATGACCTATGACCATCCTTGCCCAGACTAACGTCATTAACATACAAAAACACAGACACACTGGAGCAGGACAGGTCAGTCCATGGAGAACAGAAAGAAAGGAAGGTCATCAAGGCCAACTTTGGCGGTGCCCAGCAAGAGCTGCCCTGGGCCCAGCTGCCTTCACCCCAAGGACACTCGCAGCTGCATGCCCTGAAGCCAGGAAAATTTCGAACCATCCAATCAGCAGCCTCTGCTCTGAGTCACAAAATCACATCTGCAAGAGCCCCTGTATGGAAGAAAACTGAGTCATCTTCTCCTTTCACAATAATAAAAATAGTTCCCTCATTTGAGCACTCATGATATGCTAAATGCTTTACATTTTAGCTCACAAAAATCATATAAGGTAGTTCCCATTTATCCCCATTTTGAATAAACAAATGCAAAGAAAGGTAAATTATCTTTTTTTAAAACCTAAGCTCTAAAAGCTAGAAATTGGCAGTCTTGATTTCAGACAGATCTGCCTGACTCCAAAAGGTTTCTGCTAGGATACTCTGCTGTCTGAAACTTCTTCTACAGCCATGTCATATGTTGATATGTGATATGTAAGCATACATATAAACATACTTTAAATGTAAACATGGTAAATGTTCCTTAGGAGTAAATGGAAAATTCAAGCAAATACAAGGACGATCACTGTGGGATAAATGTCAAAAATGTAATGTTTTACTCTAGCCTCTCTCCTCTTTGTGCACACACATTCAATGATGACATACTTTTTCAATCTGCTTTGTTAAATGAATATATTGCCTGTATTTTGCACATTAATTATCAATATAATTCTAAATCATTGCCTGCTAGTTCATTATTTGGCTCTACCATAATTTATTCAACTGATCCCCTCACTGCAGGGTGTTTAATTGTTTTGTTTCTATCACAAATTACACTGTAACATTTGCACATGTAAATATTTGTGTGCATAGCTCTGACTATTTTCCTGAATTATTCAAAGGTTCCAGGTATTTCTGATAGGTCTGCTTAACAGGGAGAGAATGGGATTGACACATGAATATACATCTACCAGTGTGGCAGAACTACTTCTCATTGTAATTTAATAAAGTGGCGTTTGGTTCACTTTATCCACTCCTGCGCGATTAGCTAATGTGAGCGCCCTCTAAGCGAAGCCAACACCCCCGGGGGCTGTTGAAATCATCTTTCCGAGCCTGCAAGCCCCTGGATGCTGGTGCATTAATCAAGGTGAATGCTCCCTCGCGAGGCTTCCTGCCTGCCGGGCGGTGAACTAGCTCTCCTGAGAAAGAGGCACACTCAACAGGCAATTGCTTTCCGTCCTGAACCTTTGTCCCAGAGGAAAGCAAACACTGATTGATCATTATAATTGTATGAATGAGAAATGTCATTCTTAGCCTCTGCCTTTTATAAATTCTTATGGATTCAAAGCCAGACAGTTGCTTCCCTCTTAGAAGGATTTACAAATGAGAAAGACAAATTTTTTGTCTGAGGAATGTGAGCTCCTTGAAATTATCAGGCCCAGAGAGGCATTGAAATGTGGCAGTCACCTCTCACTCCCTGCCTGAGGTAAGTAATCACTTCTGGAAGCTACTTGCTATGTGGACTCTAGACTAGCTGACAGTAAGTAGCCAGAAATTAACCTAACAATGCCAAACACTGGAAACCATAACTCATATTCTAAACCTGAATAACATGAGCCAATAACATATCAACATCATTCCTGTAAAACAGTGAGATTACCTGAAACACGACTTTTGTAATCGCCCCCTCTCCTGAGTTGTCCTTTTTTCTCTCAAATCTCTAGCTGCCGTCTTTGTTCTCTACAGCATTTCCCAGAGTGTCCTGAGCTGGGCAGCCGTGCTCAATCTTGGCCCAGATAAAACTCTCCATGTTAATTTTGCCTTGTTTTTTAGAATGTAAGTTGACACATATGTCTACAGATTCGTGACTCATGAATGGCCAGCTTAATAGGAAAGACAACACAACATTAAGCTCAGGAAGAACTTTCAGGGTTCCCCCAGGGTCTCCTCCACGCCTCTCCTCCTATCTAGTCCTGCCACACTCCCCCACACCCCACACATACATCATTACAAATGCTACACTCCCTGTCAACCTGCCGTTTCCCCAGCTCCTCTGGTCCCCCCCATCTCAGACCCACAGGGTGCTTCACTGAATTGTCAGAACTGTCTGCTGAAAGATTTCTCAGAAATTCCAGCCTTGGTGAAATCTCTTAATAGCTTTCTGCTGTGTCATGGAGGGGGAGCCCAAATTCAAGGTTCTTCAAAGTTGGCCACCAAACCACTTCTCCAGCTTCATTCCCCATAATAAAATAGCTCCAGCCATTCTGAACTATTCATTTCCTACCCCAGTGTTCACCATTTCTTCCTCCTTACTTTGCTTATGCTTTTTACTCTGCCTACAACCTGCCTCTGCTGTAGCTTCGTTTCTGAAGCTGCCAAGTGACCTGCCTGTATCAGCTCCACTTCTTGGGTTCATCAGAAATGCCACCACCTAGATCGAATTCTCCCCTGAGGACTTCTGCCTCCAGCCATGATGGAGTGGCAAGCAGCAGAGCAATGCAACCTGAAGAACAAACAGAAGAGCCCACAGAGGAGCAGAAGATGTGTTCCAAGGAGTCAGATCGCTATGGCAGCATTTGGGATTTGGGGAACCAAGAGTTTTGAAAGGAAATGCAGAAAAATATACTCACACTCTGCACCTGACTTTTCCTCAGTGTGTTTGCCAATTCGTGATTGAGGGTATGGGGGCTACGATCCCACATAATCCAGCTGACAAAGGACCACTGCTGGAAGGCAGAGAAATCAGAATGAAAATCTTACAGGGCAGGAGAGACCCCAAAAATGGGGTTTGGGGGTGTCAAGGCAGCCAGGACTTAGGACCCAAGATGCCAGTAAGAAACTAGGCACAGAAAAGTGGGCCTAGCATTCAGCTGGTTTCTCTGCAAATCATTGATATTCAAGTAAGCAGTGCTTAGAGCCTAAGAAGATCAGCCAAAGCCACTGAAAACAATCGATTAATGTAGAGCATCATCCTAACGTGCTGAGAAGACAAACCTTGGTTCACAACCAACAAAGACCACATGTTCTCACTTAAGTGGGAGCTGAATAATGAGAACACATGGGGGAAGAACAACGCACACTGGGGCCTGTCAGAGTTCTTCAGAGTTGGCCACCAAACCACTTCTCCAGCTTCATTCCCCCTTCCTTGTAAGGACCATAATAGCTCCAGCCTCCTGTGGGGAGTGGGAGGAGGGAGAGCATCAGTAAGAATGGATGCTGGGCTTAATACCTAGGTGATGGGATGATCTCTGCAGTGAGCCACCTATGGCACACGTTTACCTGTGTAAGAAACCTGCACATCCTGCACATGTACCCTGGAACTTTAAAGTTGGAAATAAAAATATACAGCCTGAACTAGAAATGTCCTCTAAGCAGATCCCCTGTAAGGAGGATTTGTAATAAACAAATATAAAAACCTACAGATCTCAGGTGCTAGATGCTAAAAGAAAATAAGAGAAACTAACAGGTAGAATAAAATTTTATTCTGTTTGTTCAAACACACACACACACACCTGGGAGGCCAGCTCACCCACTCAGCAAAACTCAGAGCCATAAACATCCTGCCACTTCCACACAAACACTCCCCCTGACCCCCAAGCTGTTGTACAAATATGAGATTAACCAAGTTCAGATGTGAGCCAGAAGCAGCCTTGAGCTTCCCCCCATTACCCTTGAAACAAGCAATATTGGTCATCTTTCATTTTTAGTACATGTACTCCCCTTCCTTCTCTCCCTCCCTCCCTCTCTTCATTCAGGAACTGTGGGACAATATAAAATGGTGACAACATAACAGGCAGACAACTGAAAAACCAAATGAACAAGAAAGAAAGGACATAAATAGTTGAAGTAATGGCTGGAAATACTTCAAAATAGGTGACAGACACACAACCACAGATCCAAGAGGCTCAGAAAATACCAAGTAGGATGAACACCAAAAATAAAGTTACCCAGGCATATTATACTCCAACTGAGGGAAACCGAAAGAAAATATTAAAGGTAGCCAGAAAATGAAGTCTTAAGGAAAATTTAAACATTTTTTGAAGTTAAAATAATGCAATTATTAAAACTTACGAGATGCAGCAAAAGAAGTACTTAGAAGGAATTTAGAACATTAAATACCTATATTAAGAAAGCAGAAAGACCCAAAATTAGTAGCCTAAGCTTACACTTTAGGAAATTAGAAAAAGGAAAACAAAACTAAAAACAAGTAGAAGAAAGGAAATAGTAAAAATTGTAGCTGAAATAATGAAATCAAAAGCAGGAAATTAGAGGAAATCAGAATCAAAAGTTGACTCATTGAAAAGTTCAAATAAAATGGATAAACCTATAGCCAGGAAAATTGAAGAAAAAACACAAATCATGATCAGAAATGAAAAAAGAGGTCATTGCTACTGATCCCATGGAAGTTAAAAAGATAAGGAAACACCATGAGCAACTCTATCATCATAAATTTGATAACTTAGATGAAGTAGACTAATTTCTTGAAAAAAACAAAGCTTATTCAAGAAGAAATAGATAACCTAAATAGTCTTAAAGTGAGATCCATCCCAGAAAGGCAATGCAGGTTCAACCTTCATAAACCATTATAATTCATCATATTAACAGACTAAGAAATCATACAGATACAGAAAAAGCATTCTACAAAATGTAATACCAATTCATAATAAAAACTCTCAAAAAACTAAGAATATACAGAAACTTCCTTCACTTAGTGAACAGTATTCATGAAAAATCTACAGCTAACATATTTAATGGTGGAAAACTGAAACTTTCCTCCTGAGATTAGAAGCAAAGTATGTCCCCTTTTACCTAAACTCCTTTTTAACATCGTACTGGAAGTCCTTGCTGGTGCAATAATACAAGAACAAAAAATTGTCACACAGGTTAGAAAAGAAGTAAAACCATCTTTGTTTGTGGATAACATGATTGTCTATCTAAAAACCCCAAGGAACCTACAAACTAATTTTTGGAGTTAATAAGCAAGCTTAGCAAGGTTGCAGGACACGTGGTCATTTGCTTTCTTATGTATCAGCAATGAACGATTAGAATTTGAAGTTTTTTGAAAACCATGGTAGCTCCAAAATATAAGTATAAATACAACAATGCATGTGCAGGGTCTGTATGCAGAACTACAAAGAAATCAAAGATCTAACTGTGAGAACAGCCAAAACAATTCTGAAAAAGAAAATGCAGAACTCACATTACCCAATTTTAAGACTTACAAGACTCTTGATTTCTGTAAACTTTTATAGTATTAGTGAAAAGATAAATTATCAATGGAATAAAATAAAGAGCCCAGATAATGGTATACTCAGTCTGATTTTTAACAAGGTGGAAAGGCAATTCAATGAAGAAAAGAGTCTTTTCTTTCAATACACAGTACTGGAACAATCGGACTTCCAAAAGCAAAACAAAAAACTTCAATACCTCACGTCTCACACTGAAACATTAGCTCAAAATGGATCACACACTTGATGTAAAACACAAAAATAGAAAACTTCTACAAGACAACTTGGGAGAAAATCCCCATGAACTTGAGTTTGTGATGAGTTTTCAGACACATCACTGAAAGCACGATCCATGAAAAAAATTAATAAATTGAACTTTAAATAGAAAACTTTTGCTCTGTGAAGACATTATTAAGAGAATGAAAAGAGAAACTACAGATTAGGAGGAAATATTTGCAAAAGACATATCTGATAAATGACTTTTGTTCAAGATACACAAAGAACCCTTAGAACCTTATAAGAAAACAAATAACCCAATTTAATAATGAGCAAAAGATTTGTACTGGCATCCACCAAGGAAGATAGACAGATGGAAAATAAGCATATGAAAGGATGCTTGACATCATTTGTCATTCAAGAAACACTAATTAAAAACAAAATGAGATAACACACCTGTTAGAATGACTCAATGCAAAAAAAAAAAAAAATTGACAATACCGGTTATTGGCAAGGATATGGAACACCAAATTCTCATTCATTGCTGATGGGAATAGAAAATTGCACAACTACTATGGAAGACAGTTTTGCAGTTTCTTATAAAGTTAAACATATGCTTATCCTACAGCCTAACCATCACACTCTTAGGTATTTGCTCACCCACACAAGAATGTTTATAATAGCTTAATTCCTAATTGCCAAAAACTGGAAGCAACAAGGCAAGATGTCTTAACCATTAAATAGACAAGACAAAGTACAGTACAGCTATACGATGGAATACCATTTAGCAATAACAAGAAATGAACTATTAATCCACACGAAACATGGATGAATCCTAAATAGATTTCATGAACTGAAAGAAGCCAGATGTAAAAAGCTACATCCTCCATCTTGTATAATTCCGATCATATGGCATTCTGGCAAAGGCAAAACTCCAGAGACTTAAAACCCATCAGTGCTTGTCAGAGGTTTCGGGGAGGAGGAGGTTATCTGTCTAGAGGATGCCCAGGGCACATCCTTGTGATGGTGGCACTAGTCTGTATGGCGCATTCTGTAGCACTGGATACATGATGCTACACGCTGGTCAAAATTCACGAATTTATAGCACAAAACGTGGACCTTAATGTATAAAAGTTTTGAAAAATCAGTTGGGAAATCGGGGATCTCAAGATGGACTACTGTGACAAATTAACGTGTTACAGAGGTAATAGAGAACCTCCCTGCAGGGGTGAAGGATAATGGTGCTGACCTTTGGAAAGTGATGTCTTGACTGGAAACTGGAAGATTAAAAACAGAAGGAATTTTACATCAACACTGGGATCTTAATAACTTATTGGTTTCTCATGAGGGTGTAGATGAACCATTCAGAAACTGTTGCTGGATGGACTAAATAAACAGATGGTGGAAGATAGGGACAAGGTTTCTCACTATTGGAGGGAGAAGTTGCAGATAATTAAGAGGCAAAGTCTAGAATGAACCATGTGGGACTGGATCAGGGTCAGAGACTCCAGTATGAACTCAGGGTTAGCTTTAGATACAAAGTAATCTGTTCAAAATACATTGTTAGGAAGATGAAAAGACTACACATCAGGAAAAAAATTTGCAAATCACACATCTGACAAAAAGACTTAAATCCATAATATACAAGGAAATTTCAAAATTTAGGAAGAAGAAAACAACTCAGTAAGTGGTCAAAGATTTGAACATACCACTCACCAGAGAATACATACAAATGACAAATAAGCAGGTGAAAAGAGTCTTAGCCTCATTAGTCATTAAGGAAATGCAAATTAAAACCACAATAATTCAGTGCTGGTTAAGATGTGGGTCACCTGGAACTGTCATACATTACCAGTAGGAAGTCATACATTACCAGTAGGAAGGTAAATGATAACAGTCAGTTGGAAAAACAGCTTGACAGTTTCTTAAAGTTAAACATGCCTTTTTTTTTTTTTTTTTTAAATACAAAACCCAGTAGTCTTTCCTAAGCATTTACCCCAGGTGAAATGAAAATTAGGTTTACACAGAAACCTTTACCTGAATGTTGGCAGTGATTCTGTTCATAATCACCAAAAACTGGAAACAGCTCAGATATTTAACATGTGAATAATACATGAACAACATGTAAATAACACGAGATAAATAACACTTGAATTTAACACATGGATAAACTCACTATGTTATACCCACACAATAGAATCTTAACAATAAAAAGGAATGAACTGCCGCACCCAGAAATGTGGATGGATAGATGCCAAACCTACTATGCCCAACGAAAGACACCAGGCTCAAGAGGCTACACGCTGTGTGATTTCATTTTTATGACATTCTTGCAAAGGCAAAACTATAGGAAAAACAGATCGACTGACATTGCTTCTGGACAGGGGGATGGATCAGCCACAGGGGGGGCATGTCAGCATTTTTTGGAGTGGAGCTTTTCTATGTTTTGATTTTTGGTAGTTACACAATTTTATGCATTTGTCAAACCCTGCAGAACTGTACACTACAATAAGTAAATGGTACTGTAGAATAATGCTGTGCCTTAAAGGGTCTCTATCAAGTACCCTGTAAAACAGAAGCATCAGAAGTGAGTTCGATGGGGAAGGATCACTCGGATGACAAAATGCCCCTTAGCCCTCTCCAAGTGTAACCTCCCATCTCTTGGTCTGTGTACAAGAGGTATGGAATGGGTATGAGGCATGGAATTCCAGAAACTAGAATGCATTTGTTCAAATGCATATTCAGTGGGAAACATAAACAAAGTAAGAAGACATGTAGCTTCCATTTCTCCCCTAGGAAGTCAGGATGCAGAAGCAGAGCTTTCCAGCAGATTTTGAGCAGTCACGGAGGTCGTGGATCAGGGTCAAGGCACGCTACTATGGCAGGCTGTGTCACGGTAATACTCACACATAAGAGTTGACCACACCGGCAAAACAACAATCTTTGGTTTTCCTGTTTTCCCTTCTGCAACCACTTTCCTTTTCATGCTCTTTTCCCCCCAATTCATTTGAATTTTTCTCCTCTTATTGTTTGGCAGAGCTTAAGGGTCATTATTTTATATTAAACTGAAGAACGCAGGAAAGAACTGGGCTCGCAGTTCTGCATAAAATGAAAGGTAATTTTTAAAAATGTTAATAGAGGACATGATGTGCTTTGGGAGAGTGGAGTAATTGGAGCATCATAGGCTTTGGAGAGGCTGGCAGAGTTTGAATGCGAGCATTGTCTCTTGCTAGCTAGGTGACATGGCCTAGTTATATAACATCTCAGAGCTTGCTACGCCATTCTGATATGGAGCTGCCTACCTCACAGGGCTGTTGTGAGAATTAAATGAGATAAAATTACATAAAGCATTTAGCGTTGTACAGCATGTCAATACTGCATTGCTATTATTATTGTAACTTGCTGTTATTATCACTATTTCCCCTCAAATATGACAGGGCTAAAACATTTTCCAAACCAGTCCAGGCCTCCCCAGGGCTGGAGATGGGCAGGCCACCCTTGGAAAGAACTTAAGTTCATCTGTCTTGGTCTCTTCAGTGCTGCTTCCCCACAAAACTTCCTTCTAATGCCATTTGCATTTTCAGAGGGTACTTGAGAGAGACTGTGTAGATATATCATTTTTGCAGTGAAATCCACCCTATGTAGCATACAGTGAGATCTGCAGGGTGTGACCTCAGGACTTGTCTGGGGTCGCTGCGAGGCACAGAACTCGGATTGTACTCAGAGAAAGAAATGGCAGGCAGGGCCAACTGGGTTTAGCAACATGGTGAAGGTTTTTGAGCAACGGAGTCAGTCTTCGGTTATATTCTATATCCATCACTTCCTAGCTATGTTAACTCAGGCAAGTTCCAGGACTCATCCAAGCCTCAGTTTCCTCATCTGTAAAATGGGAATGATGATGATATGTGACTTCAATCAAATGACATGACAACCTCTTTATATAATATCTGAAACTTAACCAAGAAATTAGAGTTGTAATATTTTACTATCAATATCACCATCTGTCATTTTCACATAAAGAAGTATTTTTTAATACTGAATTCTGCCCAACACATCTTTCTCTCACTTCCTTATTCACCAAGTATTTCTGAGTCACTACCAGGGAGATAGAGGAGGCAGCAAGACAAAGTCCCTGCTTTCGTAGAATTTATAGAATTTTATTTTGGGGTGAGATGAAAATAAACAAGGTAACAAATATGTAACTTCAGGTAGGGATAAGAGCTCTGATGTATAATTCAGCAGGATTAGGGTTTTGAGATTGAGACGAGGGTGGTCAGGGCAGATGTCCTTGAGGAGAAGACTTTTCAGTAGAAGTCAGAACCTCATAGGAGCAGATCAAGCAATGATCTGGGGAAGAAGGTTCCAGATTTGGAGCTGCTGGTAGGATGGTGGACTGGAGCCTGCTGGACCTTCCCCCGGCTGAGATTATCTGATTTGCTGAAAACGACTAACAGGCATCCTCTTGCATTGTCTTTGCTCACCAGTTTGTTCTATTTCCAGATGGAACTCCTAACGTTAGATCACTTTGGGGCCTTCAAAGACCCAAAATAAAATATAGGCCAAGTTTATTTCACCAGATTTAGGTGTGAATATCCCCAAGGACCTGGCCTGTGGACGGCCAGAGAGGAGAAGCAGAGAGGGCCCTTTGACAACCCCAGTGGGTGTCAGGAGAAAGCCTTACCTTCTGCTAGCTTTCCCCCACAACAGTGTCATGGGAGGGGAATACAAAGAAAAGCAAAACTGTATTTTCAGTATATTTTACAACAATGGAAAAACAAAGAAAGCCCTATTTCCTGGGTAGCGAATAAAAAAGTAAACTTCAACTTGAAAAACTTCGAACAACAAGCAATTAACTAGGTGGCAGCAAAGCGCACCAAGAGAAAAGATGAATTGCCTGAAATAAATAAGGGCTGGGAACAAAAATGAGAAATGTTCCCGAGGTAAATGGACTATAATGCAAGGCTCTGTGAAATAAAGAAGCAACTGTTTAATGCAAAAACAATGGGAAAGGCATCTCACTCGAACCACAGTCATCGAGGGAGATGATGGGTGATTTTTTTAGTTGCTGGTTGAATGGCTGCACCTACTGCATGCCAAGTGCCTACCACACCATTTCTCTACTCATGCTTTGCAGATCTGCCTGGAAATGCATCTTTTCTGACTCCCCCAGGCAGGATTACTTGCTCTGGATCTGCAGCGGCTCAGATCAAGGTGCTCTGCAATGTGGCTACTTATTTCTTCCTCTCACTAAATGGCATCCTCTGTAGGTATGAGCAGGTATAGTGTATTTATTCATCCCTTAAAAATGCCTGTGCATTTTTGTTCTTGTTAATTGGATTGAGATACTCTGTTAAAGTTAAGGAGAGAAGACAGGTGGAGACAGAAGAAAGGAATTTGATCAATATTTATTAAAGACCTTCTATTATGTAGTTCAGATTCCAACAATTAACAGGACAAAAATCTCTGCTTTCTGGGAGCTCAATGGGAGAAATACATGTGAATATGTCATTTCAGTATCATGAGCAAATGTTAAAGTGGGGGATGTCCAAGATACTACTACAAGAGTACCTGGATTATTTTTCTTACCCAGCTGAGAAGTTAGCAGGGATTTCTGAAAGAGGCAAGTCCTGATCTGAATTTGGAAAATTTGGAAGGACAAGTAAAAACTGATCAGACAAGGAGAATGCCATGCAGCCTCATGCACACGTGCAAAGGCCAGAGGGTCTGATTGAGTCAAGTTCCTTCTGGGAATAGCTATTGGAATGGCGGGAGCTAGAGGTGAGTGCATGAGCACCTGATGGAACTGCCTGGGGATTAAATGGGGTTGTGACCCTCTACGTGGGCGTGTTTGACTTCCTCCCCTCACAGGTAATGGGTGGCCATGAAGGGATTACAAGCATGAGGAGGTGCAGGAGGCATGATCTGAGTGATGTTTTCAGATGTCCTCTTGCAAGTCAGGTATGGGGTGAGCGGGGCAAGGCTGGAAGCACAAAGATCCACCAGAAGACTGCTGAATAGTTCCCGATGAAATAGTGGTGGCTTTATACAACAGTGGCAGGGGGAATGGAAGCAAGTAGTTGGATTGGAGAGAGATTAAAGGGTAGAATGAATTAGAATGAATCAGAATTGGAGATGTGTGGGATGTGGGGTTGGGAATAAAGAGGAATCCAGGATGTCTGGGGTTAAATTTCAGATTCGCATCACATCTATGTTTACCTTTAAACGGGAAATCATTATTCCATGCAAGTTGTGTGAAATGTTTAGTAACTAAAAGTCACAGACCTATGAGTAATTAGAGAGGAACCTTTTAGCCTGATCCCTGTTTGCACCTAGAAGCAAGACGAGCTACATAATTTGCATACGAAAAGAATATATGGAGCCCTTTTATAAACTGGAAAAAAGTGCCAGTAAACATACTAAAACGTACAACTTGTTTTGCTTTTGAGGTATCTTGAAATGTTAGTGTTTTTGACTCACTAATGTCATTCTAGGCAAAGAAAAATTAAATTTTTAAGTGAGCACAACTTTTACCGTTCATCATTATATAATGTGCAATGCCAGTTCTAAAGGCAAATATCAGAATATTTAACTTGTATGCAGAATCACCAAAAGTACAAAATTTGTAGCTCATTCATACAAATGGATTTTGTTCTTACCAAAGCAATGAAAACACTGCATAAAACCAACTCGACTGTCTTTATTTCACTTCTTAATATGCTTCTGTTTTAAGACTCTTTACTGTGGTTTACTGATGGGTATGGAAGGACTGGAAAGAAAAGGAACTGTGGATTCTTACCCTTCTCTTTCACGTCCTCATGTTCAGCATAAGAGGTTAGCAAATACAGGGAAGTAACACGAGTAAGAAAAGCCACTGTAGGGTTTCTTGGTTCTTTAATCATCTTAGAACACTATTGCCGCCTCTTGGCTTTCCAAATAAGTTCTGGTCCCAATGGAAGTGTGGCTTCTCAGGGCTGCCAGCGCCCCCATTCACTCCACCATCAATGAAACCTGCTTTCCTTGTATCACTTCTAGGCTCCCTGAGCTCCCACACACTAGGGGCCCACTGGAATTCTCTGCTCCTGGAAAATCATAATCACTCCATGCCCGTGGGGCAGCAAGCAATGGTGGACACAGATAGTGCAGGTGCCTCCTCTGCTAATGCACACGTTCCACTGTCCCATCAGACTTCAGCTACAAAATACAAGTTCAAAGGAAAGAATTTCAAGATGGCAGCAGCAGAGCACTAAACCAGGCATAGGCCCCTCTGAGCACGCAAGAGTTGCATGCCCCATGCCCCTGAAGTTGGGTCTGGCAGTAGGGAAACTGAGGCTCATTGACCTCACTGGATCTCATTACGGTTGGGCCACACAGCTGATGAGCAGCAGGGCCTATTCAAAGGTGTGTTTCTCCAAGTCCCTGGGTCTGGTATTTTTCTCCTACAACGTACAGACCCCCACCTTTATATTCCAGGCCATTCTAATGGCCGGTTCTAATAGCCTCCACTACTTAATGGAAACAACTAAATGTAAATACTTTGGGGAAGTGAATTACATTCGACATATACAAGCTACACCTATTCCTCAATTGTATTTACATTGGAAGGAAGAGGTTTCCATTTTTTGCTCCAGCCCTGACCTAGATGGAGCTTTCTCTAGTCAGATTATGATGAGAGCAAATGGTAGATAAAGCCCTTTGTGTGGAGCCATACAGACAGGACTCCCACTCTACATGCTAATGAATGCCCAATGGCATTGTGATTTATTTCCCAGGAGCCTCAGAGCTCATGGAGGGGAAAGAGAGGCTTCAAGGCTCATCTGCTTGGCTGGAGATACCAGTGGATTCTGAAGAAAAGAATCCCATTTCTATCCAATCAGCAAACATACTCTTCAGAGGAGCCCCTTCATATACCCTGTGCTATGTTCAGAGTCTAGGGAAAGATGGATAGGAAATCTGAACAGTTTGAAATGTGGGAACAGCAGACAAATGCATTCATTCTTTCATTTACTCATGCTTATTCCTATATTATCCCTTCAATCATGCATTGTATTTCCATATTTATGCATGCATTGAACAAACATTTCTGAAGTGCCAGGTGCCCTGCTAGACCCTCAGTCTGCGGAGATGAATGCACACACCTGAGTAGATGCTGCTCTTGAGCATCTTACAAGTTGGATAGGGAGGTCTGATTGGGATTATCAACTGGGTAGCATTTGCACTGGGCTTTGGGGGACATGTAAGAGTCCACCAGCTAGACTAAGTCAGGAAGAGCACAGAAAGTCAAAGGAATACAAACAAAAGCAAGTATTCTTTTGGTCTCAGCATTGCAGTACTAGTAGATACAGAATTTGTTAGTAGAGGTAAGACCTTTATGCTGAACCAGGGAGCATGATGCATATAAGAGTCCTGATGAGTTAGAAAAAAGCTTTATTCTGAATCAGGATTTTAGGAAAACAACTCAAGTGGCATGTCTGGGAGATGGTAGGTTGTGGGGAGGACTGTGCTGGAGGGTGGAGGGCTGAGAGTGCCTAGCAGCAATGCAGGTAAGACACTGGCAGCAGCTGAGATGGAGAAAACTCAGGCATGAGGAAACTTCAGGAGGCAAACCTCAAGTTACCCAGCTCAGTGAGAGGAACCATCATAGACTTTGTTTTCTAAGCCAGCAGCCTGAGATTTCCCCTTGTGGCCAATACAACACCCACTTTTATAATCTTGCTTAGCTTTGTTGCCTTTGAGATTCTGCTTACACGTTGGTTTTTGTCTGCTTGCTTGTCTTCTAAAGGGTTCTTCAATAAATCCCCATGTCAGACTCGACTTCTAGAGAAGCCAACCCAAGTTAGCTGTATGAGAAGCAGTCCCAGGAGACAGAGATTCAACCCAAGTTAGTTGTATGAGAAGCAGTCCCAGGAGACAGAGATTAGGATGGGCTCTGGAGTTGGGTCACCCATCACTAAACTGGAAATAAGGATATATCACTTTGGGGAGGAGGAGGAATATAGTCCCTGGTGTGCTGTTGCAGCACGAACACCAAGATGCTCACCTATGGTGAAATAGGATGGAATGCAGGTGGAAGGTTATACACTGGCTGGGAGAAATAGTCATGGACTGTGAGCATGTGGCTGTTGTTGGGAGCAATTGATGTATTGAAGAGAAAATGACAGGCTCCCTGGTCAGCTAATCACTAACATAAGGCAAAGCATGAAAGCCAGAGGGCATTGTTGGTAGCATCTGAAAACACACTCATCCCTTGCAGCTGGAGAACAGACTCAGCTGACAGGCAGACATAGAAGTTAATTGTAAGCATGGCAGGACTTCAGAGAAGCCTGAATAATCAAGTTGGACATTTCTGCTATAACAACTTTGGGGTCACAAAAGGAGGAGGGCTTGAGATTGGGATGGGGACATCTGTGCAGATGCACTTACAAACCTTGAGTCCTTAGACTCCCCTGAACAATCTGCACCTGAAGAAACAGCTCAACCATGTAAGAAACTACATAACAGAAAGTAACCTATAGGATACGCTTGCCCTCAAAATTGACCCCTCCACTGCCCCGGCCACCAGATGCATATCTAGGGTAAGACCTACAGCATGACCCACCGGGGCTAAAAAATGGAAAGGATTTGGCTTTAAAGGAGCTGCAGGATGTGGCTACTCTTTGTCAGCAGGAACTATAAAGGCACACTCGGGAATGCTGGATAGAGGGGCAGATAATAAGACCAGTTAAATCCTGTGACAAAATCTTTAACACTCTTGTGGGAGACTTGAGGCATTGTTTTGATATCTGCCTGAACGTTCCTTGGAAACTTGGAAAAACTGGCTTGTAGGAAATGAATTCCAGTTGCAGAAGCTGCTGCGGCTGACTGTGGCAAGGAGGAATATGCAAGTAGGGAACAGCACCACTTGAAACCTGGGTGGCACTGTCATATATAGACCAGGTGACCATAGGAGACGCTGTTATAGAACCAGGTTCCCCATGGCAAAAGACGTGAAAGAATCGCAGGGCAGCAGAGGCTGAGGGGAAAGCACCCAGGCTTTAGACCACAGCTGGACACAATTTGCCATAAAGGGTAGTGAGATTTGGAGGAGTCACAGGTTACCTGACCTTCACGGATCTACGGAGATGGAAATGAGGATGAACAATCCTGAGGATAAGACAGATGGGCCTCCAGCCTGGCTAAGTTTTGTATTTTTAGTAGACAGGGTTTTGCCACGTTGGTCAGGCTGGTCTCGAACTCCTGACCTCAGGTGATACACCAGCCTCAGCCTCCCAGAGTGCTAGGATTATAGGCATGAGCCACTGCGCCCAGCCGAAACAACTGGTTATTTAAGAAAGATAAAATATAGGACAAAATAGAAAGTTCAAACAGATTGTCAAAGGTCTGTGCAAGTCATAAAATACTCATGAAGAAAAATTGATAAAAGGAAGCTTAGTTATAATTAAGTTGGCTATAATTCAAAAGATATTTATGAATTCTAAAGATTCTAAACATTTAGTCTTGGTATTAAAAATACACTGATACGGCCGGGTGCGGTGGCTCACACCTGTAATCCCAGCACTTCGGGAGGCTGAGACAGGAGGATCACAAGGTCAGGAGATCGAGACCATCCTGGCTAACACGGTGAAACTCCATCTCTCCTAAAAATACAAAAATTAGCCGGGCGTGGTGGCAGGCGCCTGTAGTCCCAGCTACTTGGGAGGCTGAGGCAGGAGAATGGCTTGGACCCGGGAGGTGGAGCTTGCCGTGAGCCGAGATTGCGCCACTGCACCCCAGCCTGGGTGACAGAGTGAGACTCCATCTCAAAAAAAAAAAAAAAGAATACACTGATACAAAACTAAAAGGGCAATTCTTATATTCTTATGTTAGAACTATGGGGTTTTTCTGAAGTATTGATTGGCTCTTAGTAAAAATTGCAGGACTTTTTCTTTGATTCTAAAATCTGTTTTAACAACCATCTTCTCAACTGCAGACAGTTTCTATTTCTGCTACATTTCTTTCTGAGATCCATTTAATTTCCCTAGTTTCAGGTTGGAAAACTGCCTTCCTTGTTTTGAATGGTAATGTGATTTCTCGAGGTGGAGTTTTCATCCTGAAGCTTCTCGGACTCAGGTCTGACAAGTTCCACTTTTGCTGCCTCTCAGCACGTGATTTGCAGGTCAGGCGTCTTTGCCTTCAGCTCTTTTTTCCCCCCATGAAAAGGTGTATCTTTTAGCTTGGCTGGAGTGATCATTCTCTTCTGACTTTCTAGCAGCTCTTACGACTTTTTCTCTCAATCTAACTCTGCTTTTACCTGAGACTGAAATGTTCTGTCTTAAAGGCTTAGAAAAGCAATGTTTTCCCCCAGTACAACTTGATTCTTTAGTTTCTCTTAATGCATCCGAATTGTTCCAAATAACTAGGAAACTTCCCATGCTATTACTAAGAACCATGTATTCTCCTGTTCAAGATACTAGTTTTCTTGTTTATCTTCCTTTATAATATGGTGTACATTCATAAACTTGGACAAACTCTTCCTGTGTCTAATTAAATTTAAGTACCTTTCTCATCAAGTTCAACTTCGTTTATCTAAATGGGCTTCCCATAAGGAAAATAAATCACATTGCAGAAGGTTTTTTTGTTTTTACCTTTTTAGTGTCTTCAGGCCTAAGAATCAAAGATTTTGCTTCTTATCCAGATAACTTTATGTATTGTCTCTATTCAGTTTTTTTTTTTTTAATTTGGGAAAATTGAGCCTTGAAAGGATTTTAAGGTGAGTTTTAACATTCATGTAGCTTTATTGCTTTTAAAGTTCTTTATTATCACTGGTTAAATGATTATCAAGAATTCTGAGATTTTTTTATATATCTTCAATGGGTTTCTCTAATATCTAAATTCCAAATTAAGTCTTTTTGGCCTAAAAATTGAGATTTTCCAGCTGGGCCCCTGGAGAGCCTCAAAAGATGTATCTCTCATCTTGGAGATAGTACATGATTAGGCTTATTTGGTAAATTGGAAGGGAAGAATTGTCAAATGATAAGTGACATTAAATTTTCTTGCAGTTACATTTGTTATTGATATGAATGTATAAATTGTACAAAACTTTTAGAAATCTAATATTTCACCAGTCATAGTTCTTGTTACTATGTTGTATGTAACAAAAACAACCAAATTTCCCTGGCAATTGCTGATTATAATGAACTCCCATCAGATTTTTAACCATGGCTATTTTATGTTTCTGTCATCTAATTATTATTTTAATTTTTCTCTAAAGGCATCTGCCATCAGAATCATGAAAAGGACTTTAACAAATATTCTTAAATGTAAGTTTCTAATAACTTTAAGATCAATGAACTAAATAAACATTTTCCAGAACTCTAATAAAGAATCTGATGGGTTCATAAAACTGCTGATCAAGATCAAGCAGAACAAGAATTAATTACGTGAGTTAAGTACCTGAAGATAATGTTTTTATGATTTTTATTTGAAAAATATTGTCTCTTAAATGTTTTGCTTTCCATATTTAAGGAAATTTTTTCTTAAGCTATCTATAGATTACAACAATGTGGTAATATATACTTTTGTGAACAAAGATGGAAACATTTGCTTTTTCTCTGTTATCTCTCTAAAATTCAGAAAATATTTGAGTATTCTTATGGAAATATGGTTATTTGCATAAGTTCAATAAAAATTTGCTGTCCCTTTATAACAGGATACAATTGAAAACATTCGTTATATTACCAAGAGTGTGACTGAAATGTCGTATTGGAGAATGTGCATAAAGTGCCAGACTTCAAGTGTTTCTGACTTTACAATGAGGGAGTAAAATTATAACTTCCTACTAGGCCCAGGAGGAAACGTAGAATCTGCCTTGCTCTGACTATCTATCCTCAGGAGGTTTTTACATCTGAGATTTCTATGTGATCCACAGAAATAAAAAGTCATGCTTCCAAAAGAGAAACCATAACACACCTGGAATTAGATCGTAGCTCTGTGCATCGTTTTTGAGTTCTTCTCTAGCTACAGGCAAGACTAGATCCTGAATTATTCTAGATTCCTCCTCTCCAACTTTCTTTCATGAAATTATTAAAACTAGGAACTGCTGTTCCTGAAGTCCTTAGGATGAAACTCGATAAAATATAAGGAACATAGTGCCATATGTAAGGGTCACACCCAAAGTTCACCAAAGTCCCCAAACCCCAAACCAGGCATTCAAACTGCAAACCAGCATGAGAAGTTGACATTTTCATGCTGTAGGAAGCTTTTCCTAAGATGTCAGAATAAGATTCCATATCATAATGAGACTCATAGTTTCCCCTTTATGCTACCTTTTTTATTTGGCAGGATAATGGTGTCATCGAAATGTCATACTCGGTAGCTTCTGGTAATTTGAAAGAACCTAACCAGAGAGATCCTTCAGTCCACCTAGTGGGTAACTTTTGACATCATCCCTAATATAACTTCTGCTCATTCTCTGCTTTAATTTTACCTGGTCATGGGATACCTAATGCAGAATATTGCTCTATATTATCTATTGGTTAAATTTAAAAAACGTCTGTGCTATTGCTAACTCTACATGCTGTACCTGGATAAATTCCTCTTGGTAAGCTGAGACCCATATATATACAATATAAGAAAACAGGCAACCTATTTGACAACAGATGTCTCCTAATTTCCTGTGATCATTTGTTGTATTCAGTTGGTTGACTTTTAAGCCCTTGGTTCATGGCTCAAAACCATTATGCAAACTGGGGTTGTCATATTACTATTATCTTATTTTATATTTTCCTTTTTATACTTTGAACTTGTTACTTAATTTTTTTCAGAAGTACAACTCCTAATAGAATAACGCTGGCCCAAGCACTTTGAGATAGCAAAAATCTATGAAACAGATGAAATTGAACTTAATAATGGACTCCAGGTCACAGCCCGAGAGCCACTCCCTTTGAATCTCCCGTGTTGCTCAAATGTGACTATAAGGGTTTTGACATGGACTGCCTCCAAATGGGACCAGACCAGCAACCCAGCATAGGCCTATGGAGGCACTGAAGAATAACTGAAATCTAACTACAGAAAGATGGAGTGATGCTTTGGAGAAAGACTTGATCAAAAGAAGAAAAGGTGAAGGTTGTCAAAATCAAAATGAAGTCACTTGTGGGTTTTCTTGTTCTATTTGTTTTTAAAAACCTGACATACAGAGCTGGGGAAGCCCATGGAGAAAGGGTTCTTACACATATTTTCCTGATAACAAAAACTGTCACGAGAGACTGCAAACACCACAACTTTGCCCAAAAGCCCTTGCAACCTTCATATACAACACAAAAATTATTTCTGCAATGACATCTATCCAGCAACTACTTGTCCAACCTTATTATCGATTCTTATAGCCAAGCATAATTGTCTCCATTATGTAATCCTCATTTTTCTTTTAGAATTCTTTGTCCTCCTATACTGTCTTGAATAACACATAGTTTACCATTATGGCATGTGTATTCCCATTGCAATGCCCTATTCCCAAATAAATATTTTCTTTTAAAGAAGGTACTATTTTAAAGAAGTTGTTTAGGTGGCAATGGCTATCCTGCCTCTGTGCTTCTTCACATCATCTTCCCTCTGCACATGCCTTTCTCCGTGCAAATCTTCCTTTTACCTAAGGATACCAGTCACTGGATTAGGACCCACGCTAGTAATTATATTTTAACCTGATTATTATCCCTGTAAATACCCTATTTCCAAATAAGGTTACATTCTGAGGTTACTGGCATTAAGATTTCATCATGTCATTTTGGGGGGTGATGGGGAAGACTTAGAATGTAACCTTTGACAATAGAGACCCAGCAAAGTAAATCAAGGGTAATATCACATGTTCCACATACTCTGATTAAACTTTATGCATGGAGAGTGCATGCAGGGAACGGGGGAAGCCCTGACCTAGCCTGGAAAAGGCAGGGATGCCTCCACTAAAGATCATAGCTTCAGTTTGTTGTAACAGAATAGATGTCAGCCAAAAGGTAAAAGAAAGGAATGATATTTCAAAGATGGACAAGGAGAATTGTAACTAATTAGGAAGCTACTGATGAGGCCAGAATGACGACCAAACATCAGGTTATGAAATTGTCTTACATACCATAAGGAGGAGCTCTGGGTACAATTCTGAAAGAATGGGGAAGAAAATAATTATAAATTGTGAATATAATTAGAATTGATATTAGAATCTTTGAAAGAGCTGAAACAACATTATACCTTGGGGTGATTTTAGCACTCACCATTATTCTCAATATAGATAAGATTTTTGTTTATGGCAACTGTCTCTCTGAGGAAAAGTACCATAAGCTAAATTGACCCAAATCAATTGAGACTTTTCATTAGACCAAATGTTTTAATAGTAAATTATGTGCTTGTTTGAGAATTGAGAATAAATGTTGTAGACACAGGGACACAAATGAAATTTTAATTCACCAAAGCTCATTCTCACGTTCTCTACAGCACAAAAGTTTCTCAATTATAAAAAACCAGTGGAGCAAGTCAAAATAGCCATGCATGTTGAATTTACCATGACAGAATCTTATTTATAACTTTTTTCTTCTTTTTTTGGAGATGGAGTCTTGCTCTGTCACCCAGGCTGGAGTACAATGACGTGATCTCAGTTCACTGCAACCTCCACCTCCCAGGTTCAAGCAATTCTGCCTCAGCCTCCCGAGTAGCTAGGATTACAGGTGTGGGCCACCATGCCTGGCTAATTTTTATATTTTTAGTAGAGACAGGGTTTTGCCATGTTGGCCAGCCTGGTCTCAAACTCCTTACCTCAGATGATCCACCTGCCTTGGCCTCCCAAAGTGCTGGGATTATATGTGTGAGCCACCACGCCTGGCCTATAATTCTTTTTTTTTTTTTTAAAGGTCATAGTCTTTCATGTGTTTCCCCCACCGCCCCCAAAATTCATATGTTGAAATCCTATTCCTCAGTACCTCAGAATGTGCCCTTATTTTGAAATGGAGCCATTGCAGGTTATTAGTCAAGATTAGATGAAGTTATATTAGAGTAGGGTGGGCCCCTAATCCAATATGACTTATGTCCTTGCAAACATTTGGATGTGAGACATTCAGCATGAGAATTGCATGTGAATATTAGAGACAAGGGACTACCAGGAGCTAGGAGGGGCCAGAAACAGGTCCTTCTCTAGAACCTTCAGAGGGGCATGGCCCTGCCAACACCGTGAGCTTAGTACTTCCGGCCTCTAGAACCTTGCAACAATACATTTCTGTTGTTAAGGTACTCGGTTTGTGGTATTTTGCTATGGCAGCCCTAGCAAACTAGTATGTTCCAGAAACAGCAATACGTTGCTTGTCCAGGCCCTGTAATTCAGGCAGATGGAGCCATATTTAAACTTTGGACCCAGCAAACCAATGGCTTTGGTTATATGTTGATTGTGACAACCCATTGCTTTAACTTTGGCAGCCTAGCGGAAAAAATGATTTGGTAACAGGTGTCATTTAAAAGCCATTTCATTAGAAGGTTCTTTTACTTGGCCACAAAGAAGCCATTGAGGACTTTAGCTAGAGACCCCATTCCAAGATGAACCTCTGAGTCATGGCTCTGCACACACCCTGAAGAGCCAGCACTGTCTCCAAACCCAGGTGAGGAAAGTCATTCCTCATAATAGGAAAGCAAAGAAGATGACATCTTTTCTAAGGCTTTTAAATCTTATACCCCAAATGGGTAATGTTTTATTTTATTTTTATTTATTTTTTTTATTATACTTTAAGTTCTAGGGTACATGTGTACAACGTGCAGGTTTGTTACATATGTATACATGTGCCATGTTGGTGTGTTGCACCCATGGTAATGTTTTATTTAGTCTTGAATTGATCGACAATCTGCCTTCTGGTGCTCTGGGTAAATTTCCTGACTTTAAGTTGCTGAAAAGACAGTTTACAGTTCACTTGGATGAATCAGAGCAAATGTCTCTTGAAATACACCCTCCACCAAGTTTCCCCGGTATGCATTTGGGTTTCAGTTGGGTGGGTATTTGATATTTAATATAAAACATGAGATTTTATTTGGGTAGGTATTAGTTTTTTTCATTGAATATTTGGCAGGAAGACAGGATTGGCATCTATGATGGTTAATTTTATGGATAAACTTGATTGGGTCACAGGATGCCCGGATATCTGGTTAAACATTATTTCTGGGTATGTCTGTGAGGGTGTTTCTGGAAGAGATTCCCATTTGTTTTGGTGGACTGAGTAGAGCAGATAGCCCTGAAACATGGGGAGAAGGGGGGTGTCATCCAATCCCTTGTGGACCTGAATAGAATAAGAAGGTGGAGAATGGGAGAATTTGCTCTCTCTGCCTAATTGTTTGAGATGGGACAGCTTCTCCTGCCTTCAGACCTGGACTTACACCATCAATACTCAAGGTTCTCGGGTCTTCAGACTTGGACTGGAATCACTAGCTTTCCTAGGTTTCCAGTTGCAGATGGCAGATCATGAGATTTCTCAGCCTCTACAATCATGTCAGCCAATTCCTCATTATATATCTATTTTTTAATGTATATGATACACATATCATATAGGAATGTATCATATATATCATAGTAGAGAGATATATATATCTACTGGTTCTGTTTCTCTGGAAAATGCTGATACTGCCTCCAAAGCACCACTTACTGTATAATTATATGCTTTTGTCCTATATAGTTTCGCCAAAACTTTGAGAGTACAAATAAATCACCAAAGCTTTAATAGTGATCTCTTTATTTCATTTATATCCTTATCCCTTAATTCATTTATCCAAACACACACACAAAAATGTTGGACTCCAGCTATATGCCAGCCACTGAGCCAGGAATGCAGAGATATAACGTACAGGGATCCAGCCAGGGCACAGAGGTGGATAATGCACAAGTTACAGTCCCTGCCCACAAGCAGCTCTTGGGCTGGCTGGGGAGACAGACCCAATAAACATAAGGGACATAAAATGTTCCAGCTGCTGTCACATCCTGCCTGCAGAGGGATGGAGGGCACTTCTGCGTGAGACTTGTCCTCTTCCTCATCCTTAGATCAGCCCAGGGGCCTCACTCCCTTCCCATGTCAAGCTATGTAGGAGACCTTCTGTGTTTCCAGGTTTCCTGGTACTTCCTAAAATGATGGATAGGGCTGGGCATGATGGCTGATGCCTGTAATCCCAGCACTTTGAGAGGCCAAGGCAGGTGGATCACCTGAGGTCAGGAGTTTGAGACCAGGCTGACCGATATGGAGAAACCCATCTCTACTAAAAATACAAAAATTAGCTGGGCGTGGTGGCGCATGCCTGTAGTCCCAGCTACTCAGGAGACTGAGACAGGAGAATCGCTTGAACCTGGGAGGCGGAGGTTGCAGTGAGCCAAGATGGCACCACTGCATGCCAGCCTGGGTGACAGCAGAAGAAACTGTTTCAAAAACATAAAAATAAAGTGATGGATGGAAATGCTGGGTCTCCCACTGGATTGGAAACTCCTCAAGGACAGCACTGGATCTTATTCACCTCTGTATCTCCAGCATGAAGATCAGGCCCTGGCACATTTTTGGCCAGAAGTAAACATCTGGTTGAACAAAGCAAGCCATCATACCTGAGTGGAGCAGTAGTAGCTGAGCCTAAGGACAAGGGCTAGGTGGAGGGAGGTTCCAGGTATGGCCATAACACACATGGGGTCCATGAACATCTTTCCATGTGAAGGGGAAACTTTAATAAAAGTGCTCATTTCTACGTGGAGGTTTTGCACACAGCCTCTCAGCTCCAGCCACGGAGATGTGGCAGATTCCATGAGTTTACAGTCAAAAAGCCAGTCAATTTCTCCATTGCTGAAAGAACCCTAATTTGACTTAAAATATCACTGTGCCCATCCCCAAGGGATGAGTTGTGGTTGACCTATGTCTACTCCAATTACAATAATCCCATGTCTAACTTTCCTGACCTCCAATAAAGCTAAGGATAGCCATGTGATCTACAAAACAGCAGAGGTTAGCTGCAGTTGTACTGAGCAAGTGTATGTTTTGATGTTGTTGTTGTTGTTGTTGTTTTGAGACAGAGTCTTGCTCTTGTCACCCAGGCTGGAGTGCAATGGCGCAACCTCAGCTCACTGCAACCTCTGCCCCCCAGATTCAAGTGATTTTCCTGCCTCAGTCTCCTGAGTATCTGGGATTACAGGTGTGTGCCAACACACCTGGCCAATTTCTATATTTTTAGCAGTGATGAGGTTTCACCATGTTGGCTAGGCTGGTCTCCAACTCCTGACCTCAGGTGATCCACATGCCTCAGCCTCCCAAAGTTCTGGGATTACAAGCGTGAGCCACAGCACTCCACCAAAAGTGTGGATGTTTTTGATTTAAAAAAAAAAAAAAGTGGCTGGGCATGGTCCCCATCCACTTTCCAGGTATTGAATGTGGATGTGACATCTGGAACTGCAGCAGCTGTCTTGCCACCACGTGAGAAAGACCAAGAGAATCAGGAAGGTGTGGGCCCTGACGTGAATCAATACCATCTATCTCTAGGCTTGTTTTGTGAGAAAAACCAACTCTTATTTGTTTCAGTCGCTGAATTTGAGATGTCTGTTACTGGCAGATGAATACATATATAGTCTTCTGCCCTTTTACCTCCTCAGAACCCCACTTCCAAGGTGACTGAATGGATCTGGGGACCAAGTTTTCTCCTGGATTTCCAAATCCAATTAATGAGTGTCTAAAGAGAAATGCTTCATTCTCTAGTAAAGCAGCAACTGACTAGAGCACTGTTGTCACCATGAGCCTTGGATCCAGCTGGCAATCACTTAGGAGCAATCAGAGAAATAGTGTTCTTACTGAGAGGAGAGAGTTAGCAGGCCTCAAGATTGTATCTAATTAGCTACTGGTGGATTGGTTTTCTCCACTGAATAATATGAGGGATAAATGGCTTACTATAAGCCTGACCACTGGGAAGTATCTTTTTCTAGGGATCTATTTTTTTTTTTATCTAGTTACTTGCATTTCCCTCAGATCTTGGGTGACTAAAGCCCTCCTAGAATCCTGGAGGTGAAAAAGATGCCTTCACACAGGAGTGAGCTCCCTATTCCTGGAAGCAATCAAGCAGACGCTGGATGCCTGTTGCTCATGGCTGCTCCTCTGAGAAAAACTTTGTATCTGTGAGGTACAGCTATTCTGCAGCATCCAATATCAACTGTGTGGCCTGTGGTAAGCCCTTTTAACTAACTGGGGCTCATTTTCCTCCGTGGCAAGATGGGAACATGTGAGTTGTGAAGGTGGGAGGAGAGGGAAGCACAGATTTGCACAGGATGTCTTTGAGGACCGTCACCTACAGTTACCCTCAGTGCTTTCTACAGAGCACACAGCCATTCCCCATCTCTGCTCTTCCTGTATCCCTATGCCTGAGTTGCCTGGCTGTTCCTCCAAGAGTCAGACAGCAGAGGAGGGTATAAAGGCAGAGAGAATGCCCTCTGGGCACTGATGGGCACTTTCCAGAGAGCAGCATCTTGGGGGTGTAGATTTCTTATCTCACTGCACTATGAGTAAACCAGTGCTCAGAGCTTTAGTAGTTGGAAGAGCTGGGTTGTAAATAAATCCTTCCAAAGAGACAGTCACATGTTAAAATTCAGATGCATTTGAAACCTAGGAGTTGAGATAGCAGGACCTAAGTAGGGGATCAGCAAGACCCATAGAAACAAGGGAAGGATGCTGGAACAGCCCTGCCAGGTACCAGACAGGAAGCAATCCTGGCTCATCCATCACATCACAGCAGCCACTGCTGAGTGCAGCTAACCACAGACAAGATGAATGGCATCCAAGTGGGAAGGGGAAGAGGCAGAGGAGGGAAGAGCTGAAGCAGATGCCCAGCAGACACAAGGTCCAGTTCCTCCGCTGCTCTGAGGCCAGCCAGCCAACACTGGGATTGGTAGGAGAATCAGAAGTGATAATGATCACAATGGCATAAGAGACTGAGGGCCAGAGAAGATTTCATGACAGCCTCACTATAGAGTGGATGGCAGGAGGTGGCTCCATGAGGCTGATGCACTCCCAAGCTCTCAGAGCAGCCACATAGTGGGTGGCATTGAGCACATGCCGCTCTGCCTTCTGTTTCGCCATTAAACATCTCTGTGTGTGAGGATCTTTGAGAACCTGAGCTTGTTTTCCAACTCCTTTAAGTTTTTAAATCTAATACTATTCTCAGAATTCCTTTGCTAATTTATTCAATTGTTCATTTCTTCATTAAGCAAACATTTATTGTATGCCTGCTAAGCACCTGGAACCAAGCTGAGAACTGGAACTCAGTGAAGGACAAGCACTTGAGGGCCTGCCCTCTGCAGCATCCAGCCATTTGTGGTGTTTTAGTCTGTGTGCATTGCTACAAAGAAATACTTGAGGTTGGGAAATTTATAAAGAACAGAGATGTATTTGGCTTACGGTTCTACAGGCTGTACAAGAAGCATGGAGCCAGTATCTGCTTGAGAGTTGCTTTCACTCATGACAGAAGGTCAATGGGAGCTGAGCCAGCATGTTCAGAAATCACATGGTGAGAGAGGGGAGGGAGGTGCCTGGCTCTTCTTAATAATCAGCTCTCACGGGGACTAATAGAGCAAGAACTCACTCATTAACCAAGGACAGCACCCAGCCATTCATGAAGGATCCATCCCCATGACCCAAGCACTTCCCACCTGGCCCCACCTTCAACACTGGGGATCAGATTTCAACATGACATCTGGTAGGGGCCAAACAAACCATATCTAAACCATAGCACAGGGGAAAGGAGGGCAGGTCTACACCATTTTGCTCATGAAAGTCATTAAGACAGGAGTGGAAGGAGCCATCTTTTCTCCAGGCTCAGGTTCCCTGGCCCCAAAGTTCTGTCACCCACAAATGCATGCAGAATGACATATAGAGTGAATGGTAAGATGCAGGTCTAAAACAATCACACACACACACACACACACACACACACACACACTCTCTCTCTCTCTCTCTCTCTCTCTTTTTCTCTCTCTCTTCTTCACTGCATCACAGTCCTTAGCAGGACATCTGGCACTTAATGATTGCTCAAACAATACATACACGTGCTGGTTTCTAAGGAGCTCTCACGAACCAGCATTGCATTATCAATCTCCTTGGCCATCATTTTTCATCTCCTGTAACCCTCACAGCATCCCTATGTTGTAGGCATTCTAAAGCTACTGTTATGAGGTAAGAAAATGAAGGCTGAGAGATTAGGTGACTTGCTCGAGGTCAACAGCTAGTGAGTGATTGAAACAGCATTCAGACTTGGAATGTTCTTCCAGAAGTTGCATCCTTAATCACCACATTACTCTGCATAAAGGGAAATCATACTTCTAAAATCTAAAAGAAAAGAATGTACTTGAAAATGTTGACAGTGGTGGCATTTTTATCTGGTTTTGGTGTATCTGTATTCTCGTTTGCTCAAACAAAAATTGTTCATGGGCATAAATTACTTGTATGATTTCTTATGCAAGTCTAACACTTGTACAGTTTGAGCACATAAGTGCCCAAAAAATGGAGATAATAGCTACAATTTGCTGAATTGTCAGAAAATTAAACAACATAAAGTACATTTATGAGCTGACAGTGCTTGGTTTGTGATAGGCACATTCTGATTCTTTCTTCTTAGAAGAAGGAGAGACCATGTCTTGGCTCAGAATTTTCTCCACAGTAGGTATCAGAGCACTCACTCTGGGAGGGGTTTTTACAGACCCCACACCTCCTCGAGCTGGAATAGAAAGGAAGAGAACCTGCAGCTGAACTCATTACCCCTCCTACCTCCCAAAGATATGGCAGAACCATCAGGATAGTGGAGATGGAAGGAAGTTAAGGCCAAGCTGGGGGCTGGGGGGATCCCTGTGGAGACCCCAGGACTGGGCCCTGCCAGAGCTGACTGTTGGGTGTTCCTCAGAGGCATGTTCTGGGTACAGCAACTCTACCTTCTCCCGTGCATGAACAGCTGCAGATGCACAGGCTCCAGGAAGAATGCTTTTGTGGCCAGTGGGCAGTGGCTGGAGTCCCTACCCAGACAATAGGGAGAATGTCAAGACAGATGATCACTAAGGGACCTGGGCTTCTCAAAAGCCCATTGATGTGTATCAGAAACAGGAAGGAAGAGAAAGGAGTTGCAGAACACTTCCCTAGATGGAAAAAAAAGCCCCATACAGCCTCAAAGACAGACAAAAGGAGAAGGGAACTTATATTTTAAAGCACCAAGGAGTATGTTACAGCCTCTGAGTTAAGGTGTTCTAGTCTCTTTGGTCTCAGTTGATTTGCACAGCAACCCTGTGAGCTTAGCATTTTTTTACAGGTATTAAAGCGGAGGCCCAGATCGGTTAAGTAACTTACCCAATATTACACAGCAGAAGTGGCAGAGGCAGGATTAGAACCACAGTCCTGACTTGAGTGCTGGCTCTCATATTCCCAACGCAGCAGCAAGCTGCTTCCCGGCGAGCACCCACCTAAAGGTCATCTAGCTGCACCGACACTGAACACCTGCCTGGGTATCTCATTTCATCCTCACATACCAGAGACAGAGCTGAAGTCATTAAAGGTTTTTGGATGAAGAAATTGGTCCCCAGAAAATGGAAATGACCTGCCCACAGTCACAGCCTGTTACTCTGTTCTCACATTACTACAAAGAAATATGAGATGGGGTAATTTACAAAGAAAAGAAGGCCAGACACAGTGTCTCACGCCTGTAATCCCAGCACTTTGGGAAGCCGAAGCGGATAGATCACAAGGTCAGGAGTTCAAGACCAGCCTGGCCAGGAGTGAAACCTCGTCTCTACTAAAAATGCAAAATTAGCTGGGTGTGGTGATGAGTGCCTGTAATCCCATGTACTCAGGAGGCTAAGGCAGAGAATTGCTTGCACCCGGGAGGCAGAGGTTGCAGTGAGCTGAGACTGCACCACTGCACTCCAGCCTGGGCGACTGAGTGTGACTCTGTCTCAAAAAAGAAAAGAGGTTTAATTGACTCACAGTCCTGCGGCTGTCAAAGATGATAACATAGGCCTCTGCTTCTGGGGAGGCCTCAGGAAGCTTCCAATCATGGTAGAAGGCAAAGTGGGAACAGGCATGTCACATGGTGAAGGCAGGAGGAAGAGAGGGGAAGGAGGTGCCACGCGCTTTTAACCAGACCTCACCAAGGACTCAGTCACTATCGTGACAACAGCACCGAGGGGACGGTGCTAAGCCATTCGTGAGGGATCCGCCCCAGTGACCCAGTCACCGCCTGCCAGGCCCCGCTTCCAACGCTGGGGATTGCAACTCAATAGGAGATTTTGATGGGGACACAGATCCGAACTGTATCACAGCCCCTGTACAGAGCAGCACTAGGAACAAAACTAGGCCCTCTGATTCACGATGTAGAGCTCTTCCTATACAGATGATGGTGCCCAATTCACACATCTTTTAAGGGGTAGGCAGGGGGGAGCTGGTGTTTTCAGGGGAGAGAAAGGCATTCTTCAATCTTTCCAAAATCTTAAATGTAGAACAGTTTTAAGGGGCAGGGGCATGGCCTTACCCCACAGTCTCTAAGGAGCTCCCTGGAGCAGTAAAAGCCTCCATCCTGGTCCTTCATGCAGTCTGAGCTGGAAATCCCAAGAACAAAGCCTGGCAATCGGCCTCCAGTTGCTAGTCAGCTACACCATGCCAGGAACCCTGTACAGGCACGGTACCTGTAGCAGGGTATATAAACCTCGCAGCAATCTGGCAGGACACCCTTTCGCCTGTATTTTACAGACTTAGAATTCACTTTAGTGCCTGCCTCACCAGGCTGGGGCACAGACAAATGAGGGCACCACTTTGGTGATGTCAGGGAAACACTGCCTTGGCCACGCCAGAAACGCATCTCAAGGACGAGGATCTGCATCCCTACATTGGCTTTGTCAGATGTAACCCAGCACCAAGGACAGCGCCTGGCACATGTCGGGTGCTTAATAAACATAATGAAAATGCGAAGGATCCTGGTGCTCTGTGGCCACCTCTGGCATGTTTGGAAGCGCTTGTACACCTTCACATTCAAGATCAAGGTGCTACCGACTTTTGGGCCACTCCGCAGTGACCTCAGACTCTCATACTGTCAAAGCCACGGCAAATCCTACCTCCAGTCCTTTAGGCTGGAAGGAGGGTGTGTGTGTGTGTCCACGGTTCCCAGTATAATCTGAGCATGACAGGATTTTCATAAAAGTTTCAGAGGCAGCCTGATAGAACAGGGAGAGTATCCCCGGGGGTGGAAAAAAATACCCTTAATCTGCTGACAGCTGTCCATACAGGGCCCCCAGGGTTCCTCTGTCTCTGTGTCTTTATCTGAAGAAGCAAATGTCTAGCAAGATATGTGATGAGTGGTGAGTCCAGAGGAAGAAATTAAGCCCTGGGCCTGCCTGAGCTTAGCATACCCTGGCAGCACTGTCTGTCCTCACCTGGTGCAGAGGCGCACACCTGCTCACTGGGGCCCAGAAGGAACCAAGGCACAACTGAGCAGAATAGGCTTCTCCCCACGCAGTCAGGAAGGAGGTTGAGTCCGCCAGCCCTAGGTTAAAGCCCAGAGTTCTTTTCTTGTTTGCCAAGCGACTCACCTACAAATACTTTCCATCCAGCTTCGTTTGAGAATCAATCCACATCTGTGAAATTCCCCCATGATGCCGTGCGTGCACCACAAGCTTCATTCATTCATTGGACCCCCAATTTTTACTGAATTAAGTCCCTAGCACTGAACATCAGTACAAACCAGGCCACAAGATAATGAGATGGGCCTGGGCCAACCCTGGCCTGCCTGGGGGAATGACCTTGACAGCATCATCTTTTCTCAGTTGTCCCCTCAAAGTACAGTGAAGATACGCGTGAACTGTTGTGCACCATGGGATCTTGAGGGGGAATTTACCGGGGCTGGAGGTGGCTGTTTGGCAGCAGCCCTTCATAGGCCAGATGTGACTGGAAGGGTGGAAAAATTTGAGAGATCAAGGCTGGAGCTTCTTTCTGCCCAGGTGACCCCCATACAGCTTTGTCCCTGTCTATCACCAGCAGACATGGCCTGGATGAGAGGCCTAAGGAAACTGTATATTCCAGAGCTGCTGGGCCTTGCAGTGGATGGAGATGCTGAGCTTCCTGCACTGGTTTCCTTTGTAAAGGCTAAGTGAAGGCAATGTCTTTTGAAAGTCCATCATGCCTACAAGTTTGCAAACCCCTATATGCTGTGTGTGTCTGTACAGAGGGAGAAAGGCAGGTCCCTGCCTTCTGGGGGCTCACATTCTAGGGGATGTAAACTAAAGAAAGGAATGAAGACATAGTCTAAATGATCATTGTTGTTAAGGAACTGAGCAGAGTATTGTGAGGTGTGGGCTGCGGTGGGCGCTTCACACAAGGTAGGTGGGTCAGGAAAGTCTGTGGAGGGGTGTCCTTCCTTAGCCGACAGCTAAGGACATAAAGGAGCCATAGGACAAGAATATTCAAGGTGGAAGCACCAGCATGGGCCTTGCTGATATCACAACAAAAAGGAAGGGAACGAGATAAGAGGTAAAGGAAGGAACACTGCCAGGGCCTGGTCACACAGGGTCTTGTCATCCAGGCACGGAGGGTGACGTGTGTCCTCGTTGTAAGGGAGCCGAGGGTGGGCTTGCAGCAGGGCAGTCTTTTGCATCCAATGTATGCTTTCAGAGATTCTTCCAGCTGCTGAATGCAGAGTGGTTTGTGGGGCACAGGCGTGGAAGCAGAGAAACCTGGCAGGGGGCGATCTCAGTGTGGTGTGATTGTCATCACTGGCTGTAACGTGGGGTATTATAAGCTCCAGTTCTGGATACCCTGTGATTTGAGACGTCTCTGGGCTTCCTCCTCCCCATGGGCCAGGCACCAGTAGGTGTCACCAGAGACTAGGGGAAACTTTCACTGTGGAGGATGATGGTAGAGAGGGTCTTGCAGAATTCCTGCTAAATCCTGGAGGTTTTTCTAGAGCATTAGCTCCAACAAATGTACAGAAACATTAAGTAGCTCTAGGATTCAAACGAGAAAACTGAGGCTCAGTGAGATTTCATGATTCTCCCAGCAGTAAGCTGTATCATAACTGGTGCCCTCAGAATTCAAGCTGATGTTTGTCTGATGCCCAAAGCCCCATCTTTCTGGCACAGGAGGCCACTGTGCAGGAGGACTCACAGCAAAACTCCAGACCAACACAGGGTGAGAGGAGCCATTTCTTCTGAGAAGCTAAAGTCAAGGGAGCTTCTGGGGGCACCAGGAAGTATCTCTCTGCTAAGCATAATTTGTGGGACTCTGCCTGATGATAGCCAGGGATAGTGGGACCCATAAGCAGTCCTAGACCAGTGGCCAACAGGAATGAGAGGGGATGCCCTGTCAGGAATATTAGACATTTATGTTCTGTTATGATGTGACAATTGAGCTGTTAGTCTCACTAAAGAATGGACAGAGAGCTAATGAGCTGGCATTTAGTGAGAATCCACTCTCGTGCCAGCCCATGCCTCATCAAGTCCCTTTGTTTATGAAATATTTATTGAACATCTGCTAAGCAGACATTCTCCTCACTGCTAAGAGAGCAGTGAAGAAACAAGATAGAAAATGCTGCCCTCTTGAAGTTCGCTTTCTGCTTGCTGGATGATTTTAGTTTGTCAACAGCTTTCTGGCGGGGTATAACTTGCCTCATTTTACAGATGAGCAAACCGAGACTGAAAGGTTAAATAGTAGGTGCAAGGCAGAGCTGGGACACAACAGAGGATTCATTCACAGATATGGCTTGGCTGTGTTCCTATTCAAATCTCAATTGTATCTCCCAGAATTACCATGTGTTGTGGGAGGGACTCAGGGGGAGGTAACTGAATCATGGGGGCTGGTCTTTCTCATGCTATTCTCATGATAGTGAATATGTCTCATGAGATCTGATAGGTTTATCAGAGGTTTCTGCTTTTGCTTTTTCCTCATTTTTTCTCTTGCCGCTGCCATGTAAGAAGTGCCTTTCAACTCCCACCATGATTTTGAGGCCTCCCCAGCCATGTGTAACTGTAAGTCCAATTAAACTTCTTTTTGTTCCCAGTTTTGGTTATGCCTTTATCAGCAGCATGAAAATGGACTAACACAGTAAATCGGTACCAGCAGAGTGGGGCATTGCTAAAAAGATACCCAAAAATGTGGAAGCAACTTTGGAACTGGGTGACAGGCAGAGGTTGGAACAGTTTGGAGGGCTCAGAAGAAGACAAGAAAATGTGGGAGAGTTTGGAACTTCTCCTAGAGACTTGTTGTGAATGGCTTTGCCCAAAATGCTGATAGTGATATGAACAATAAGGTCCAGGCTGAGGTGGTCTTGGATGGAGATGAGGAACTTGTTGGGAACTGGAGCAAAGAAGACTCTTAAGTTTTAGCAAAGAGACTGGCAGCATTTTGCCCCTGCCCTAGAGATTTGTGGAACTTTGAACTTGAGAAAGATGATTTAGGGTATCTGGTGGAAGAAATTTCTAAGCAGCAAAGCATTCAAGAGGTGACTTGGGTACTGTTAAAAAGCATTCCATTCTAAAAGGGAAACAGAGCATAAAAGTTTGGAAAATTTGCAGCTTGATGATGCAGTAGAAAAGAAAAACCCATTTTTTAAGAAGAAATTCAAGCCGGCTACAGAAATTTACATAAGTAGCAAGGAGCCTAATGTTAATCCCCAAGACCCTGGGGAAAATGTCTCCAGGCCATGTCAGAGACCTTCACAGCAGCTCCTCCCATCACAGGCCCAGAGGCCCAGGAGGAAAAAGTGGTTTCATGGGCCAGGCCACAGGGGTCCCTGTGCTGTGTGCAGCCTAGGGATTTGGTGCCCTGTGTCCCAGCCATTCCAGCCATGGCTGAAAGGAGCCAATGTACAGCTCGGACTGTAGCTTCAGACGGTGGAAGCCCCAAGCCTTGGCAGCTTCCACATGGTGTTGAGCCTGTGGGTGCACGGAAGTCAAGAATTGAGGTTTGGGACCCTCTGCCTAGATTTCATAAGATGTATGGAAACGCCTGGATGCCCAGGCAAAAATTTGCTGCAGGGGTGGGGCTCTCATGGAGAACTTCTGCTAGGGCAGTGCAGAAGTGAAATGTAGGATCAGAGCCCCCACACAGAGTCCGTACTGGGGCACTGTCTAGTGGAGCTGTGAGAAGAGGGCCACCATCCTTCAGACCCCAGAATGGTAGATCTAATGACAGCTTGCACTGTGTGCCTGAAAAAGCTGCAGACACTCAACGCCAGCCAGTGAAAGCAGGGAACCCACCTCTCGCATCAGTGTGACCTGGATGTGAGTGAGATCTGGAGTCAAAGGAGATCATTTTGGAGCTTTAAGATTTGACTGCCTTGCTGGATTTCAGACTTGTATGGGCCCTGTAACCCCTTTGTTTTGACCAATTTCTCCCATTTGGAACAGCTGTATTTTCCCAATGCCTGTACCCGATTGTATCTAGGAATTAACTAACTTGCTTTTGATTTTACAGGCTCATAAGGCAGAAGGGACTTGCCTTGTCTCAGATGAGACTTTGGACTGTGGACTTTTGGGTTAATGCTGAAATGAGTTAAGACTTTGGAGGACTGTTGGGAAGGCATGATTGTTTTTGAAATGTGAGGACATGAGATTCAGAGGGGCCAGGGGCAGAATGAGATTTGGCTGTGTTGCCACCCAAATCTCAACTTGAATTGTGTCTTCCAGAATTCCCACATGTGGGAGGGACGCAGGGGGAGGTAACTGAATCACGGGGGCCAGTCTCTCCCATGCTATTCTCGTGATAGTGAATAAGTCTCACGAGATCTGATGGGTTTACCAGGGGTTTTCCACTTGTGCTTCTTCATTTTCTATTGCCGCCATGATGTAAGAAGTACTTTTGCCTCCCACCATGATTCTGAGGCCTCCCCAGCCACGTGGAACTGTAACTCCAACTAAACCTCTATTTCTTCCCAGTCTCGGGTGTCCTTATCAGCAGTGTGAATACAGACTAATACACACGTAAGTCTGGCTGTCTCTCAGAAATGACACCTTCCTGTGGGAGTGGGATAGGGGTTGCAGTCAGAGATGGGAAACCTGACCCTGTGGGGCTCCAGGGAACAGCAGGCCCACTGTTCCCACATGAGTCCATCCTTATTCCACTCTTCTGCCCCAGCTTTGCCTCCAAAGTGCACCCAATTCTGTGGTCCCTCCCTTCTCAGAGCAAGGTGGAGGGAGTGAGAACCATAGGGCTGGAGAGCAAGGCACCTGGGTTCTCTCTGTACCTTTCTAGTCCTCAGTTTCCTCAGCTATAAAATGGGCATATTACCTGCTGTGGAGGGTTGTGCAAAGATGTGTAGAATGCCCGAGCTTGTCACATAATAACTCACAATTCCTATGTGTGGGGGAATTTGGCTAAAAATTTCAAATATATTATCTCATCTCAGAGCAACTCTGAAGCAAATACAATTACTAGCCCTGCTACATGCAATAAAACAGAGGTGCAGAGAGGACCTTGCTCAAGGTCACACAGCTGGCCATGGCAGAGCTGGAGTTTAAACGCTGACCATAGGGTTTCAAAGGTGGTGTTGTCACCCCTTGGCTCTCGGCCTCTCACACAGCTTGTGATCCACACGGTGGCTCCCCTGGCTGACCACCTCCAGAGTTGTTGGGGTCTCCACTCACTGAGCACAGGAGTCTCTGGGCCAGAAAGACCCCCAATGCCCACCCTGCACAAGCTCTGCCTCACCTCTCCCTTGAACACTTCTGAAAACAGGGAGCTCACCACCTCCTGTGGGAGGGCTGGCCGTGTATCCAACGTTATGGGTAGATTTTCTCCTGTTGTAACTTTCCTGAATTGCCCCCTGTTCTGCCCCCGGCCCTTCATGTATAGGGCTAGATCAATCTGTGTCCCCAGGAAAGCCCTTCTGAGATGTGGGGTCCTGCCTGTCTCCCCAACCTCACACATGAAGTGTCCTTGGCATCCGGGCCTCGCAGTCACCTTTTCTGACCCATTCTTGTTCATTCCTCCCAGCCCTGCCCCCAACAAATGTGGGAATCAGTCCCCTCCAGTCCCTGCTCAGGCAAGACGCCTGTTACAGCTGGGGGCACCCCAGGCTGGCTGAGAACCAGTGGGGGAAGGGAGTGGCAGGGGCAGGCCACAGCCCGAGGGGGACAAAGACACACGGTGGTGAGAGAGGTGCAGAAAGCAGGATCTCAGCCGGGAAGCCTGTTCTTTTCCCTTTGGGGCTGGGCTGGTGCTCGGCAACAAGCGACACAGGCGGTCATGCTTTCTGACCACTCCTGACGGAATGTGCTTGACTTTGTGGAGGATGTTCTGGCATTCTCACAACCTTCTTGGTGAGGCAGGCCCCTAAGTGGGGACTCTTACCAAAGCATCCCGAGTACTTGTCACTCCTTGGTTATCAAGCATGATCCCGTGATGTCATCAATACAGTTGACAGACACCAGACAGTCCCTATCTCTTCCAACAATTTTGTTATCAAGAGCAGCAGAGAAGCTCCTCTGATCTTCACACATCACCCCAAATTAGTCAGTTTATTATTTGCTCTCTTCAAAATCTCGATGGCACTTGGCTACTCAATTCCATAGTCCTTATAATTACTCTTTCTCCTGGACTAGGATCCTCATCACCAGGCAGCCAGTGTGGACCCCAACTTTAAAACTCCATCCTTTGAGGCTGCTCTTGAGAACCACTTCTGCCACACACCCCACATGCACACCACACATACACACTGTGCTAAGCATTGTTCTCTGTGTACCTCTCAACCCTGCTGCAGAAAACAGTCTTGGATGCTGCTGAGAGAGTTTCTAGCCCACAGAGCAGGGTCCCTGATGTCTCCTGAGTGGAAAACACAGCAAGATACCCAAACTTTCAGGAGGGATGCTTCATTTGTCCCCAGTGAGGCATGCCGAGATGGAAGCTGGGGGAGGCCCTATGCAGAGGCAAGCCCCTCCTCCTCCCTGTCCCTGGATTGGCTATTTTCAGAATGGACCCCAGCAGGTTGCTAGAAGTAAGGCTGCCTGATCAGTGACACAGGGCTATCACCTGTTAGGACCAAAGTCTACACCAATAAGGGTAGAGACCGTAGATCATCTCCAGGCAAAAACTCAAGTGGTCTCATGGGAACACAGCTCTGGACATCATGAGAATGTTGGACCCAGGTTTTGTGAACTCTAACGCTATTTTCAGCCATCGTCTTGCTTGTCTTCAGACCTAGAGGAGGACAGGTCTCCACATGGTGTTGGTCTGCCTAGCTCTTCCTCTCTCCTGCTTGCAATTCTCAGAATAATCCCATCATGTACCAAGAATGCAACATCCGGAGATAAGGAGAAGTGTCTGAAACACCCTGGGTTGGTCCTTGTTTCTCTTAAGAAGAAGGTGTTCTACAACACTTGTGCTCAGCAAGCCCACTGGTGCCGAGGGAATGTAAACCCAGACACTTGTTGAACCCCTCAGCTGGTGGATATGTAAAAGACTCTATCCACCCTAAGCAGCTTTCCTCAGCTGGCTTGCCCTGAATCCCAGCCTTCTGTTTGTTCTTTCTGCGTACCCATAAGGAACACATCTGTTCAGCCTGCCTAGTGTGAGAGCTCTGTCTCACTGGATTCCTGCAAATGGTAGAGTTGCCAGAGCTCCTTTCACTCCTCCCAGCTGTCCTCATGGTGTTGGAATGGCTGTAGCAGCTGGTTTTACTCTCAGTCCCTGCCAGACTTAAAGACCTTTGCAACACCAACCTCCTTGGTAGGGAAAAGGAACTGATGTATGTTGCACCCCTAGCATGTGCCATGCCAGGTACTTGAACAGGTGCTTCACCGTCTCTATCTCGGCTATCCTAGGAGTTCAATTCCCACTTTACTGAAGAAGATAGCTGTGCTCTGAGAGGCTAAGCCATTTGCCATCAGTGGTAGAATGAGCATCTCCACATGAAGCCCTTTGTTTGCATCCCCTAAAGCTGCCTCCCAGGGAAGGTGGGCTGGAGGAAAGAGGCAGAGAGTTGTTGATAGCAGGCACCATGCTGTTTCTTCACTGGGTGTATGTGTTGCTTGAACCTGGAAAGTATGGGTTCCAACCCACCTGGGCTACCTGCTGGCTCTGTGTCTTTTAAGCAATCACTGAAGCTCTATGTGAAATGAGTACAATGATGTATCTACCCAATTTCCTCTTCAGGTTGGCCATGCTGGGTGAATTGGCTTGTAAGTGACTAGATATCATACAGAGGGAGGAGTTTTCATCAACTCTTTGCTGAGATTTGTCATGCAGACCTGGAGAGAACTTCATCCTCTCCCCCACCAAATTACTTATTTTCGCACAGTGCCACAGCTTGCCCTGGACCTTGTGAATGGTGTTGAAGGCTGAGATGGGAAGGCATGGGCAGATTTGGGCTCAGAGGCAGTCTCATTGGCTCTTTCTTCAGGGCCCACACCCACGCCAACCTTTTAGTCGCACTTGGGGGTGGTCACGGTGGCTACCAGGCAACTCCAACATGGAAGGTGCTCTTGGAACATCCCAGAAGGCTGAAGTGGCCCAGCTTGAAGGCTGTGGTGGGGTGGTCCCTGTAGTGCCCCGTATCCCTGGAGATGCAGTTGGGACCATGCTGGACCTTCGCAAAGCCCTCTTTAGCCATGCTGGAAGACACGGGTCTGAGATGAGGACTAGGGTGTAGTGAAATTTTACTAGCAGAGCTTAAAGGAAAAGGGACAGTCAGGACAAATGTGAAATGGGATGTGCAATGACAAGCGAGGCTACAAGGCATGTGCATTTTGAGGTCAGAGAACTGGGTCAATTCCTTGCACCCTTGGAGCCTTGGCTTCCCCAACCATCCTGTGGCATATGGAGAAAATAACAGCGTGCACTCAGATGCTGAAAATGTCAAAGGATAATAAGCATTTACTGAGTACCTATTAGGCACTGTGAATAATGTTGATGTTGGTGTTGCTGTTATAAAATTGACTTTTTCTTGTTACAAGCATAAAAAGTGTTCCTACTTACTCAGAAACAATCACTGCTAATACAAAAATGTATGTTTTCAGATAATTTTCTATTTGTATATGGTTATTTGTAAAATATATATATATATATATATATATACCATATGTACCTTTGTGTAAACTGCTGTTTCCTCCAGTTAATTTATCACAATCACTTTTCCAGCTCAGTAGACTCGTTTCTACAATGCTGTTAGGATGACTGCAGTGTTTCATTCTATGGATGGCACACGCTATTGGACTCATTTCCAGTGGCTGACTACATAAGTGGTTTCCAATTTTTCTATTAGAAAGAGTGCTACATTATGAAGCATTAGAGACCACATTTCTAGTACTCAGGCAGCAACCTGTGAGGTGAGCCTTATCACTCTTGTTTTACAAATTATATATTTGAAGGTGTGTTTTAAGCCATGAAGCATCACAGAGACATCACATCAAAGGGTTGTTACAGAGAAGCCCCAGTCCCGCCTTTCCCTGCATCTTGAGCATAATGATATCCTTGACAGCAACAGAAAAGCCTTAAGACACCTCTCACAAGTTACTACACACCCCCTTTCACCCGCCCTGCACCCCCACAACCAACCCACTACATATGCCACATGCACCCCACACCACTCACTCATACCACACATACCACACCCACACCATGCACACACACCATGCACACATATACCCCCCCTCCCCCCACACATTCATACAGTGGAATTCCGTCAGCTTTTAAAATGATGGCTGTAAGAATGTATGTCTATTTTCCAACATGAGAGATACTTTCAAATTATTGTGGATTGGAAAGCAGATTAAAAATCTTGTGTATAGGCCGGGCGCGGTGGCTCACGCCTGTAATCCCAGCACTTTGGGAGGCCGAGGCGGGTGGATCATGAGGTCAGGAGATCGAGACCATCCTGGCTAACAAGGTGAAACCCCGTCTCTACTAAAAATACAAAAAATTAGCCGGGCACGGTGGCGGGCGCCTGTAGTCCCAGCTACTGGGGAGGCTGAGGCAGGAGAATGGCGTGAACCCGGGAAGCGGAGCTTGCAGTGAGCCGAGATTGCGCCACTGCAGTCCGCAGTCCGGCCTGGGCGACAGAGCGAGACTCCGTCTCAAAAAAAAAAAAAAAATCTTGTGTATAATATGACCATCTTTTATTAAGAAAATATATTTGTGGCCAGGTGCAGTGGCTCACATCTGTAATCTCAGCACTTTGGGAGGCTGAGGTGGGTGGATCACCTGAGGTCAGGAGTTCAAGACTAGCCTGGCCAACATGGTGAAACCCCGTCTCTACTAAAAATACAAAAATTCACCAGACATAGTCGTCTCAGCTACCCAGGAGGCTAAGGCCAGAGAATCACTTGAACCTTGGAGGTGGAGGTTGTAGTGAGCTAAGATCGTGCCACTGCACTCCAGCCTGTGCCACAGAGCAAGACTCTGTCTCAGAAAAGAAAAAAAAAAGAAAATATATTTATGTATCTTTGTGAGCATGTATGATTATGCTTGGATGAATATGCAGGAGAAAATAGTGCTAATATGTAGAAAGGAAGGATTGTAAAAAAAATGTTTTCCTTTGTGCTTTCTGGCATTTTCTAAATATACTGTGCAAATAAATTATTAACGTCAAAAAAGGAAAAGCAACAAAGCTACTTCCACGTGCACCCTTGCATGCATGTGTGGATGGACTTTCCAAGTTGGTCTCAGGTCCATTCCACTCTTCTTCCCTTCCCTCTGTACCCTGCTGTTTTGTTTAATTAACAGCTTTACTGAGTTACAGTTTGCATTATATAGAATTCACTAATTGTAATTGTAGTTTGAGATGTGACAAATACACACAGTCATGAAGCCACTAATACAATCCACCAATAATGGGTGACAATAGGGAGCACCTCCATCCACCATACAAAGCTCACTCTGATCTGTTGTTCATCACTATGTATTCACAGCATTGATCACAGTACTAATCACAGTATTGATCAATACTTTCCACATGGCCTGGTGGAAAGTTAAAATCTGTCATCTTGCTGTTTATTTTCTGTTTGTTCTATCTTCTTAAAATTTTTTATTTCATTTTATCTCTAATGACTTAGCTCTACCTCTTGGTTTTGTTTTTTGTAAGTAGGCATTCAGGTTTTTGAATAATATTATATCTCTATTACATAGAACCTTAAAACTACCTGACAGTATACCTCCATATTCCTTTCCTGGCTTTTATGCTATGGTTTTTGTACATTTAACCTCTACATTTGTTTTAAATCCCATAATTAAGATTACTTTTTCTTTAAACATGCAATTATCTTTCAAAAGTGTTTAAAAATGAGATAGTATGTTTTGTCACATAAGTACCACTTATTCTTTCATTTCTCTGTGTAGATCCAGAGTTCATTTGGTATCATTTTCCTCCTGCCTGAAACATATCAGCAATTATCATAATGCAGATTTGCTGGTGAATGTCTGAAAATTTTTATTTTACTTCTGAAAGATATTTCTGCTAGTTATACAAGGCTAGGTTAATTTTTTAAATTTTGTTTTGCATTTTAAGACATCACTCTATTGTCTTCTCATCTGCTTAATTTATGGTTAAAAATGTTTTGTTATCTCTTTGTATGTAATGTGTAAGAAGCCCTTTTCTAGCAAATTTGGTTGCTTTAAGATTTTCACTTGATCACTGAATTTTCAGCAATTTGAGTGATATGTCTCATTTTTTCTTCTCTTGCTTTGGAGTTTGTGAACCCTCTTTCTCTGGGTTTATGCTTTTCTTCAATTTGGAAAATTGCAGCCATTATTTTTTTCAAATACTTTTTCTAGCTGCTTGTAATAACTCGAATTGCATTTTTATGAAACAAATTCCTATTATGAAAAGGCTCTTGATCCTCTGTTCACTTGCTTCTTGCTTTTCCCTCCCTGTGCCTCACTTGGAATAGTTGCTGCTATCGTGCGTTCAAGCTCACTGGTTGTTTCTTCAATGTCGATTCTGTTGTAAATTCCAACCCATGTTTTTCATTTCAGACACAATAGTTTTCAACTCTTCACTTTGTAAAGACATTTTTAGTATATCTTCTACTTGTCTCCTTATCCATGTTATTCTGTCCTCCTTAATATGTGGCACAATCTATAATAGCTGTTTTAACGGCCTTATCTGATCATTCTGTCATCTGTTATTCTTTTGTCTGTTTCTATTGAAACAGATTGATTTTTTTTTCTCCCGGTCTTGATTATATTTTCCTGCTTCTTTACCTGCTTGGCGAGTTTCTCTGAGATCTAGACATTGTTTTGGTGCTGAGTATTGTGGTATACTTTTAAATAGTGTTTGGCTTTGTTCTGGGATGGAGTTAAGGTATTGATCAGTTCAATCCTTTTGAAGCTTGCATTTCAGCTATGTAAGGGCAGGACCATTGCAGCCTTTTGACTAGAGCTAATTTACCTGCACTACTAAAGCATTACCCTTCAGAGGATTCTTCCAGATGCCCCAGGTGTCTTTCCACATAGGCTGGTGGAAACATAAACTATTCCCAGACCTGTCTGAGTTCCAGGGATTGTCTGCCCTTCTGATGTCCAGGGGATCCTTCACTGATCTCTTTGTACAGAGCCTCAAATGCCTGCCCAGATCAGAATCAGCCAGAATGACAGGGCTCCCCATGCAGACCTCAGGTTGTCCCATTGCAGCGCTCTTCCCTCTGGCATCCTGCCCGCTGATGTTTTTCCCTTGACCTCCCAAACTCCTTTCTGTGTTCTCAGCTTAGTGTGACTGCCAGGCACTGTCTGGATGCCCCTTTCCCCTCCTGCCCTCATATATATTCATTTATCTAGTTGTTGAAGGTGGAAAGTAAACATGTTCAAATCATGTTAACATCTACATTCTGTAAAGCAGAGCTAAACGCTTCCTTTAGCAAATTTGATCATTAATAGAATTAGAGTGTTTTGAGTGTGTTTACTTAGTTATCGCATTGAAAAATAATTAAGTTTTTCTTCTCGACAAGAAAACATATCCTTTTGTCTTGGGGACAATAACTTCTCAATGCTTTTAGGATAATTGTGGCTGAGGGCCTGGCAGGTCTCAATTGTGGGGGCTGGATAATCTTAGAGAAAATGTGTTTTAAGCCTCCAAAGGGTTCATGAGTTTGGGAAGCCCTTATAGCCAAAGAACTCTTTAGAGTTTTTAAAAATGGTTTCCTGGAGGCCCAGGAATGGACCAAAGTATGAGTGTGTTAGAATAAAATGTGACGTGGCAAAAACGTTCCTCAAAGAGGCCAATCAGGCATCCTGGCCTCTGGTGCCTGTGCTGACTTCAGGGGTTGTTTGAGATTCGAAAACCCCCCGTATCCCTCTGGGAGTCCAGCATCTCCCTTCCGTGAAGAAGGCAGCCTCTACCGTCCTTAAAAGTACATAACACTGTGTACACGCATCAAAGTGTGAAGGTCCAGTTTTCTAAATTTTCTTGTAAAACTGGATATGAAGCCTCCTTGAATGTACAAGAGGGTGTTATAGATTAAATTGCATCCCCCAAAATTCATGCGCTGAAGCCTTAACCCCCAGTACCTCAGAATGACCTTATTTGGAAATAGGGTCACTGCAGACACCCTCAGTGAAGTTGAGCTCCCGCTATAACATGGCGGGCCCCTAATCCAATACAACTGGTATCCTTATAAGAAGTGGAAATTTGAGCACAGACGTGCACATGAGGAGAATGCCATGTCAGAGTGAAGGCAGAGGTGAGGGTGATGCTTCTGTATGCCAAGGAACACCAAAGCTTGCACAACACCAGAAGCTGGACAGTGAGCGTGGAACTGGTTCTCCCACAGCCTCAAGGGAAGCAACCTTGCTGCCACCTTCGTCTCAAGCATGCAGGCTCCAGCGAGACTCTAAATTTCTGTTTTTTAAGCCACTGGTTTGTGGTACTTTGTGGCAGCCAAGGAAACTAATGCAGAGAGATGTCCATAGTATAACATAGATTTCACTAGCTAGACAGCCTGTGAGGCTCAAAGAACAATTCATCATCATGTCACTTTTTTATCATTAGAAAATTGTATAAGTTATATACATAAATGTGAGGACTGTGCTTTTTACTTTGAGGCTCAAGCATACTAACTTGAATTTGAAGAAATATTAACCTGAGTTCCTCATCCAGTTTTCTGTGTAAATTAGTAAACATCTCTGTACTTCCCTGAAGCGGGGAAAACAAGTGCTAATGTTGGGTAAAAAACAGTAATTCTTATGCAGGAGCCCAATGATCATGCCTCCCAGAGTTCCCACACTCGTGTGTTTCCTCCCACAGTGGATTAGAGCTGCCTTCCTGGACCAGTAGGATGCAGTGGAGGGAGCACCATGCCACTCTTAGGGTCCAGGCCATGAGAGGCATTGCAGATTTTGCTTGTGCTGTCTTGGAATTCAGCCCTGACACCACCTTGTCATCAAGCCAGTCCAGCCTACTGGAAGATAAGCAGCCGCATGGAGGAGAACCAAGGGGTGCAGTCAACAGCCAGCACCAACTTGTGACATATGAGTGAAACATCGTGGACCCTCCAGCCCAGTTACTCCTCCAGAGCCACAGGAGTGAACCCAGGAAAAACCAGCAGAGAGGCCAGCCAACACACAGAACTATAGGAAATAAATCCTTGCTATTTTACATGCCTGTCTCATATAGGCATGTACAATAACAAGGATCATTTACACGCCTTTATAATACAATATTATAGGTGTGTAAAATACTTATGCCACATGCAGGGAGATGCCCCTTCCTCCCAGCAAGTCAGTCCCACAGCCCAACAAATTCCTCCCACCACAGACTCTGTCAGGAGAGCCCTGACGTGTGAATCCACCCTGTTTGCCAAGTTCCAATGTGTAACACAGTTCTTAGCAAAACACATTGGATTTGGGTTTTGTTATGTTTTGTTTAAAGCATTCTCCCAAATCCACATGCACACAATTGGCTGGGGTTTGTCAAATATCTGCTGGATCCAAGCTCGCAGCCTCTATTATCCCACTCCCCATCTGGATGGCAGCTCTGTACATCAGCTGGCTGAGTTCTGCCTATCCAAGAATGCTTCTGTCTTCCTATATCCTCGGTTGTTTCTGCGGGATTAGTGCCTCAAGCTTCTGGGCTTGGCTATAAACATTACAGGGAGGCTTTATTTGGAATGCCTTCATGTAAGTAGATGTGACTAACTCCAGTGCAGTCATCTGAGGCTTGAATTCCATGGCATTTATCTGCATCTTGAAGAGCCAGAGCCATGATGGTACCTGGTCCAGGCCTCTGTCAGAGCTCCTAGCACACACACTGCCAGGATTCGTTTGTGTTTCTGTCGTCCCTTCCAGCCTCTGGTCTCTTTGAGGCAGGGACCCTGCTCCACTTTATTGATACCGCCAGAGCCCAACACACAGCTCAGCCCATTTGTGTTAATGGGAGGAAGGGAGGGAAGAGACAGCAAGGAACGAAAGAGGGAAAGCAAGGTCAGGAGGGGAGGAGAAAGGAAGGAATGGAAGAAACTCTGGCCCATTCAGAGAAATAGAGAATTGGGAAGGTTATTCAGCCTCCAAGTACCCTAGGATCCAGTGCTGTATTTTTTTTTTCTTTTAACAAACATAGCTCACACTCAGTAATTGCTTTTCCGGAAATGGAACTATTTATTTTATTTTTTGTTTGTTTTGTAAATCATCTAAGTTAGTTCCCAGTCCTACCTTATGAGAAAAATGCCACTATTCCCCCCATTTGATAGTTGAATGATACTTAGTGGTTTAACTGAGTGAAATAATCAGGCCAAACACACAGAGCAAGCAGTAGAGGCACCATGATTTGAACCCAGGGAATGGAAAACCAAAGCCCCCGCTCTTCATCAGATGCAGCTACCTTGCATGTCATCTTCTCTGCCTAAAGGAACACTTTGTTCACAGTAATGTTTTTCTCCAAAACATTGCACTTTGCGTCAAAATTTCAGATAAACTTACATTGCTGGGAAGATAGAATGAACATAATTTTCCCTTTTCCTGTCTCTAAGAAAACCCAAAAACCCTGAATGTTATATATGAAATTGGATTTGGGTTTTGTTATGTTTTGTTATGTTGGGTTTGTTATGTTTTGTTTAAAGCATTCTCCCACATCCACATGCACACAACTGGCTGGAGCCTCATGACCGAAGCAAGAATGTGGCAGTGAGGTCCCCAGGTTTTCATTTTGCCTCCAAAATCTTGGACCAGATACGGGAGAAACTGGCAACTCAGAAATGCCGATAAGTAGATATACAAAAAGAGCTCAACAACAACGAAAAAGCCCATTCTCTCTAACCTAATGACCAGGCTAGAGGCAGCCTAGCAAGCCAGAAAACTGCTCTATTCCAGCCAAAAAACACAGGAAAAACTGTGGCCTCATGTCTACCCCTACCAGCGAAGTCCAAGGGGAGAACTTAAGTCCTTTCTTGCCAGGACATAGGGAAGCATCCCAATCCTCCTCCTCCCTCCCTGCTCCCTATCAGGATCAGAGGAGGCCAAGCAGGAAGCCAAGACTTTCATCCCCACTGGGCAGTAAAGATCCCCCTCATGGTGTCAGTGAAGACACCATGTGGGGAGCATGTATGTGTCCCACGCTCAGAGTATAGAGGTGCCATCTCCCTTGGTAGGGGCCTAGTAAAGAATTTGCAGACATGAGACCAAAAAAATTCATAGAAGAACAAACTGATGCATGGGCACTATCAAAATTAGTAGCTTTTACTCTAACCAGGCTGGGTAACAGAGGGAAACTTGGTATCTCCAAAACAAAGAAAAAATTAAGTTTAAAAATTAAAAGATTAGCCAGGCATGGTGGCATGTACCTGTGGTCCCAGCTACTCGGGAGGCTGAGGTGGGAGGATCGCTAGATCCTAGAGCTTTGAGGCTGCAGTGAGCTGTGATTGTGCCACTGCACTCCAGCCTGGGTGATGACAGAGCAAGACCCCGTCTCAAGGAACAAAAACGTTTGCCAAAGACTCTGTTAAAAGGCTGAAAAGACAAACTACGTGCTGGGAAAAAAATATTTGCAAACCATGTATCTCACAACAGACTCATATCTAAAGTATACAAGAAACACTCAAAACTCAACTGGAAAAACAAACAAGCAATCCAACTAGAAAACAAGCAACAGACACAAGGAAATATTTCACCAAAGAGGATGTACAGATGGCAAATAAGCACATGAAAAATTTCAACATCATTAGCAATTAGGGAAATGGAAATTAAGAGCATGGTGAGATATCACTACACATTTGTTAGACAACTCTTTTTAAAAAGTGACAATACCAAATGCTGCAAAGGATAGAGAGAAACTGCTGATGGGATTGTAAGATAGTACAACCACTACAGAAAAGAGTTTTACGGGTTCTTGAGAACCTAAACATATGCTTACCATATGACCCAGCAATTGTACATTGGGGCATTTATCCCAGAGAAATGAAAACCTACGTCCACACAAAAATCTGGACATGAATGTTCATAGCAGATTTATTTGTATTCTCCAAAAGCTGGAAATAGCCAATCTCTTTTAAAATTTGAATGGTTAAACAGTATTTCATCCATACCATGGAAAAACCACTCAGCAGAGAAAGAGCAAACTATTGATATATGCAGCAACATGGATTGATTGTGCGGAGTGAAAAAAAAAAGCCAATCTTGAAAGATTTCCTACAATATGATTCCATTTACCTAGCATTCTTGACAAAATTATAGAGATGGATTATTGGTTGCCAGGGGTTAGGGATGATGGGAACAATTATCTTTAGTCTTCCATTTATGAATTATTCTATGAGTTAAGCACTATTATCAGCATTTTGGAGAAGACACAGTGACTCAGGTTATGTAACTTCCTCAAAAAAATGGACCTAATGCAAAGCCAGGGCTGGGACCCACACCTGGACCTGCCTGCTTCCCAAGCCACATGTGATGGAAGGTGCCCCCCACACCGGGGACACCCCATGATTGATGGAGAATTTCTGTGATGGACACATTGATTTCTGTTTTATCTGCAACCCCAGGGACTAGTCATTGCACCACTTAGACCCCACGCAGTGAGGAAACTTGCCCAAGAAATAAGGCAAAAACTGGATTTTGAATGCAGATAAAACTAACATAACACACTTCAGACAAAGCACGTGTCATGTTTCACACCCTCAGGACAGGGACAGTGGCAGGAGCTGGGGTAGTTGGAAGGGGAATGTGGTTAGATTATGTGAATCTGAGTTTCTGGAGGGAGGTTCACTGGGGAAGACAATTATGGGTAGGTGGAGTAAGATCTCATGTGAGGAAAGAAACAAGATTTTCTGGGGATAGTGTCCAAATAAAAGACTGACATGACATTCAATCTAAGAAAAGGCAGCGTACTCATATCACCTATGACTTAGAAAAGCCTGATAGTGAATAGGGGTAATATGTAGCAACACAATTATTTCTGAGCTGTAATAAAAATAAGGACTAGACAACTATATCTCATGGATATTTCAATGGTACGTGAAGTATGCAGCAAAGACTCTGATACAAACCAGGTGCTCAGGAAATGTGAATTTATTGTCAAGTCCGCCACCCTCCTGCCCCTCCCGCCTCCCTCCTCCCTCCACCCTCAGGTTGCAGCCCAGCAAGTATGAGCACCGCATTCCATTTCCTCCTGACGGCAGGTAGGGGCACAGAAGCTGGTGCAGGGAACACCTTGGATTTCTTCTGGGGGTAGAGATCTGGCTCTGGTCCTCCAGAAACATCAAAATCATCTCCAGGGTTCCTTCTAGCAGTTAGCCCATTGCCATGGTAGCCAGCATTTATGGTACAGGAATTGGGACAAGGAAGGGTGATAAGCAGAAAGCAATTTAGAGAGACGATGAGATTCAGCACACTGTGAAGGCAGCCTGGGCAGAGTTCAAGCTGTGTCTGATTCAGAGGGTCTGTCTGCTCCCACTGCACGTGGGCACCCCTGATGTGTTGCTGGGTGATGGGTGGTGCTCAGGGTCAGAATTTGGTAGTGACATAAAAACACGATGTGTCTGCGTCCAGACCACTGAGCTGTGCCTGTCACAGACCCAGGCTCTGAGCTCTGCCCCAGCCCAGCTGAACTATTATGATGCAAATTTCCTGTGCTGTGTCCAAGAGAGAGAGGGCCCAGCTTCCCCAGCTTGGGTGGGCAAAGCTTTCTGCTCAGGAAGAGCTGCAGAATTGGGGTAAAAAGGTTGGATTCAAAGCTGGCTCTATGTGACTTTGGGCAAGTCACTTTAATTCAATGAACATTTGTTAAGCACTCATGAGCAATGTTCTGTGCACTTTTTTCCAAGCCGTCTGATGTGCTGATATGTGAGCCAGAATAGGGGTATACGAAAGCAACGCCAACTCTGCCGTGTACTAGCAGTGAAAACTTGGCAAGTCTTGGAAACGCCCTGCACCTCTGCTCCCTCATCTGTGAAAGGGAATCCTAAGCTACCTCATAGGGTTGTTGGGGGAATTCAATGAGGTGTCCTCCAAGAGCTTAGCCAGTTCCCAGCATACCTAAGGGTTCCATCTCTATTACTTCTATTACTCTCTAGTCCTCAATTCTTCACCTGCATAGTGTGATCAATAACCCCAGCCTCACAGGTTCATGAGGGTTACATGAGATAATGAAAATGAGGATGTTTTATAAAGTAAAGTACATTATATGATGGTTTATTGTCATTGTCATAATGGGACATTAAGAAGAAGAATATTGGCCGGGCGCAGTCGTTCATGCCTGTAATCCCAGCACTTTGGGAGGCCAAGGCGGGCAGATCATGAGGTCAGGAGATTGAGACCATCCTGGCTAAAACGGTGAAACCCCGTCTCTACTAAAAATACAAAAAATTAGCCGGGCGCGGTGGCAGGCGACTGTAGTCCCAGCTACTTGGGAGGCTGAGGCAGGAGAATGGTGAGAACCCAGGAGGCGGAGATTGCAGTGAGCCGAGATCGCACCACTGCATTCCAGCCTGGGAGACAGAGACTCCGTCTCAAAAAAAAAAGAAGAAGAAGAAGAAGAATATCAGTCTGAGCTACTCTGTGCATGCAGGTGGTGGCACTGGGAGTTCCAGTGCTTTTCTTTTTTTCACAAATTCATTTATGCAGTAAATATGGGCCCATGCCATGTGCTGGGCATACTGTACAAGACACTGACTGCACTGAGCTTGAAACCCAGTGATGGAGGCAGACGGGCCGAGTGATCATCAAATATACAAAGTCTGTGCTCTGCTAGAAGGCAGCACATGGTGCAATGGATCCCAAGAGAAGGATGATCAAACCCAGGCCAGGGAGATGAGGAAACGGTTCCTAGAAGAGGGATGGCTGAGCTGAGCTCATAAAGATGTGTGAGAAGCAGGAAAGTGGGAAAATGTTGTCACCAGGAATAACCTGCTCCCCTAGCAAAATCCCTCATTTAATCAACAGTCCCCCTAGAAGTAAAGGCCACTAGGAGTTGTCCCTGAGGACGAGCCTGATTCTTTTCTCCAATGGCCCCACCCCAGTACCCACTGCTTATCATGGCTACCTGCAGCTGTACTAAATGAATGGATGGATGGACTCAAATAAACAGCCACAACAGAAAAACAGGATTTTTGACCCACAAAATCTGTCACCATTCTGAAAAATACAACCAAATTAGCAAAGGGAACTAAACTGGCTCGGGCATCTTTGCAGCCCGTTCATCATTCACTGAGTGTCTGTAATGAACAGCGTCTGAACGGGGTAAAGATAGCATCATCTGTTTTCCAGGGTTTCCTCGTACATCTCTGTCTTACCCCAAAATAGCAGCTACCCAACAGCCCCTCAGTCATTCCACGAGCATAGAAATGAATTTATATTGGGAAGCATTCAAGAGGGGAAGCGAGTGATCATGAGGGTATTTCATTTCAGAAAAAAATATTCTGCTTTGAGTTTCAGTATGACCAGCTAATTTTGCTTGAAATGCCCATAAATCTTTCTCAGCAGCGGAGTTGGGATGGGCATTTTCAAAGCATTCTGGGGTTCTAAATTCACACGGAATACAGAGGCCCCAAAAAGATAGGTGCAATGGACTTGAATGCTGATGTGATCCAGAAATTCATATGTTGAAACCTAACCCCCCAAGGTGATGGTGTTAGGAGCTGGGTGTTAGGAGCTTTTGGGAGGTGATTAGGTCGTGAGGGTGGAGGTCTCAAGAATGGGATTAGTGCCCTTATAAAAGGCCCCAGAGTGCTAGCTCATCCCCTCCACCATGTGAGGAGGCTGCTGGAAGCCACCAACTATGAACCAGAGACCAAATCTGCCAGTGCCTTGATCTTGGACTTCCTGCCTGCAGAACTACAATCCATAAATCCCTGCTGTGTACAAACCAACTGGTCTATGGTTTTTGGTTATAACAGCCCTGATGGACTAAGAAAGGGTAAACCTGGGGAAGGTATAAGGCTGGATGCTAAGAAGAGATGAACAGAGCCATTCCCCAGATTCCACCGTCTGCCAGGAAATTCCTGCACCTCTCACACAGCCCTTGACAATCCTGCCAGTTTTGCTTAGCACTTCTCTGACCCCATCCCTTCCTCTCCTCTCAGAATTTATCACTCCCTCATTTTTACTTTTATATCAGAAAGCATGGGCCTTGGAGTCAGAAAAACATGGTATCCTGTCCCGAATTGTATCCCCCAAAATGCATACATGGAAGTCCTAACCCCCAGTACTGCACAATATGACCTGACTTGTGAATAAGATCTTTAAAGAGGTAATTGAGTTTAAATGTGGTCATTAGGGTAAGCCCCAATTCAACATGACAGGGTCAATATAAAAAAGGGGAAATTTGGGCATAGAGACAGATATACACAGAGGAGGATGATGTGAAGAGACAGAGGGAAGACACTATGTAGAAACAGAGATTGGAATGATGCTTCTACAAGTCAAGGAATGACAAAGATTGCAAGAAACTACCAAGACGGGTGAGAGGGTGGATCAGTTTCTCCCTCACCAGCCTTGCCGACACCTTAGCCTGGAGTTGAGGCTGGACCCCAGTCCTAGCCCTGAGAGCTGTAAATCAATACATTTGTGTCTAAGCCTCCCAGTTTGTAGCATTTTTTTGCAGCGGCCCTAGGAAGCTAATATACCCAGGTTCAGTCTGGACTTTACAATTTACCAGTCATGCTCACCCGGGTAACCTATTTCAGCTCTCTCAAACCAGCACCATCCAATAGAAATATAATGGGAGTCACATGTATTTTTAAATATTCTAGAAGCTACATTTAAAAAGTAAAAAGAAGCAAGTGAAATTAATTTTAGCAGTATATTTTATTTAACTCGATATGTCTAATATATTATGTGAACAGGCAATCAATATAAATGTTAATGAATTATTTTACATACGTTTTTGTTCCAAGGCTTTGAAATCTGGCATGTATTTTATACTTAAAGCACATCTCAATTTGGAATGATCTTATTTAAATGCTCAAAAGCCACATGATATGCACTGCAGCTCTGACCTTTAGTTCCTGTATCTGTGACATGAACGTAATAATACACCACTCATGGAAACGGGGTCTTTCAGATTCTAGAGGATGTCCTGACTTAGCAGTTGGCCATGTGATGTGTAAGCAGACTGGCTTATTGAGGCATCTTTAAATTGGAGTTCCCAGAACCTTTGGAAATGGTTTACAGAGTTATGTGGATACTCTCTTCTCCTGCAGCCATGAGAACGAAAGCTGAGGATCATGCACAGGACTTAATTGTAAGAGTAGGAGAGCTCTAGAGGAGTTTACATTCTCAACCTTGGGAAGTCTTCTACAGCAATGTCACAGCCAGGATTAAGAAGTGGGAGCCTACACCATGATATGGGATACAAAAATCTTGGTTAATACACTTAAATCTTGCATCTCAAAATTGCTCAAAACCTTTGGGCTGCCACACTTGTTCCCTTCTTCCTATTAAAGGCTTGAAGACGATGCAGCAAAATACTTACCTCGCTTCCCCCCAGGGCTGTCAGACTGATAACGAGGGTTAAGCCACAGCATAGCACAACTGCAAGACTGCTGCATCTGCTAGGAGTGGAGAGGGACTGTACCCTACAACCACTGCAGCATCTGCTGACACATACTGGCAGGAACCAGGAGAGCATCATGGAGCTGGATGCTGATGGTGCTGAATCGAGGAGGCTGAAACAGAAGCCTGGAGAAGAACCGATAAGCATGAGTGCACTCACAGTGCAACATTTAGCACACTGGCAGGGACTCCACATTGCCAGCATGGCTCTTGGAACCTTGAAGAAATGGGTGTCCACAGTAAAGCAGAAAAGGCATGGCAGACCATAATTTAAAAATCAAAGCATAATAGATGTTGGCATGGATGTGGTGAAAAGAGAACACTTACACTGCTGATGGGAATGCAAACTATAAAACCACTACGGAGATTCCTTAAAGAATTGAAAGTATAACTATCACTTGATCCAGCAATCCCACTCCTGGGTATCTACCCATAGGAAAATAAGTCATTATACAAAAAAGACACTTGCACACACACGTTTATAGCAGCACAATTCGCAATTGCAAAAATATGGAACCAACCCCAATGCCCATCAACCAAGAAGTGGATAAGGAAAACGCGGCATTCATATACCATGGAATACTATTCAGCCACAAAAAGGAACAAAATAATGGCATTTACAACAACCTGGATGGAGTTGGAGACCATTATTCTAAGTGAAGTAACTCAGGAATCAAAAACCAAATATCGTATGTTCTCACTTTTAGGTGGGAGATAAGCTATGAGGACACAAAGGCATAAGAATCGTATAATGGACTTTGGGGACTTTGGAAGAGGGGGATGAGGGATAAGACTACACTTTGGGTACAGTGTACACTGCTTGGGTGACGGGTGCACCAAACCTGAAATCACCACTAAAGAACGTATTGATGTGACATTGTTTGGCTGTGTCCCCACCCAAATCTCATCTTGGATTGTAACTCCCACAATTCCAACATGTTGCAGGAGGAATCTGATAGGAGGTGATTGAATTATGGGGGCGGGTCTTTCCTGTGATGTTCTCATCACAGTGAATGAGTCTCACGAGATCTGGTGGTTTTAAAAACGGAAGTTTCTCTGCACAAGCTCTCTCTTTGCCTGCCGCCATCCACATAAGGTGTGATTTGCTCCTCCTTGCTTTCCGCCATGATTGTGAGGCCTCCCCAGCCATATGGAACTGTGAGTCCAATTAAACCTCTTCTTTTGTAAATTGCCCAGTCTCAGGTATGTCTTTATCAGCAGTGTGAAAATGGACTAATACACCACGTAACCAAAAAACACCTGTTCCCCAAAAACTATTGAAGTATTAAAAGTCATGGCAGACATTGGAAATGGCTCAGAGAAGTAGGTGTGTGGGAGTGGACATACAATGCAGGTATGGAAAAATTGCTAGCTGGAGGACAATTCATTTAACCGCATAGTGAGATGTGGCCTGCCAAGAGGTACTCATGTCATCAAGGAGTCTTTGGCTGTCCTCTGAGGGCAGGATGATGGTAAGAATGCTATTACACTTCAAAATAAATCATAGGATTCCTAAATAACACAGGCCAGATGGAAGGGCTCAACTGTCATAAGCAAGGTAGAAACAATTGTAATAAGCAGTGTCAGGGACTTTGACCCACAGAAAGCCATGGAGATGGCTATCAGCACATGGGGAGAGGCAGACGGGCAGTCAATGAGGTTATCACTCAATCTAGTAAATCAAGAGATATTGAGAACTAACAACTAAATGCAATACCTGCCCCTAGACTGGATCCTGGAGGGGAAAATTGCTATGAAGGACATTATGGGTCAACTGATAGAACTGGAATGAGGGTAGCAAAGTGGGTTAAAATATATCCCTGTTATCTTGTCTACAGCCAAGGAAGCACACCCTAACAGACATGGCAGAGGCTGGCCTGTCTTCTGCAAGCTCCCAAGATAGCTGCCTGTGATTTCCCTTGTTTGGTACAGTCTTACCCTGGCTTCTGGCTCTTTATCAAGTAACATCTTCACTAAGATGTTTCTTTTGGCTTTGCATTGGTTTTTAGTTTGTTATTGTTCTTGTTTTCTTCATCTGGTCATCTTCATTTTGTTCTTTTACCTTTGATAATCCTCATGACTATGCACCATGTTATGTCATTATGCTCTTTAGTGAGACCTTCTGATTGCTTGTTTTTTTGAGGCATAAGCTTTTTCTGGGCAAAGAATCAGGTGTCATTCAAAGCGGGTTCTGCCTCTGGCCTCGGTAGGCTCACAGTGTAACGTCATCTGAAAAGTGAGTACCAATTTCTAGCTCACAGAGCAGTCATGAGGCTTCCATGAGATGAAGCTATGGGCCTGGTCCATGGGAATGGCACAGCCGGTTTTTGCTGTTCACATCATCATTGTTATGATTAAAGGAAGAAGAAGAAGGCACTAGAGTAGGGAAGGTAGCAGAATCAAAGTGCCTCTTATTTGGAAGGAACTTTTTAAAAGTTCCTTTCGGACACTTGGTCCAGTCTCCGTGATGAGGATCATCCTCTCAAAGAGCTCTCCAAGTTCCAAGCTGTCCTCTAGCCTCTCTCTGGACATCAGTTATTGGATGCTCATCACCTTATGAGGTTAGCCCTTCAATTATGTGCAGCTCTCCTTGTAATAGCTTACCTGTCGAACTGAAGCCATTTGCCAATAAACTCCAGACGTTGGCCTTGATTCTTCTACTTGGGGACTGAAAATAGAGGAAGTTACTGCTCTGAGCAGCTCTTGTTTGTAGAGCTGATACACTTATTCCCCAGCTGCTGAAATGATTGCATCCTTCTTAAGTAGTGCCTTCGTTGATAGAAGTCGCTTGCTTTGGAAATAACTGGGAGGTCAGGCCCACACCCCACGGGAGTGAGTGGCACATGTGCGGTCACTCACTGAGGTAGCAGTTCAAATACCTGGCCACGTTTCCACAACTGAGACAGCTCTGAGGATCCATTTATAATTCAGAGCTCTCCACAGGATCACAGTGAGGATGGACTTCAGCTGAAACACCACCTTAGCTTCATCCCTGCTCTACTCTGTACCCTCACGCCCCAAAGTCTCTCCTCTGAGCATTCCATCAAGTAGTTACTTGTAAAAAAAAAGTCCCCACTGCAGGCTCAGCTTCAGGAAACCCACATAAGACGAGACTAAGAATAAGGATTTCACATGGCAGCCCTTCATTCCGTGACAACCACATTCAAAGAGCCCTGAGTTTTCTATTCCCTATGCTGTCACCAACTCACCTCAAAAGCAGTGGCTTTATATTCCCCAGGACATCTTGGCTCTCCTCTTCCAAGCTGTTCTACACTCTTACACCACCAGATGCAGTGACTTCACCAGAAAGTCATAACCAAGATTATCTAACCCAGAAGTGTGACTCAGCTGCCTAAAGGGGCAAAGCTGGTAATAGGAGCAAGTGAAGTGGCTTGGTGCAATGCAATAGGGAAGAGTGGAGAGTGCTGATAATGGAGAGCACTTGGTCTCAACTACAGTGAGGGTAGCTTCTCAGCTCCAGCAGGCTACTGGCTTTGAGAAATTAGAACACAGTATGCAAATCTGATGTTTCAAGATAAGTCAGAAAATCTGGTTTTCATAAGAAATATCCTGAATGTTAAATATTGGCAGTATATTTAGAAAATGTTCTAACAGCATGTGAAGTCATTAACACTTTGCTTTTAGTCCAGTATTTCTTATTTTGGAGTTGGGGAAGGTATCTACTCTTTGATGAAAGCTTTGTACAATCACCAGGGGAGAAATTACTACCAAAATGACACCAAACTTTAAATACAATTGAAGGTTCAAAGAGCCTTAAAATAAGGGAGAAACCCTGATATGCTGTAACCATTCAATAAAAGAGATGGGGTCACTAATGATATTTCTCATTCTAGAGTTTTTAATTGTTATTTTAAAATAAACTTTATTGAGAAATGATTTACATAAAACATATCCATTTTAAGTATACAGTTTGAAGAGTCTTGAAACAAATGGATACAGTCATGTAACCATCATCACAACCAAGCCGTGGAAGTTTCATCTGACCCTACCTAGTTAACCAGTTAATCCCCACCCCTCTATGCCTTCCAGCCCATGCAAACACTGATCTGCCTTCTGTCACTACAAATTTGATTTGTTCTCCTAGTTGAGTATAAATGGAGTCATATAATATATGTTCTTTTATGTCCAGCTTCTGTTGTTCAACATAATGATTTTGAAATTCATCCACGGGGTTTGTGAGTCAGTAGTTCCATCCATTTTTCTCAGTAGGTTATATTCTATTATATGGATGTGCTGCAACTGAATAGTCACCTATTCAGCAGGTGACTATTTTTTAACCGTGAATTCTGGGGTCATAATAGATCCTTTCATAAATATGTTGTTGAAAGTGTATCCATAGCTTTTACAAAAAGCTATCAAGATGATACGTTTAATTAGGATATTATATTTTTAGCTTGATTTTGAGCTTATGCTACTAATAGTAAACAGTGACATTTAAATTTTAGATTTGGTTCCAAGGTTAAAGAAACGCTATTCCCTAACAATCAATTTACTCAGTTATATAAATACATTTTAACATCTGATATTTCAGTGGAGTGTAATTTTTAAAACCTGAGTAATTCAGATCAGCTGTCTGATTCTCTACACTCTAAATAATTACTGGCTTTCTTCTTTATTGTTTGTGGAACTCGCCTCCTTACTGGTGGAATTTCTGGAAATTAATCCTGCTTACTGATTAAATGAAAATGCTTTAATTTGGCTTAAATTGATACTGTTAAATTTTTTCCTATTTAAAAATAAGCTTTCTAGTACTGAACATGTATCAAGTGATTAGAACAAGCACAGCTAGTTTTTATGTGTTTGTTTGCTTTGGTTTCGTTTTTAAGTGAATAGAGCTTATTTCTTTAGAGCTGTTTTAGGTTCAGAACAAAACTGAGAGGAAAGCGGAGTTCCCACATGCACCCTCCCCTCAATACCATCATCAATATCTTGCACCAGAGTGGTATATGTGTTACAATCAATGAACAGACCTTGATACATCAACAGCACCCAAAGTCCATAGTCAATGTTGTATATTCTACAGGTTCGAGCAAATGTATAATGACATGATTCCACCTTTATAGCATCGTACAGGACACTTTCACTGCCCTAAACATTCTGTGTTTCACCTATTTGTACCTTTTCCCCCTCCTTTCCTTCCCTCCAAGCCCCAACCAACCACTCATCTTTTTTACTATGTCTATAGTTTTATTTCGCCAGAATGCCATATAGTTAGAATCACAGTGTGCAGCCTTTTCAGATTGGCTTCGTTCATTTAGTAATATACTTCTATGGTTCTTCCATGTCTTTTTGTGGCTTGATAGTTAATTCCTTCTTAGTGCTGAGTATTCCACTGTCTGGATGTTTCACAGTTTATTCATCTACTGAATGACATATTGGTAACTTCCAAGTTTTCGTAATTATAAGTAAAGCTGCTATAAACATTTTTGTTCAGGTTTTTAGGTGGACATAAGTTTTCGACTCATTTGGATAAATACTAAGAAGCATGACTGTTGGGTAGGTAAAAGCATGTTTTGTTTTGTAAGAAACTGCCAAACTATCTTCCAAAGTGGCCATTCCATTTTACATTCACAACACTGAGTGAGCATTCCCGTTGCTCCATACCCTCACCAGCGTTTCGTATTTTGGATTTTAGCCAGTCTAACAAGTGTATAATGGCATCTCAATGTTTTAATCTGCAATGCCTTAATGGCATACAATGTGAAGGATCTTTTCCTTCTCTTATTTGCCATCTGTGTATATTCTTTGGTGGAAGCGCTCAGATTTTTGAATCATGAAGGAAACATTTGCTGCAGGACCACTTACGTACCCTCTACTCTCTTTCAATTTCCCTACTTGCTACATTACCTCTATTTCATAGATGTAGAAAGTGAGGTTCACAGAGGTAAACATAGGTCTCCAAGCTAGCAAAGGACAGAGTTCAAGCTCATGCTCATTTGATTGTATCCTACTGGTCTGTGGCTGGACACACCATTTAGAAGTTCATCAACAAATAGGAAGCTCTACAGTCTAAAATTTCCCCAATATAACTCTTCCAATTAAACTAGAAGAGATCAGCAGATCAAGAAGCCAGGCTATTCAAACAGGTGGAAGTCTGGCTTTCTATATTTCTGCAGGTATAGAAATGTTCAATGTAAGGAAAACTATGGTCAGGTTGGTTTGGGGTTGATATGATTCAGATAGAGATGGTAGTATCTTGACAGAGGCCAAATCGAATTCCATCCTGTAGAGGCAGGCAAAGCAGCACTGTACCAGGATACTGGCAAAAACAGAGTCTTCGAGGTCACTCCTGAAGTATCAGCATGAGTAGAAAGTGGCAGAGAAAGTGTCCTGTGGCTTGTAACACCAGACAATCTGATCAACCACAGTGATGATGATTCAGAAACAGTACAAGAAAGCTCTGTGGCTGAGACACCATTGGGAGGGTCTTTTAGGTGAGAGCTCCAAACTTAGACAAAGTGTGCAAAGTGCATTGAAAATAAATCCTAAATCTAGGAGGGTCCATTCTTCTTTTTGGCATGCCTCTTAAAATTTTACTCCAAATTTCTTACTGGAAACTTGGAAGCAATGTTCACTTCTTTAAGTATGCTTGGGTGCACTTCCACTAACCGAGTTTCCACTTTACCCTGAACTTTATGCCACGCATATACTGGTCAGCTCTGGGGTGTAGACAGCCCAGCAATAGAACAAACATGTGAAACCACTTTCGGATGCCCCAGCCCATCTCTCCAAAAAAGAGAACCCAGAGGTCTTACCTAGCAGGAAGTATCCTGGGGAGGCTGTCAGCCCCAGAGACAGGCATCCACCTGGGGAGTCACCTGCTGGAATATCCCCCACCACCTTCAAATTTGCAAACTCCACCTTTCAAGAGAATTTCTAGTAAGTACTCCCTAAAACAGGGTGCATAGAGAGAAATAGCTTAGAAACCTAATAACTAAGCACAGAAAGTAGTTTAAAATGCAGGAAAAGGATTCAGAGACACAGAGCAGGAGCACCAGGTACCAAAACATACACATTTAAGCAAAAAGAGGAAAACCTTTCCCTTGAGAGGAAATGCAGCTGCAGCAACAGCAGCAGCTACCACCCTCCAGAGAGCAAAGCTGAGTCCATCCTCAGAAGGATCTGGAGAAAGCAGAGGAGGTGGGAAGGGGCTGGGAGAAGAGAGCCACTGAGCCCTGCAGAAGGCTGGTGGCTGGTCCTGAAACCGCTCAGGGGCAGGGGTGGGCCTCTGTGGGGAGGAGGAAGATGAGCAGGTCTCTGAGAAAGAAACAGGGCAGGAAAGGGAGGGAGTGCATTATCGGGGGAGTTGGGTGACCCAAAGAAGCTGGGGAGAGGGGTAACAGCTCCCTGTCAAGTGGTAGTTTGGGTCCTTTTATAGCATGGGGTGAAATGACCTTTTCCCTTTCAGGCCACTGGAAAGTTTGAGGCCAGCATGAGGTGGTTAGGAAACAAGGGGGTAGCAGGTATCTATTCTTTACCTGGGCCTCAGAACCCCAATCCCAGCCCCTCTGCAGCCTCTGTTTGTCACAGCAGAGTGAAGACAGGCTGCCCTGACCCATGTACAGGGCACTGGCTATCTGCCAGGGGTTCTTCCTATAGGTAGCCTGGGGCAGGGGAGGGTAGATGCCACACCTTTAGTTTTGGATAAGGACATTAAGGGTCAGAGAGAGCCATGACAGCACCTCCTGAGCCACACAGCAGTGCAGGGACTTCCTTCAATAGGACACACGCGGATGGCCTCAGGGAACTTTTGTCCTCAACCCTCAGTCCTTAAAAGGAGCTTCTAGAAGTATTTTAAATTAGATGAGGAAATGGCTTAATTGAAATGACCCTCCCAGCCCATGCCACTTGCAATCCGGCTCCTAAAATTATAAGTGGTTTTTTGTTTGTTTGTTTGTTTGTTTGTTTGTTTTCTTTGACTGCTTCCTGCATGTTAACAGATTCACAAATAGACGTTGTGGGCTCCTGTTGTGAACACAGAATTCTCCGCCATCTGGCCTCTGCTGCTTCTCTCCTGCCTTTCTTCCAGCCACTTCATTGACGACTCATCCCACAAGGGTTTGCAGAGCTCCTGACTCATGCCAGGCTCAGTGCCAGGTCCTGCCTGTACAGTGTGCTGGAAAGACAGGCACTGGCACATGGCATTGTGATGCAGACAGACGAGCGCCCAACTTATCAGAGTCACCTGTGGGGGTACATGAGGGAGGGTGTGATTACACATGCTTGGTCCTTATTCAGGGACTGCACAGGTCATTGTTGTGCAGCTGTGTCAAGGGCTGAGTCAGGTGCTGGGGTGCCCTGGGCAGGAGGCCGGCATCAGGATGGGGAGATGGGCTGGAAAACAAGGCAGCAAAGAAGTCCCACCCGTCTACTAACTCCAAGCTGTAGGATGTGTGTTCTGTATAAAGAAGAACGAGTTGAGACAGAGAATAACCCAGAAAGGGGTGGAGTGGGGAATTGAAATTCAAGGCCCAAGAAAGGCCTCTCTGAGGAGACACTAAACTAATGAAGTGGTGGGAAGCCCCCACTGCAAAGGAGGAGTCAGGGCTTGGAGGATGACTGGGAGTGGACAGAGGGCTGGGGCCTTTGGAGCAGAGAGCAGGACCTGAGCGCTGAGCTGAGGACACCTCGTGGCCTGAGGTTGTCAGGGCTATGGCTGGGGATGAAGCTAGAGTGGGGAACAGGGCACAGATGTGGAGGCTGGCAAGGCCTGCAGAGGGTGTGGGCATGGTCTGGGCCCTGTCTGAGCAGCATCTATGACAGGGTGCCCGGGAGACCTCTCCTCTCTGCAGACCTTGTGCCCTGAGGCCAGGGCAGGTGCAGCAGGAGGGCACAGGAGGGCAGCTTCTATCCCAAAGGCTCCTGCAGGCTTGATGCCCTCAGGTCTCTCCCCTTCTCCAGGTCCCAACCCCTCAGTCCTGGCTGTGCATCTCCAGGCCCCATTGAGGACAGAGCTCAAGTCCCCTCAACAGTCTACAAGCCACTGCACCTCACTGTTCCCATGGAGACAGAGATACCAAGGTCCAGAGCCAAACCAAGCCTCTCCTTCTCCCCATTGCACCAGTGAATAACTGGACGCCTGCCAAAGAGAAATGCTCCTTGAAGGCCTGGGGGATATTCACCGTCTGTGTGCTCTCTACTCACTCCTCTCTTTGCAAAATCAAATTTCCATGCAAAAATGGAGCCACGGGTTCTGAAAATGTCCTGACATTCTGGGAGACATTTACTTTGTTCATCTCAGTCTCTTCCCTGATGAGAGCTGGTAAGACAGGAGGCAGAGACAGGCGGCCTCTAGGGAGACACTGCCTGGAAGCGCGCACCTCGCTGGCACCAGCAGGGTCTGTCTGTGCCTGTGAACCAACGCAGAGGAGCACAGCCACATGCCCCTCCTTACCAGGGCATACAACTCTCACGTCCTCCTTCCAGGCTGATCCCAGTTGAAAAATCATTTGCCGGTGTGTGTGTGCACACATGTACACATAAACACTTAAAAACTATATGTTTCTTGAGTTCATGTCCTTTGCAGGGACATGGATAAGGCTGGAAGCCATTATCCTCAGCAAACTAACACAGGAACAGAAAACCAAACACTGCGTGTTCTTACTCATAAGTGGGAGTTGAACAATGAGAACGCATGGACACAGGGAGGGGTACGTCACACACCAGGGCCTGTTGGGGGGTGGAGGGTGAGGGGAGGGAGAGCATTAGGACAAATACCTAATGCGTGCAGGGCTTAAAACCTAGATGATGAGTTGATAGATGCGGCAAACCACCATGGCACACGTGTACCTATGTAACATACCTGCACATTCTGCACATGTATCCCAGAACTTAAAAATTAAAGCAAAATAAAAAAATAACTTATATATTTTTAAAGCAAAAGGAGATGCCGACAAATGTACATTTTTTCTGTTTCTCCCAGATGCCAAGGTAAATCTTCAAAAAATTATTGTAAAATAATAGTAATAGCAAGAAAAAATAGTATTAATAAAAACACTTGATTACTGGAAACAAGCAGAAGGAAAGCCATGTATGGGCTGTGGTCAGTCACAAGTCAGTGTATGTCTGTGTGGATGTGTGCCTCTGTGGGATTTATCAGGGGTAGGGGTATGAGGTGGGCCAAGCTTTTTGTTTATCCTTGCTGCTGCTGTTTGACTGTTTGACTTCTGGTTAATTTTGTTTGGCTTCCCTTCCAGCAAGAGTCAAAGCTCTGTGGAATGAGCGCCACCATATCTTCCTTTACAAGAGACAATGAGAGACTCAGAAAAGCGCGAGTATCTGAGTCAGGCTGACTTGGGCTTGGAAAGGTGCAGAAAACCGAAGGAACAGAAATTTTCAGAACGAAATTTTCTTGCAAACATAAAGCCATGGGTTCTGAAATGTCTTCAAGTCAGAGATTGAGTTCACTAACTTCGGGACATTTTTAGAATCTATGGCTCTATTGTTTACAGGGAAATGTGGTCAAATTTGTCAATTGATGGCCCTGCTGAGCCACTGATACTTCCTAGACCCCTGAGCCTCATTTCTTCCTCTGTAAAATGGGTATTGCAGCAAAACTGCTCTTCAAGGTTGCTGGGAAGACAGGATGAAGTATATTGGTCACCTGGCCTCAATCAAAGTGATTCATCCAACCCCTGCTCCTCTTGTAGCTCCCACTGGAATAACTCTGTTCATCACAGCAGCCTTATTGTCTGGTTTGGGTCTTACCAGCCAGGTGAGAGCTTCTAGTCACTATCTCCCCAGAGGCTTCCTGTCTCTGCCTCCTGTCTTATCAGCTCCCATCGAGAGAGACGGAAATGGACTAAGTAAAGGTCTCCTAGAGCTTCAGGATGCTTTCAGAACCCATGGCTCCATTTCTGCAGGGAAATTTCATTCTAGAAATTGTTTTTCCTAGGGTTTCACTCACCTATAAGTTGCCAGTGAAGAATATCTGCTTGGGGAGCCTGGTCAGATGATGACTTTTTAAACATAAACATTGTACTAATGTACCCATCAAAGAGCCTAAAACACTATGGGGCAAGATTAAATCAGTCTTTGTAAAATCCATTCATTCAACAAATAATAAGTGTCTTAAATACCACCAACTGGGTGGCCTCTAAAGAACAAATGCATTGCCTCACTTCTGGAGGCTGGGAAAGTCCAAGGTCAAGGTGCCAGCAGATTTGGTTTCTGTGCAGGGCCTGCTCTCTGGCTCAAAGATGCCTTCTTGCTGCATCCTCATGTGGTGGAAGGGGCTAGCTAGCTCTCTGGGACCTCTTTTATAGGTCCTAATCCCATTCAGGAGAACAGAGCCTTCATGACCGAATCAGCTTCCAAAGTCCCACCTTCTAATACCAATACATTGGGGATTAGGTTTCAACATAGGAATTCTTGGGGGACACGAGCATTCAGGCCACAGCAATAAGTACTGAACAGCTACCATGTGCCTGCACTATTCCAGGTGCAAGGAATAGAATTGTGAACCAGATGAAAAGGGACCCAGCTTTCAAGGTGTTCATATTCAAATGTGGAAATCTGGGTGGACAGACAATAAGCAAGGAAGCAGAGATGTGAACAAGATTAATTTCAGCTGGTGTTGAGAGCTGCAGTGTGACAGAAGGTAGAGAGGGGCATGGGGCAGCCTGAGACTGGAGGGTCCACCTGGCCTCTTGAAAGTCACAAACTACCATCTGGGGATGGGGGAGATAGCATTGTTGAGTGAACCCCAGTGTGGGTCTGGATTCAGGGTGGGGAGGGTAAGAAGAGCAGAGACCCAAATAATGAATGTTACCAGGCCATACCCCATGAGGATGGAGTGACCCAAACCAGAAAAGAGACTACCATGATCCAGGCATTCTGCAGAGGGAGGTCCCTATAGGGGAACTCTGCCCTGTTGGGAACATTTGGTATGTTAGAAAGAATAAAGTCCCTCCCAAAATTATCCATGCCCTAATTCCCAGAACCTGTACATACAGGTACCCTCAAAGGGTCACTGGGACTGTGGAGAAGTGATTAAGGATCTTGCGGTTGGGGAGATTATCCTGGATTATCTGGGTGGCCCAGTGTAATCACAGGCAACTTCATAAAGAGGAGGCAGAAGGGTGGAAGTCAGAGAAGGAGACGTGAGAATAGAAGCAGCAGCCAGAGAGAGGCAGAAGATGCTAAGGCTGACGGTGAAGCTAAAGGAAGGGACCACAGGTACCTTCCAGAAGATGGAAAAATGAAATTGCCACTCACCTCACACCTCTGGAAAGAATGCAGCCCTGCCAACACCTTGATTTCAGTCCAGTGACACCTGTTTAGGACTTCTGACCTCCAGAGCTGAAAAATACTACATATGTATTGGCTTAAGTCACTGAGTCTGTGATTTGTTACAGCATCAATAGAAAACAGATTTGGTAACTGTCCCTGTTGAGACAGCATTCAGATGCCCATGATGAGGAGAGAACAGAGGGCCCTCGGTGCCAACAAGAAGGAGCAGGGACAAGCAGCAGAGAAAAGATGCCTTTGTCAAGGGTGACCATGCAAGAAGTCACCTGACTTTCCCCCTCCCTCTTTCCTGCCCCACTCCTGCAGTCCACATGGATTCACACAGGGAAGAAGGACACAAGAGGTGTTCGTGGGGTCGGTGGTGGAGGGTTGGGGGGCATGTTCTTCCTTCCCAAGCCAAATTGCTGGAGACCTGTGGGAGTTCAGTCAGGCTGATGGGAAAAATTTTAAGGTGAAGTTATAGGATATAGACACAAATCTTCTTGGAAGGCCAGAAGGTTTCTGCAGAAGTCTCAGGATAGGGTTATGGCTGAAAGTAGCCTAATCCTTACCTTGAGTAAATAACTTAGAGTAGATACATAGGAATGTAGAGGAGTTTATCTAAATAAATTGTTTACTCTGGTGGTCCTAAAACTAACCTTTGATCATTCACGGGCAGGATGGCTCTCTCGCTGTTGGGGTTGGGGGGCGACCAGGTTGAAGGCTGATTACCCTCTAATGGTGTTGACTCAAAGTCTTTGTCATTTAATGTGTGCTGAATAAATGCCAGCAGGGCCAGCTAGTCAGGGCAGCAGCTGCAACTCTTTACAGTACTCTCCTTGGAGTCTGTAAGTGGCCTGGACCCTCAGCTGGACTGACAAGCATAGTATCTGTGTCAGTGTATGTTATTCATCCGCTGTTGGGTCAGGGTCTGTGGGACAGACCCCAGCAGAGAACCACACTCTCCTACTCTGGGGGTAAAGGAAAGGAGGAGGACTCTGCATCTAATAAGAAATCTAAGTTTTGAAATGCCATGGACTGGTTGTCTACTGGAGAAACACGCAGGTGAAAGGACACAATGTCTAGGATTGGCCTCTCAGTACAGCCCCACACCTGCCCCCCACAAAAAAAAATCAGGGGGACGATGGGACAAAATGAGTAATGATAATCACTGAAGCTTGGTATTGGGAACACTGTCCTATTAGCTCTGCTTTTGTTCATGTTTGGAAATTTCCATAGTAAAAGGGTATACATATTTCTAGAGTTAGGAACCAGAAATTCCATGAGTTTGTCAATTCATGTGGGACCTGCAAAAATGAGAAATGGAGATGTAGTAATAGAAAGAAAATAGAATTGTTGATTTTTAAAAGAACAGAACAGGCTTAAAATCAGGAAGTGATTGGTCAAATTGGCTTGAAATGCTTATAACAGAGCCTGTTACTGGGGGAAGGAGCTGCAACCCCAGAGATCAACATAAATTGTTTACTAGGGCCCCACATCCAAAATAAATTATGACTCACCTCTTCTTTGGATTCTTGTCATCTTGTCAGTGAAAAAGAAAAAATATACGTGAAATGATTACAAACATAAAGAACATATGTGCAATTTCCCCATGAGTTTATTTTCATGTTTTAAAAAACAAAGACAACATTTGGTTCAAACAGTGAGGTGTGGGGCTGCAGATTATCTGGAATCACCAAAGGTGCTAAGACACAAGGGATAAAAAAATGTGATTAGATTCACTTCTAAGCCATAATACAAATTCCAGGCATTAGAAATTTCTAAAGTTATTTTCACTCACTAGCATATCTACAAGTGATATGTATTCATTGCAGAAAAATTACAAAATTCAGACAGAAAAGAAACAATTATCCCACCCGGACCCCATCACCAAAAAGTAAATCATAATTTTGACTTATAGTATACCCTTGTAGACCATTTCCATATATTAAATTAATATTCAAATGGCATAGACAACCCTTGTCTTTACTGCGGCACCCAGCCTCTCTATACAGTGGGCTCTGCTTTTCATCAAGCTTGCTGGATAGAGGTTGTCTTCTGTAAAATCTAGGTCTTGCCAGGGTTTGGCCGAGCCTCACTTTTTAGCTATTCCCAACTTCATAGGAAAAGGTTTCTATGACAAACCTAATACGTTAACAGGTTTCTCAGAGAAGGGGGAACAGGAAGGAAAGTATCTCGCCGTGGTTGAAGCAGAAGCCAGAGGTTCCATGTTTGGGCCCCAGTGGTTCTAACTGGGCACTAAGTCAGCTTCCAAGGGTGAGAACGCCAGCCTAATAGACACTTCTCAGAGAACTAAGCTTGGCCACTCTTGAGGTGACCTTGCAAATACTTTAGTTTCTTTCATTTTGCAAATGAGGAACCCGGGACGCAGAGAAGGGAAGAGAGAGGCCCAAGAGCAGGCGACAGATCAGAGGGGCACGGACTGCAGAAGAGAGACCCTGGCACCGCTTGATGCCACCTTCATGGAGCCCCACGCTGCCGCCCTGCACCTCTGCAAGCAGGCGCACAGGCCTGGGGGAGAACAGGGACTCTGGATGTGGGCCTCCGCATGGGGTCCCCCAAGCCACAGCTTGTCTTCCCCAAGGTCTCCTTGCCTGGCTCCTCCATCCCCCCAACCACTGCCCTCACTGTCTCCACCCAGCTCAGTCCTTCCCTCTAACAAGAGCACATGCCCAGAACACCCCTGCACCACCACCTTCACCCTCTTCAGGACGTTTGACCATTCGGAGAAGCTCTGATATCACAGATGCATTGACCCCCGCCTTTGTAGGAAACACACCATCTCATCTTTGACTTTTCTTGCTGCATCCACTCTTGACAGGTGCCCCAGCCCAACCTCACTCCGTTCCTGATTCTTGGTCTATCCCCTACCCCCACCTGGGCTTTAACACTGGAAGTGGGGCTGGGACAGAATGTCTACTGCACACAAGACTTAAAGGTAAAAAGGGAAAACTGAACCACAAACCTTGTTTATTTGGGATGGCATCAACACAGCCCTGTTGCTGAGGCAAAAAGGCCACATCTGAACACCCCGTCAACCTTCCCCCTGCCCACCACTGTCCTTTGTGTCTGTGAGGCTGTGAGTTATGGAAGACTGGGGCCTTTCCTTCTTCCAGGTCAAATTTCCAGCCTCTTTGCAGGGCCTTGCACAAACACCATCCTCCATAAAACAGCACCACCACCCTATTTGCTCTTTAGCCCCCAGCCTGCTTTGTTTTATTCTTTAGCCTTTATTGGCAATTATGATGCAATCTATTTGTGCACTTATTACTTTAATATCTGTCCCCTCACATGGCAGGTGGCTCTTTTCCTCATTACTGTATTCTCAGTACCTGCAAAGTAGTTGGGCACAGGGTAGACCTGTCTATAAATAACTACTCTATAAATGGACAACTGAATGAATGAGTGATTGAACTTAATCAATGGTGTATTCAGTTGACAGCCTGTAGTATCTTGCTGTCCTTAATCATCTATGACTATAGCATAGCCCAATAAACTCATGAACCATATAGAAGAGGGAAGGCATACATCTCCCAGAACACCTAGCAAAACTGCAAGGTACATAGCAGGTGCTTCATAAGAACTTGAAAGTTATTACTTTTAGCTAACTTACAGAATGCATTAGGATGCATGGGTTGTTTCTTAGACATCAGATAAAATCATCCTTCCCCCTTGTTTTATAGAAAGGAAAATCAAGAAATAAGCTGAATGAATCTCCCTAATATAGCAAGAAGTGAAACGGAAACCACAATGTACAAATGAACTGTATCCAAATTGACAAATTCTATCAAATTATGAATTATTTGAATTATGAATACCACACAAAGTAAGCATAAATTGCTTTCATATAAACTTGCCGAATTTACAAATTCCAGCCAATCTGTATCTGAATCACTCTATAACTAAGCCTTGTCTGGAAACCACCTGTACACTTCCCCGTTCTGAGATGGTTCAGACGTTTTGTTCCCATGGTACTCACACTAAGCCTGGCTTAGATGGCTATCAATTCCCCTGGTGGTCTTGACAGCCCCTGGGGGCTTCAACAAAGGTAATTACCTTTTAAAACAATGGATCTTATACAGAGGATTTTGTTTAAGCCTCAGAGCCTCGAAAGCCCATGATTTCAGTGTGTTTTCCTTGATAATACCAACTTCCTCTCTGCTACATTTTCTTTTCATTTCAAGAGTAGAGAAAATTGCACATAAAGATGAGATTTTTGGTTCAAATCCATTTGTTTCTTTCCAGAAAATTGCACTCTTCTCTTTTAAGAAAATACATCTATGTCTAGCAAAACATAAGGTCGGATTTGCAATGCCTCTTTGTGTCTGAAATCCGGACTCTTCCAGTTTGGAGCAAATAATCAGTTATCTGGTGTTCTTGATCTCGTGCATGTCCAGCCTTCACCTGCCCAGGGCCTTGCTCCATGCCTGGGTCAGAGGCAGCAGCTCACAGGGGGTCAGCCATGGGGAAGGCGTCCTTCACAGGCTCTGGAGCAGCCTCCACCAATCTTCATGTTAGGGCCCACATAAAGGTAGATGCAGCAGAGACTTCAGATAATGTCTGGGAAAAGGAAGCTATGACCACATCCTGAATAAAATGCTTTTCTCCAGGGACCTGACAAGATAGCCTTAATGGGATAAAGGGCAGCCATGCCTCAATTTCCTCCAGAGGTGGGGCATGAGAAGAGTTTGGAATGGATGATCGTGATCAAGTCATGGAAATCCCTCACCCGTACTCGATCCCCGGCCATGCTCTCACCAGCCATTAGAAGGATGCTTTTAAAATATAAACCAAATTGCATCACCCTTAGTGGAAACCAGTCAAAGTCTTCCTTTTTCAAAGAAAGTCATATCTCAAGCCTTCTAAGGAGCTGAGACTACAGGCACCTGCCACCACGCCTGGCAAATTTTTGTATTTTTAGTAGAGACAGGGTTTCACCATGTTGGCCAGGCTGGTCTCGAACTCCTGGTTTCAAGTGATCCGCCTGCCTCGGCCTCCCAGAGTGCTGAGATTACAGGCATGAGCCAGTGTACCTGGCTTCTTACAATATGTTTTTCATCATCTAAAATCTCCAGTTGAATGTGAGATCCCTAAGAGCTGGCGCTGATGATTTGTTCCCTGGCCCCTTCTCAACCTCATCACACTCGACTTGCTCCAGCACCACTGTTCTTCCCAGACACCAATCTCTCCCGGCTCTAGAGTCTCGCTTGCTGCTCTGTCTTCCAGTGTCTTCCCCCTTCACCTTGTTTAGGTCTCCTTCCCTGACCACCTTTTTCACCAACACCCACATCACACCCCATCTCCTTACCCTGTTTGTCTTTCCTTTACAGTAATCATCACTTCTTACAATATATTTTTTGTTTGTTTGTTTTCATTTTGCTTTGTTGGAAACACAGTCTCACTCTGTCACCCAGGCTGGAGTGCAGTGGCATGATCTCAGCTCATGGCAACTTCTGCCACCCAGGTTCAAGCAATTCTTCTATCTCAGCCTCCCGAGTAGCTGGGACTACAGGCGCACACCACCACACACAGCTAATTCTGAAAGAAGGTTTTAAAGATCCTCTTTTTCTTCTAAGATTCTTTGATTTCTAAAAAGCTTGTGGGACAGAAAGCTGAAAACTAAAATTCAAGCAGTTCAGAGTTCCCTTCTGCCTTGAAGAAGAAAAAATAGTGTCTCTTCCTATTTCCCATTCAATTTAACTGAACCAAAAGGGACTGCCACTAACTCGCACTTCTCAAAGCCACCTGGACACACTTAGGGTCAGTTTCTTTGCACACGTGCAGCCCAGATGTTTAAGAGGATAGAAGGGGCCGGGCGCAGTGGCTCATGCCTGTAATCCCAGCACTTTGGGAGGCTGAGGCAGGCAGATCATGAGGTCAGGAGATTGAGACCACCCTGGCTAACATGCTGAAACCCTGTCTCTACTAAAAATACAAAAAAATAGCCAGGCTGGTGGCAGATACCTGTAGTCCCAGCTACTCAGGAGGCTGAGGCAGGAGAACGGCGTGAACCCAGGACGTGGAGGTTGCAGTGAGCAGAGATTGCACCACTGCACTCCAGCCTGGGCGACAGAGTGAGACTCCGTCTTAAAAAAAGAAAAAAAAAAAAAGAGGATAGAAGGATACATCAAGATGAATAAAAGACTCTCAGATCTTGAGCCCCCTGCCCACTCCTGCCCTTGGCTGTGTTCCCTCCTTCTGGGATTTCTGGCATCCCTATGAGTAACCTACACACATCACGGATCAGCTGCCCTTCTCACAACCAACTGGCAACCTCAGGCCTCCACAGCACCCGGACCTGATGCCGTGATGATGAGGCTTCTGTGGCCTCTCTGTCATGCGGTTCCTGCTATCCAGGCTGCCATGGTGCCCTGGCCTTGCTGTTCCCTGAGTGAGAGATTCATCCCCACTGCCCAAGGACATCGTCCCCATGATCCTCATGGGCCTGTCTCTTTAGAAGTGAGAAGGAGAAAGTCTGTGCAGAAGACAGGAGGAGCAGGGGGCCGCCATCTGCACTCTGGCTCCCTTTCCAGTCCCACCTTTGCCACTTGGGTCACGCTGCACATCTGACCTCTCTCCTACCCTTTTTTGAGCCTCAAGGCTCAGAGGGATACAGCGTGACTTGCTCTCATCACCTCGTTCTTCTTGTCCCTGGTATGCTTACTGTGAGCCTTCTTGAGCTGAACGATTTACATTCATTAATCGTATTTTATCCTCATGACAACCCCTCAGCATGAATATTCCTATTTTAAGAGAAGGAAACTGAGTTTCAGAGGTTATCTGGTCCACAGTCTCACAGCTAATAAGTGGCTGAGCCATTTCATGGTTTTGAAATTAATCAAGAAACACAGAATGTCAAATGTAAACATGAAAACTTCTCATTTTTTTTCTAGCACCTAGTAACACAGTCTATATAGACAAAGATGTATGTGCAGAATGTTCATCTTGGCACTATTTATAATTATGAAAAATTGGCAATAACCTAAACATCAACACAAATAATGAAAACTCTCTATAATGATATATTGAGCAATCATCAGGACTAATGATGCAGTGCTGTGCTGATTTCCATGTGAATTTGTCTAATGCATACTGCTGAATGTAAAAGACCAATTACAGAACAAGTCCCTCCATATTGTTCTCTAGAAATTAACACCGACGTGTATCTTCTATAGCTATACAGGTCCTTTCAGCATGTTTGAAAGTATTTAGACACAGACACAGGAGAAATAAAGAGAGAAACTATCAAACAGGAACAGATTATATACACACTGTTCTGCCACTCGCCTTTTCCACTTAAGCATCTTGGGCACCAGTTTCAGCTAATTTAGATCTACCTTATTATTTGAAGTGGCCACATTGCACTTTATATGTTTATAGATGTATTTATCCAACATTTATGGAATATTGCCAATTTCTTGCCAGGGGCCACACTGAGCACCAGAAAGCTATTCTCAGACAGTTTAATATGTTGCTATTTAGTTCTCTATTCCCCATTGATGAATTTTCTTTTCCTGTTAGAAACAATACCACAGCAGTCAACCATGCATGTATTGCTTCGTTGTATGTCTCTGAGATAAAGTCCTAGAAATGACATTATTTGCTCAGAGGGTAAACACAGCTTCAACTTCAACAAGACTTTTTCCCCCTGAATGTCTTCGCTGGTAGAGTTCAATCAATAAAGAACTGTGTGCTTTTTCCTATGCAGGGGAAGAAGCCAAGGGGGGTGACTTTGGAACAAAGAATTTGGTTTGTAAAGCGGGGCTTATAGCAAAAAGAAAAGGTAGGAAACTACTGCATAATAAGCACAAATTAAGTACTTGGCATGTTCCATAGATTACCAAATGTTTGCCTCTCAACAAATGGAACAACTCGATAGGTATAAAAAAGTGGTTTTAAATGAACCAGTGTGAGATACGTCACTCTCACCATTCTGCAGGTGAGGACTCTGGAGCCGACGTGGAAAACCTTGCTCAGTGCCACCCAGACTGCTTGTATCGGTCCATTTTCATACTGCTATGAAGAAATATCCAAGACTGGGTAATATATAAATAAAAAGAGGTTTAATGGACTCGCAGTCCCACATGGCTGGGAGGCCTCACAATCATGGCAGAAGGTGAAGGAGAAGCAAAGGCATGTCTTACATGGTGGTAGGCAAGACTGTGTGTGTGCAGGGGAACTGCCCTTTATTTATTTATTTATTTAGAGATGGAATTTCGCTCTTTTGCCCAGGCTGGAGTGCAGCCACACGATCTCAGCTCACTGCAACCTCCGCCTCCCAGGTTTAAGCAATTCTCCTGCCTCAGCCCCCCGAGTAGCTGGGATTACAGACATGTGCCACCACACTCAGCTAATTTTGTATTTTTAGTAGAGATGGGGTTTCTCCATGTTGATCAGGCTGGTCTTGAACTCCTGACCTCAGGTAATCTGCCCCCCTCAGCCTCCCAAAGTGCTGGGATTACAGGTGTGAGCCACCACGCCTGGCCTAGGGAACTGCCCTTTATAAAACTATCAGATCTTGTGAGACTTATTCACTACCACGAGAACAACACGGGAAAAACCTGCCCCCATGATTCAATTACTTTCCACCGAGTCCCTCCCATGAGACATGGGAATTATAGGAATCTCTATGCAAGATGAGATTTGGGTGAAGACACAGCCAAACCATATCAGTGCCCATGATAGGGTTGCTGTCCAGAGGCCAATATGTGCACCTGCAGGACAGGTGAGAGGGAAGGAGCCTGGGGCTGGGAGATGAGTAGGGGCTTCCCTGCAGTGCTGGCCTCTCATGATGGAAGTCTGTAGAGTGAGAGCCAGGAAAGCAAGAAAGAGTCATGTCAGTGACTTCCAAAGAGAGCCCTGAGCTATGGAGTAGCATTACCCATCCCTCTTGCTCAAGAAAAAAAATCAACTTTCTTAAATTGCACATCCCTCTCTGCACTGTAGGTATTACTCTTCCTCCCCTCTCTGCTGTGCAAGCATCCTTTGCCCTGGTCCACTGGCTGGGCAGTATTGATTATTTGACAAGTTGCATGAGCTGGTATCTTCTGCCTGGCTTCTCACTCACCCACCTTTGCCAGGAGAAGGAAAGGCTCTTGAAAACATTTAGAGAATGGAGAATAAGAGGGATGGAACTGTGGAACCCACGGCGAGCTGGAGACACTGTCTCAGAAAGGGCCATTGGATGCATCTCTTCCAAACTTCCATATTCAGTGACAACAGCTTTTAGGAGCTTGAATTTGTCCATGGTGGGAACATTTGCCTTATAGACATTGGCAAATGCTACAAATAGCTCTCTTCTAAAGAGCTGTTGTTCAACATTTACCATAGGTGCAAGCCCTAGAGGAGCCCTAGCCTTCAACTACACCGTAGCCCTGGAACAGAGCCCTCTGCCCAAGATGGGAACATAAGGATGGAAGGTGCTGGTCCCATTTGCTCAACGTAGAGAGCCCCCACCTGGGGCTTGTTCTGTGAGCACCTACTGCGTGCCTGGGGAACCAGAAGCACTTGCATCCTTGCTGTATGACATCAGAACTATTCTCCGCATTTGTAGAGGAGAAAACCGAAGTTCAGGGAGAAAGGCAGGAGCCTAATGCTCATTTCCTAAACAAACACAGAGTGCCTACTAAGCTCTGCTCTCCCTGATTCACCCCCATCTACTCCCTCCTTTGAATTCCTTGGAGCACTCACCCGCCTGGCTTTGCATTCAAATCTCCTCGGTTCCTCCTTACCTACTGATTCCTCACACACTCCCTGATTCTACAGGGAGAATTCCTGGACACAAAACAGAAAACGTTCAGAGGCAGCATCAACATGATCAGGCTTGGGTCAGGCAGGGCTCTGGTTCAGGGTCACCCCTGGCCGCATCCAGGAGACACTCCCTCCACAGGGGTAGAGAGTGGCCGCATCCAGAGAAACAGTGACTGTGGGTTCCTGGGGTATCCCCCTCAAGAACCACAATGCTTCTTTTTCAAAAGCATCCAGAAAAGCGTCCTCTTTACAGTTAATTGTTTTTAACTAGTCACAGATCCTTTAGCCAGAGGAATCACACTGTGGACCAGCTAAGTCCTTTCTTCTTGAACCACTCACCAGCAAAGTACCATATATAATATATGGTTTTGTCCTGAAGGACCAGGGCCTGCCCTGGAGCTGAGATTGGAGTCAGCATCTTTTTAGGCACCAGGGAATGTAGGGGAGAGGTGATGACTCTTAATGCTAGAAACAATGAGGAAATGAAATAAATGCTCCCTATACATCTATCTATCTTTTCTCCCCGCCACGTGGGTCCATTTCTGGCAAATAGTAAATACTGAAACAGTGTCGTTTTCATTGTGATTCATTTGTTGTTCTGTGTCCTACAGGGCATGTCTCTGGTAAGCCCTGGTGAAGGGCAGGCTCAGGAGGTACCAACCCTCCCGTGTCTGTAAGTGTCCTAGACTCAATTATTGGGGTTTGGGGAGCCTGTTGGGGATGTTGAAGAAAGTCAGCTGCCCTTCCCTATGCCAAATATGGCCTTTGCCACCATTAAGTTGAAATAAGAAGTTCTAGCCACAAAGGCTCCAGAACTAAACCAAACCATTGACAAGGAGGAGAAGATTCTGGTTGCTGTACCACTTCTGTTCCAGCTGCTGCATCTCCCCATCCCTTACAGGAGCTTGAGATTTCTTAGTAGACCTTTTGGTCCAGTAAGAGGTCCTTCTGTTCTCCCCCTTCTGTTTTTCCCAGTGACCAGCTCCCTATCTCATCTACCTCAAGGCCTCTTCTGTCCAGTGTCAATGGTGCAGCTGCTGGGGCCTCTGCAAGTGAAAGGCCTTCTTCCTTCATCCATTTCTGCAGCTATGTGGGGGAGTGATTCCCAGTCCTGTGAATGGGGGAGAAGAGATGGTGAGGAATTCCCACTTCACACTTCCCTTGTGTGTTGTTGTTGTTATTGTTGTAGTTTCCAAATACGTTCAGGAAAAAATAATACATTTGGCATCTTGAGGATTAGTTTGTGTGGTTTTAGTGCCATTTTGGCAAAAATACTTCATGAAGTTTACATAAAAGATTCATGCTGCAACTCAGGGCAGCCAGGGCTATGGCTGAGTCCTGGATTTGATAGAGGGAGCCTTCTCTGAAGGGAATAATCCTGTCTGAAATAGGATCAAGAGATGTTCACAAGGAAGGAGATGCTCCAGCTGGGACCCCAAGGATAAAAAGGAATGTTAAAGTTGGCAAGCTACTAATGGATAGTCCCAGAGAGAAGGCAGCATCTCTTAATGAGTAGCTGATTTAGGATTTGAATCAGGACTTTTTGCCAAGGACTACAGCCCACCCCTCTATGTCATATGCTGGAGACTTCTGTAATAAGCACCCATTTCTTCTTTCTTTTTTTTTTTTTTTTTTTTTTTTTTTTTGAGATGGAGTCTCGCTCTGTTGCCCAGGCTGGTGTGCAGTGGCACGATCTCGGTTCACTGCAGGCTCTGCCTCCCGGGTTCACGCCATTCTCCTGCCTCAGCCTCCTGAGTAGCTGGGACTACAGGCACCCACCGCCACGCCCAGCTAATTTTTTGTATTTTTAGTAGAGACAGGGTTTCACCGTGTTAGCCAGGATGGGTCTCGATCTCCTGACCTTGTGATCCGCCCGCTTCGGCCTCCCAAAGTGCTGGGATTACAGGCGCGAGCCACCATGCCTGGCTGAGCACCCATTTCTTAACAGTGGATATTGGATTTTACTCACTCTCTAGCCCCTGGTAGGGCAAACTCATTACAGCAAGCCCAAGAGCACAATGTTCAGGTGCTATTTTAACAGTTGTGTGTGTACCTTCTAGACTTTTCTCTGTGCTCATATAATCATGCTAATCTATAATCAATATATTGTGATACACATTGTTTGATGTGCAAGTTGGCTGCTTTCTATCAAGAGAAATAAGCAAGTTGCAATGTAATAAGTAATTACATTCTTCTGAGTTTTTGTCCTGCCACAAAGAATGCTACAAAGACATCATCGTGCATATATTTTTACATGCTGGCAATTTTATTTCTGTAGTAGATATTCCCCGAAGTGGATCATTGGTCAAAAGTTAGACGCATTTTTAATTTTCATAGAACAGATTACTTTCTGCAATGACTAGAGTAATTTATAATCCCATCCGCAATATATGAAAAGTCCTTTTATTCTAATCCCTTGCCAGCCATGAATTTTATAAATCCTATTAATTTTCATCAATTGGATGGTAAGAAGTCATATCTCATAGTTAATTATGTTCCCGTGTCCCTGACTCTGAGTGAGGTTGGGCATGTAGCTGACTCCTGCTGCTGAGGCAGCAGCTGGTAAGGTCACCGTGGTAGTGCAGGAGGGAGAAGCCAGTGCCTGTAAGTCAGGAACTTCACGCCCCCACATGCACACCGCGGCTTCCCTTACCACGTCTATGGCAGATGGCTCCAGTCCACTGTGGCTTCCTCTCCTTTTGTCACTAAAGAAAGCCTCAGAATCCTTCCTTAGCAATATTACACAGGAGAAATGGGAACCCTTGTGCACTGCTAGTGGGAATGCAAAATGGTGCAGTAGCTATGGAAAAACGGTACAGCAGCTCTTCAAACACAGGAAAAATAGAATTATCAGATGATCCAGCAATCCACACGGAAGCATGAGGGTGGAGGCAACCGAAACACCCAGCCATGAGTAAACAAAAGGCGTCATGTCGTGGTCCATCCGTACAATGGAGTGTTATTCTGCCTTAAGAAGGAAGCAAATCCTGTCACACACCACAACATGGAGAACCTTGAGGACATGATGCTGAGTGAAGTAAATCAGCTACAGAAGGTCGGGTGCTGCATGAGTCCCCTCATATGAGGTATGGAAAGTCATGAAATTCGCCGGGCACGTTGGCCCATGTCTGTAATCCCAGCACTTTGGGAGGTAGAGGCGGGTGGATCACCTGAGGTCCGGAGTTCGAGACCAGCCTGGCCAACATGGTGAAACCTCGTCTCTACTAAAAATACAAAAATTAGCCAGGTGTGGTGGCGTGTGCCTTTAGTCTCAGCTACTTGGGAGGCTCAGGCAGGAGAACCGCTTGAATCCGGGAGGTGGGGGTTGCAGTGAGCTGAGATCACCCACTGCACTCCAGCCCGAGCGACAGAGTGAGACTCTGTCTCAAAAAATAAAAATAAAATAAAAATAGTCATGAAATTCGTAGAGACGGAAAACAGGATGGTACTGACCAAGGGCTAGAAGGAGGGGAGCAGAGGGAGTGGTTTAATAGATACAGAATTTCACTTTCACAAGATGAAAATGTTTTGGAGATCTGTCCCACAACAACATGAATATATTTAACACGATTGAACTAAACACTTAAAAATGGTTAGGATGGTAATTTTGTTATGTGCTTTTTGTGATAAAAAATATATTACATAAAGCTAAAAGGATATATAAACAACTTCATGCCAACCATATCTTTAAAATTAGGTAAAGTAGACAAGTCTTGAAGAAAAATTTTCCATAATTCACCCAAGGAGAAATATAAATTTTAATTGTGCTATCTGTATTAAGGAAAATCTAATTTATGGTAAAAATCTCCCCTTAAAGAAGGTTCTGAGCTCTGATTATTTTATAAGCAAGTAAAATGAAGCTTTCAAGGAACAACCAATAGACGACAATGTAAATAGGTCAATTACATGTCATATTCAAAGATTATCTTTCTTTGCCTAGATATAAAGCAGGGAAAGGGGAAGGTGTGTGAGAGAGTTCATATAGACAAGGTGGCCAGGGCACGGTGGCTCACACCTGTAATCCCAGCACTCAAAAGGGGAGGCCCACTGGAGGCCGAGGTGGGTGGATCACTTGAGGTCAGGAGTTCAAGACCACCCTGGCCAACATAGTGAAACCCCATCTCTACTAAAAAATACAAAAATCAGCAGGGCATGGTGGCACACACCTGTAGTCCCAGCTACTCAGGAGGCTGAGGCAGGAGAATCATTTGAACCTAGGAGGGGGAGGCTACAGTGAGCCAAGATCGCACCACTGCACTCCAGCCTGGGCAACAGAGCAAGACTCCATCTCAAAAAAAGAACAACAAATCCTAAGTAGAGGAAGGAGAGTGTTAGGATAAATAGCTAATGCATGTGGAGCTTAATACCTAGGTGATGGGTGGATAGTTGCAGCAAACCACCATGGCACACATTTACCTATGGAATAAACCTGCATGTCCTGCACATGTATCCTTAAAATAAACCCTAAGTAGAAAAAAAAAAGTGAGCAAAAAATATACATGGGCACTTCATAAAACAGGGTATACAAATACAGTCTTGATAGTCATCAGGGAGATGCAGTTGAAGACCACCCACTGTCTTAGTCTGAGATCCAAGGTCTGAGAAACCCAATAACACCAAGGCTTGGGAAAGATACGGAGTCACGAAGACTCGTATGCAGCTAGTGGTAATACATTAGTAAACTGCTGCTATGCATCTAGATGTTTGTGGATGTTTGAATATTGAACCCTAGTCCCCAGTGTGATGGTATTAGGAGATGGGGTGTTTAAGAGGTGATTAGTTCATGAGGGTGGGGCCCTTGTGAATGGGATTACTGCCCTCATAAAGAGGCCCCAGAGAGCTGCCTCACCCCTTCCACTGTGTGAGGATGCCACTAGAAGTTGCCATCTATGGCTTTGAAAGGGAGGCCTCACCAGACACTGAATCTGCTGGAGCCTCGATCTTGGACTTTTCAGGCCCCAGAACTTCAAGAAAAGAATTTCTGTGGTTTAGAAGCCACCTAGTTTATGGCGTTTTGTTATAGCAGCCCAGATGGACTAAGACCACAGTCTCCAAGGATAAGTTGGCATTATCTTATAAAGGTGACCATGTATCTACAGGGTGATCCAGACATGGTGGCCAAGAGCCATGTCCAGCTCACACACAAGATAAGGCAAGCTCAAGACTGGGCTGATTCAATGGAGGTCAAGTAAAAATGGCAGCTTCTAGATTTAGAGAGTGTTATGAGTTGAAACGTGTCCCCCCAAATTTCACACATCGAAGCCCTAATTCCCAGTCCCTTCGAATGTGACCTTATTTGGAACTAGGACCTTGCAGATGTACTTAGTGGACATGAGGTTGTTAGGGTAAGCCCTAATCTCATATAAGTGGTATGCTTATAAAAAGGAAATTTGGACACAGAAAGAATACCATGTGAAGGTTGAAGCGATGCTGCCATAAGCCATGGAATGCCAGAGAGTATCACCAAACCACCAGAAGCTAGAAGAGAGTATCACCAAACCACCAGAAGCTAGGAGAGAGGTGTGGGGCAGACTCTCCCTCACCTCCATCAGAAGAAGCCAAACCCGCTGGCACATTGATGTCAGACTCTGGACTGCCAGCACTAAGAGAAAATAAATTTCTGTTGTTTAAGCCACCTGTGTATGGTACTTTGTTAGGACAGCCCCCAGGATGCTAATACAACATATGGTTTGTTACCTATACAGGCGGTGGAAAGGAAAGTACAGCTAGATGCCAGCTCCACATGGTTCTTGTTCCACACCCTAAGAAGGACGGTGCTGAAACAGAGGCACTGTGTGGCTGCCGTGTGAGCTGGGGGCACCCCGGTGCTGAGGAGCCAATGCTGGACTGCAGCTCTGCAGCTCAGAGGGAGTGGGACAGGAATTCCCAGATCCTGTCAGAACCCAGGAGGCCATGAGAAACTGTCTCGCCACCAGGGAGAGGGGGAGGCAAGTGGGAGATGGCCGAAGGGCCACTCCTTCCCTGGCCTGGAAGCCATGGTGGAGTCATTCACCTACAAGCGTGGTTTTCAAACCATTTTTGGTTATGTCTGTAGCAAGAAATGCATTTGAAATTGTGGCCGTAACACACATACACATACGAATACAGATGATAGAAACACGGTGAAAGTCTTTATCCTTACTTTGTACTGTGCTGTCTTTTTAAAAATTATTCTTTACAGTTTCATTAAAAAAAGGCTGGTTGATACCTGATACTTCACTAAATTGATTGCACAAACCACAAATCAAAACAACTGACAATTTGTAAAGCACTGAGAATCTCTTGTAGGTGAGCTGAGAAACACACACCTGAATTTCATAGTGGCATTTGTTTGTTGAATACACTCTTACAGAGCGCTATGTGACAAGCACTGTTTGAAGCATTGTAAAAATATGTGTACAACCACAAGTGATCACAGCCATAAAAAGGATGAGTTCATGTACTTTTCAGGGACATGGATGAAGCTGGAAACGATCATCCTCAGAAAACTAACACAGGAACAGGAAACCAAACACCACGTGTTCTCACTCGTAAGTGGGAGTTGAACGATGAGAACACATGGACACAGGGAGGGGAACATCACTGGGTGGGGGGCAAGGGGAGGGACAGCATTAGGAAAAATACCTAATGCATGTGGGGCTTAAAACCTAGATGATGGGTTGATGGGTACAGCAAACCACCATGGCACATTTATACCTATGTAACAAACCTGCACGTTCTTCACATGTATCCAGAACTTGAAGTATAATAAATAAATTTAGGCTGGGTGTGGTGGCTCACGCCTGTAATCCCAGCCCTTTGGGAGGCCGAGGCGGGCAGATCACGAGGTCAGGAGATTGAGACCATCCTGGCTAACACAGTGAAGCCCGATCTTTACTAAAACTACAAAAAATTAGCCAGGGGTGGTGGCGGGTGCCTGTAGTCCCAGCTACTCAGGAGGCTGAGGCAGGAGAATGGTGTAAACCCAGGAGGTGGAGCTTGCAGTGAGCCGACATCGCGCCACTGCACTCTAGCCTGGGCGACAGAGTGAGACTCTGTCTCAAAAAAAAAAAAAAAAAAAAAAAATTAAAAATCACACACACAAGCGACCCTCACAGGAAAGCTATGAGTTAGCCACTGTTGTTACTCCCAGGTGACAGATGAAGAAACAAAGGAGTAAGGGAAAGTGTCTGTGAGGTCACACAGCAGGCAGGAAGAGGCACGGTATGCTTCAAGCCCGGTACACTTTTTTTTTAACTTTTAAGTTCAGGGGTACATGTGCAGGTTTGTTATATAGGTAAACTCACATCACAGAGGTTTGTTGTACAGAATATTTCATCACTCAAGTATTAAGCCTAGTACCCATTAGTTATGTTTCCTGATCCTCTCCCTCCTCCCACCCTCCAGTAGGCCCCAGTGTGTGTTGTTCCCCTCTACATGTCCAAGTGTTCTCATCATTTAGTCCCTACTTATAAGTGAGAACATGCAGTATTTGGCTTTCTGTTCCTGTGTTATTTTGCTAAGGAGAATGGCTTCCAGTTCCATCCATATTCCTTCACAGGACATGCTCTCATTCTTTTTTATGGCCGCATAGTATTCCTTGGTGTACCAAGGAATACTATGTGTGCCAAATTTTCTTTATCCAGTCTAGCACTGATAAGCATTTAGGTTGAAATGATTATCAGAGTAAACAGACAACCTACAGAATGGGAGAAAAATTTTGGAAACTATGCCTCTGACAAAAGTTTAATATCCAGCATCTATAAGAAGCTTAAACAAATTTACAAGAAAAAAGCAACCCCATTATAAAGTGGGCAAAGGACAGGAACAGACACTTTTCAAAAGAAGACATTTATGCAGCCGACAAGCATATGAAAAACTCACCACTGATCATTACAGAAATGCAACTCAAAACCACAATGAGATACCATCTCATGCCAGTCAGAATGGCTGTTATTAAAAAGCCAAAAAATACAGATGCTGGAAAGATTGCAGAGAAAAAGCCCAGTTCTCTTAACCTTCCTGCTAGGGAGCATTTTTCACAGTAGGAAACACACAAACAGACCAGGAAACAATCCATTAAATTTAGATACTTAAAAGTGTACACTTCGCAACAGAGTACACAAAGCAGTAGAGATTGTGCTATAGCTACACATGACTGGCATGTGAGCATTTTAAAATGCTGAGGAAATTGCAGTGTAGAACACCATAGAATGCTATATTTCACACAAAAATGATTTGTAAAGCTTAAAAACAAACAATTAACAATGTTACTTAGGGATTCATATATTTGGTAAATCTCTTAAAAACAGTATGTTGACGTGCAAAATGCAAGGCATGGGGACTTAAGAGTTCTGTTCACAGGTGGATACAACAGTATTGGCAATGTTGTCACTCTTTTTTTGGAGGGTGATAAGTTCTGGCTGTTTGTTTGTTTGTTATAGAGTCATGCATTGCTTGATGACAGGAATACGTTCTAAGAAATGCTTCATTAGGCAATTTCATGATTGTGCAAACATAGAAGGTACTCACACAAACCTAGGTGGTCTATCTTACTACACACCTAGATGATATAGCCTATTGCTCCTAGGCTACAAACATGTATAGCATATAACTCTGCCGAATACTGTAAGCAATTGTAATACAATGGTTGGTATTTGTATATCTAACCATAGAAAAAATACAGTAAAAATACAGTATTATAATCTTATAGGACCACTGTCATTGACTGAAATATTGTTATGCAGGGAACGTGGCTGTACTCTACAAGTTGCGTGTGTGTGTACATATATATATATACATACCTTCTATATCTCTTGTACAATATTTTTAAATTATGGCAAAAACATAAAATTTACTATTTTAATCACATGTAAGTGTACAGTTCAGTGACATTTAGCACGTTCATATTGCTGTGCAAGCATCACCACCATCTAGAATTTTTCATCTTCCAAAACCGAAACTCAATACCCACTAAACAATGACTCCTAGTCCTCCCTTCTCCCAGCACCTGGAGAACACCATTCTACTTTCTATCTTTGTGAATTTGACTACTATAGGTATCTCATATAAATAGAGTCATATAGCATTTGTTCTCTTTTGACCAGCTTACTTCACTCAGCATAATGTCCTCAAGTTTCATCCATGTTTTGCCTATGACAGAATTAATTTTTAAGGCTGAACGATTTCCCATTGTGGGTATATACTACATTTTGTTAATTCATCCAACAGTGGACACTTGGGTTGCTTCCACCTCTTGGCTGTTGTGTACAATGCTGCTACGAACATGGGTGTACAAATATCTCTTTGAGTCCCTGCTTCAACTTCTTTGGTTATATACCCAAACGTGGGATTCCTGGATCATATGTAATTCTATTTTTAATTTTTTCAGGAACCACAATAATGTTTTCCATAGAAGTTGCACCATTTTACAATTCTACCAACCTTGTGCAATGATTCCAGTATTTCTACCTCCATGCCAACACTTGTTATTTTCTGTTTGTTTTTTTTTTAATAGCAGCCACTCAAATGAGTGTGAGGTGATCTCTCACTGTGGTTTTGATATGCATTCCTTGAATGGTTAGCAATGTTAAATATCATTTCATATGTTTGCTGGCCATTTGAACAGAGACTCCTTGACTTACAATGAGGTTACATCCTGATAAACCCACCAAAAGTTGAAAACATCTTAAGCAGAAAATGCATTTAATACACCTAACCTACTGAACATCATAGCCTGGCCTGCCTTAAATGTGCTCAGAACACTTACATGAGCCAACAGTTGGGTGAAATCATCCAACACAATGCCTATTTTATAATAAAGTGTTGAATATTTTATGTAACTTATTGAGTACTATACTGAAAGTGAAAAGCAGAATGGTTGTAGGGGTACTGGAAGGACACTTTCTACTGAATGCATAGAGCTTTTGCAATATTGTAAAGTCAAAAAGTAGTGCGTTGAACCATGTTTCTATATTTTCTTCTAAGAGTTGCAGATCATGAGGTCAGGAGAGCGAAACCATCCTGGCTAACGCAGTGAAACCCCGTCTCTACTAAAAATACAAAAATTAGCCGGGTGTGGTGGCAGGCGCCTGTAGCCCCAGCTACTGGGGAGACTGAGGCAGGAGAATGGCGTGAACCCGGGAGGCGGAGCTTGCAGTGAGCTGGGATCGCGCCACTGCACTCCAGCCTGGGCGACAGCGCAAGACTCTGTCTCAAAAAAAAAAAAAAAAAAAAAAAAAAAAGTTGTATAGTTTTATCAGAAATGTAAAGGCTTATTTCTGGACTTCTGATGCTATTTTATGGATCTATGTATCTATCCTTATGATAGTATCACATTGTCATGGATTAATAAATTGATGGATAAAATAAGTGATCACAATGGAAATTAAACACACTTCGTCCTGAAAAATAATAAAAATATATATAAAAACTGGCCAGTGAGAAACAATTTCCAAAATGGCAGTGGGAGGAGGTTTTTTCTCTGGGCCGTCTCCTGAGGAAATAATCGTATTGTATTTATTTTGAGGCTGTTAGGCATAAACAAGTGTGTGATTGTTTGATGTTACTGTTTATCATCATTATCATACAATGGCCATTTTATCCCTGATAATTATTTTTGTCTTAAAATATATTTGCGTGCTATTACTTTGTTTACCAGACATATTCTTGATTATTTTTTGCCTATCATATGCTTTTTATTCTTTTATTTTTAGTACTTCTGCATCTTTAGTTTTTTAGGTGGGTCTTTTGTAACAGCATAAAGCTGGCCATAATCTCATTATAATCCAATCTGACAACCTGTGTCTTATTTTGTGAAATTAATGCATTTTTCATTTATTGTCATGATTTATATGTATGCATTAATTGTTATAATTTTTATTAGTGTTTTTAAAATTTTTTTCATGCTTTTATGTATGCCTCCTTTTACCTCATTTACTGGCCTTTCCCTTATTTTCGGATTCCCTGTAATGCAGGCTTTGCAACAAAGATTTAGGGGTAAGTAGTTTTGGGAGGAGTTATTCCAAAACGTCCTGAGGGAGCTAGGAAGGGAGAGAAGCCAATAAAGAGCATGTTAATTATGGGCTGTCACTAAAGCAGTGGGTTTATTTCCAGTGGATGCTCTCCGAGATGTGTAAAAGACATCTCAGAATTGTCCCACCCAGGGATGAGGAAGGCCAGATATTTGTTTACCAATTTCCTTGCTTGTTGACTGAGGGTGGTTTCTGGGGCATTGGCTCTGCAATACCTGAGGCAGAGAGAAGCACAGAGGCATCAGCCTCTGGGGAAATCGGCAGCTGAACTCCAGAGTAGGCTGAAAAGTTGTGAGTGGGCTCTGGAAGCTTCTGCTAAATCTTTTGGGGTTTTTCTTCCTCTAATTTTATTTGTTTGTTTATTTGTTTTACTTCTTCCAGTTTGACACTTGTTCACACTTTTTCTATTTACAGGTTGTCCTCGATGTTTTACTATTAAAATTATAAATTCTAAAATTAATCAAAAACGCATCTTTTTTTTTTTTAAGACAGTTTCGCTCTGTCACCCAGGCTGGAGTGCAGTGGCACAATCTGGGCTCACTGCAACTCCCGCTTCCCAGGTTCGAGTAATTCTCCTGCCTCAGCCTCCCGAGTAGCACGTGGCACCACTCCTGGCTAAATTTTGTATTTTTTTCTTTTGAGACGGAGTTTCACTCTTGTTGCATATTTTTAGTAGAGACAGGGTTTCACCGTGTTGGCCAGGCTGGTCTTGAACTCTTGACCTCAGGTCATCCACTGGCCTCGGCCTCCCAAAGTACTGGGATTACAGGTGTGAACCACCATGCCCAGCCCAAAAACGCATCTTCATTTCCTAAATAATATGAGTACATTATAGCAGTTTGATTCTTGTAAACTCCTACTGACTTACATGCAATTATGTTGGTATTTTATTGCGCCTTCTCTGACTACATATATTTTACTTTTTATTAAAAATAGTGTTTTTTGAGAGTTATCTATATACTTACCCATCTGTTTATTATTTCTTCTTGCATCTTAAACCTTCCTTTGGGGATCATTTTTTCTTCTTTCTAAAGTATATTCTTTGGTAATTTCTGAGTAAATTTAGTTAGAGATAAACTCAGATTGTCTTTATCCAAAAATGTATGTATATTTTATGCTTGTTCTTGAGAGACAGTTTGTTAGTACTCATTCTAAGATGACAGATTTTTTTCCCTCTCAGCATATTTTAACACTCCTTTGCTTCTCTGATTTTAATTTTAATTTCTTTGTAAATGATATGCCTTGTCTGTACAGGTGTTTGAAACCTCATCTTTGTCATTCTATAGCTTTAATGCAATAGGCTTAGGTATCAATTTCCTTTTATTTATGATGCTTGGTATAAATTATGTCTTCTGTCTATGTGGATTAGTCTCTTTCAAATGTGGAAGTTTTTCAGTCATTTTATCTTCAGATCACTTTCTGTTACTCTCACTCATGGAAGCTGATTAGCTATGTGTTAGAATTTCTAATTTCACCTTTCATATTCCATAAACTCACCTTGTATTTTCTTCCTCTTTTCTTGTGTCTGCATTTGAAGCCATAATCCAAATCACTAAGTCTTTTTCAGCTCATGGGACCTGATTAGAGGTTAATCTGTTAACCTCTAATCTGTTGTTTCATTTCAAAAAGTGTCTTTTCACTTCTAATAATTTAGCTTTCATTATCTTTGTAGTTATTTTTAAAATCAACTTTATTTGCAAAACTGGTATGTAATGCAATAAGTTTTGAAAAATGTCTAAAGTTGTGTAATCACCACAGTCAAGCTATAGAGCATTTCCATCACCCCAAAAATTTCCTGTTTGCCATTTGCCAGCAAGCTCTCCTTCTTCCCCCAGCACTAATCAGCTTTCTGTCATATGAGTCGGCCTTATCCAGAATCTAGTGTAAATGAAATCATACAATATGTGGGCTCTGTGTCTGGACTTGTGCACTTAGTGTAATGCTTTTGAGATTTATCTGTGTTGCTGCATCTAGCAATACTCCATTTCTTTTTATTATTAAGAAGTATTTCATTATATAGATCTATTACAAGTTGTTTATCCATTCCCCCAGTTGATGGGCATTTGGGCTATTTTCAATCTTTGACTATTATGAATAAAGTCTTTGTGTGGACATGTTTTTCATTTCTTTTGGATAAATACCTAAAAGTGGGATTGCTGGTTCACATGGTATGCATACCTAGAGATGTATTTACCTATGAAAGAAACAGCTTATTCTGTTTCTCCTTGACTTATCCAAACTGGACTTCTTGTGATTGTACTTCTGCTAACAGCCATAAGCATTTGGCTCTCTCTCTAGCATAAACCTGCCCTTACTTATCTCCATTCTCTTAATATTGTTTTAGCACTATTGTTAGTAAACAATAGTGATTGTTTTATTTATACTGATTACATTATTTATACTAGCAATGCTTCTCACTGCAGAACTAAGCGGTATGCTGGAATGATACTTCCTTACCTAGCTTTTTTTTTTTTTCCTGAGCTTTCTTTTCTACTTTTTTTCCTGTAATTTCTTCCTTCTACTTAACCTCCCTTTTTATGATTCCCCAAAGCCACATCTTTTTGGTTATTTTCCTCAGTCTCCTAAATCAGACTCTCAGGAAAACTCACTCCTGGGTCTCATTCCCTCCAGGGCTGCTGCATGGTTTACCTGGTGGTTTCTCTTACAGTTCCCCTGGATTTGGCCCACTGTTTCCTAAATGTGTTGCCATGTTCTTCATTTTTTTTCCTAGTATCTCTGGATGATAGTCCTTCAGCAACTTCCTATGAAAAGAAAACAAACTATCTGGTTACCTACTTTCAATTAACAGATTTGGCTTAAGCTCCAGTCTCCTCACTGGACTTCACCATATCTGTCACCTAATAGCTCAATCCTCTTTGCTTCTCTGAAAGGCTAAATTGCATCCCTTATTAACCAATCTTTCCTTCTATGGCTTTTCTTAGGCTGCTATATTAGCTACCACTCAACTGTCTGACTTCCATCTTCCAGAAATGTCTTGATCATAAGCCTGCCCAATTTATTTGCCTTCATGGGTTTATAGCATTTTATACCTTTTTCAATGCAAAGTTGCTTAATGTCCAAGCTCATCTCTACAGTTTCCCTTCTTCAACATTCTACATTAGTGGCTATAATGATTTATTTATATTGTATATTTGTATTGCAGGAAATGTAGCCTAATATGACCTCCCAAATGATTTGAAGTGTCTGCCCTGCCCCCAGAGGACTTTGTCATGGCAATTACCAAGTGTCTTTCAAGCTTTTTGTTACTTCAATTTTTCTAATCACTTCTTTGTGCTACCACCAGGCTATGCAGAAGAAGTGATGATGGGTAAGCTTTATTCTTATATTTCAAACTTAATGCCTGGCTCATAACAGGCATAAGATAATATTTTTTGAACAAAAGAAAAGCTAAGGCCAGGCACGGTGGCTCACGCCTGTAATCCCAGCACTTTGGGAGGCCGAGGCAGGCAGATCACTTGAGGCCAGGAGTTCAGGACCAGGCTGGCCAATATGGTGAAACCCCAGCTGTGCTAAAAAAAAAAAAAAAAAAAAATAGAAAAATTAGCTGGGCATGGTGGCACATGCCTGTAACCCCAACTATTCAGGAGGCTGAGTTAGGAGAATCGCTTGAACTTGGGAGGCAGAGGTTGCAGTGAGCTGAGATCACTGGTGACAGAGCGAGACACCATCTCAAGAAAAGCTAAGTATGTCTCCATAACAAATACATACCATTAAGCTTATTAATGTTTTTCTCCTTCCTCATCTGAGTATGATCTTCACTCTTAGATTAGCATTTTCTCTAGAAGGAGCACAAAGCTAAAAAGGGCTAATGATCAGCTTCCACATGGGAGAAAGGGTTATAGTGCCTGACAACAACATCAAAAACCAGACTGTTTTCTTGAGAAAGTAAAGTTCAAAATGTTTATATGGCCTCTTACCATTTTAATAACTAAACATGAAGTGCTTAGCTCTTAAAATTTCTTCTAAATGTTTGAAACATTTTTGTCTCTTTCTGACCGTTAAGGCTTGCTCAGAAGAAGAAAGAATATGAGATAAAATTGGTGGAAGATGAGCCTTTCTCCTCTCCAGCCTGGGATAGGATACAAAGATGGGAAGGAGGATGGTTTCTCTGTACTTATTTTTATTTATTTCCTTATATTTTACAAAACTGAAATCATATTGTAGTCATTTTACATCATGACTTTTATCACCTTCCATGATGTCATGAGCATTTTCTGATGTCACTAAGTAATCCTAGCAGACATGATTTTTTTTGATAGCTGTTGGGCACCTTATTACATGGATACACCATCATCTAGGTAACAGGTATTCAGCTTTCTCATGTCTAAATGGGGAGATGGATGGCTGAGATAATAGAAAAACATGTCTCTCTCGGGGCCTGACCACAGAAACTGTGCAAAACATATGCACGATTTTCTTCCACGTTTATTCTCTTTCCTCTAACATATTTGGATGCACACCAAAGTTTGAGTATTCTTTCAGAATCTATGTGTCCTGAAGACTGGGGATCCCTGTCTTTAAGAGTTGAGAGAATATGAAAACTCCTGTGTCTGAAAAACACCCTCAAATCCTTGTCTGCTGGGTGGAGTTGAAGAGTGATTGTGAACCCAACCATTGTTCTGTCCTCTCTTCATTTCTCCCAGATTAATGAATTTCCTCACAGCTTCGATTACATTTAATGGATTCCCTAGGAACTGGGACAGAAGGTCGGAGCCAATTGACTTCAGCTCCAGACCAAGAACAGCTCCTGACCTGAAGGCAGGCAGAGTCATTTGTGAGATCTCCAAGGGGTGAAAATAAATTAGGGTGGGTTACGGCTATCTGCATTCATTTCCAGATAGCTCAATAGGTAAATAGCCACTGCATATTGGCTTTGTGGCTTGTAAGTAGAGCAGAAATTTCATAAAGTCAAGGTATGTATGTATGTATAAACATATTTTAGTTACAAAAATTTATGTCAAAAGGAGTAAGGAAGCATACATGTCTTTCATTGTTATCTGAATATAAAATACCACAGTTTTTTTTTGGAGAACAATATCAATTAGACATAAAATGTGCAATCTTTGACCAAAAAATCAATTTTGAGGCAGTGTGCTTATTATTTAGAGGCATCTGTGTGCATTTATCTAAATAAACATTTAGTGATATGCACAGGTGAATTTATTTTTTCTGCAAATATTTATTTGTATATGCCTCTTTAACATATACCTGTATCTCTCTGTTTCAATTATACATTTGTTTCCTTTCACCCTACCCAGCTATGATGTTGTTAAATAATAATTTGCAAAATAATAAAAAATTCTGACTTTCATACAAATATAAATAAACTCATATCAAAGATTTAATCAAATAATCAGTTAATGAGGAAACCAGTAAGATGTTAAAACTTTTCAAGAGATGATCTGAAGAGACACGTATAACCAGGAATTGGGAATGCTGACATGAATTCCATACTAGATACAACACTAGTCACTACCCACAGTGCTGTTTTTGAAATAGATTCTTCCATTGGGACAGGGTGGGGGGTTAATTGCCCTCACCACCAGACAAAATTCATTTGCATCTCTATGGAAAAATTATATTTTTTACTCTCAAGATTTTCAAATTAACTTATAGCATAGCGATATATCCCCCTTAAAGGCCCTGGAGAGATCAGAGCCCTGTAAAATTAGATAGCCCCACTTTGATAATGCTTGATAATGCCCAGCATTCTAGTGAAAGAACACCTAGTATTTTGTTTCCATTTCCAAGTCTTTCATGGCAAAACAAACTATGAGATGGTCTTTCATAATTTTTCTTGGCAGTATAATTAGAAGAGCACTGATTATGGAGAAAGAAGATTTGAATTCCAGACATGGATTCCCCATTTTATCTACATGAACCTCAGATAAATTACTTCTTTTGGGGGTGTCATACAGAGGTTCACAGGAGAAATGACCTGAGGCTTTAATCTTGGAGGATGAGTAGGAATTTGTTCAAGATGACATGTGGACTGTCCCGCCAGGAGAACGTGCTAAAAGGCACATTTGAGGGGGTCAAGGAATGAAGGACCTCATCCTGGTGTTCCTGACCTTAGAGGAAATAACTTTACATGTGCTCCTCTGTTTCTCACCTATGGTAAGTTCTGACCGACATACCCCAAAGAGAACCTGTGAGAATCACATGAGTTCACGTTTGGGAAACATTTTTTTTTTTTTTTTTTTTGAGACTGAATCTTGCTCTGTCGCCCAGGCTGGAGGGCAGTGGCACAATCTCGGCCCACTGCAAGCTCCATCTCCCGGGTTCACACCATTCTCCTGCCTCAGCCTCCCAAGTAGCTGGGACTACAGATGCCCGTCACCACGCCCGGCTAAGTTTTTTGTACTTTTAATAGAGACAGGGTTTCACCGTGTTAGCCAGGATGGTCTGGATCTCCTGACCTCATGATCCGCCTGCCTCGACCTCCCAAAGTGCTGGGATTACAGGCGTGAGCCACCGCGCCTGGCCCGGGAAAGTATTTTTAGGTCTCCAAAGGAGTGTGCATTTAAGGACTGCTGTACTGTGTGCTTGACACATACTATGTCATTTAATCTTTTCAATCCTATAAGATAGATACCATTATGATCCTGTTCTCTGAACCTTATAGAAATGGGAGTTTCTTTGCCAAGGTAACATAGCTACCAAGCATTAGAGTCTAGGACGAATTCCAGACTGCCTCTTAATATTGCAGCTGAAATTAAAAAGCAGGATATTGACTAATGTATCACTGATGACCTGGAGGGAGGTCTGGTGTAATTCAAGGTTCTATCCTTGGTTCTTTTCCCTTCAAGAGTTTTCATCCATTGAATCATTCATTCACCCATCAACATATTGATTTATTTAATTGCCCTATATTATTTCTGCACTTTTTTTTTTTTTTTTGAGATGGAGTCTCCCTCTGTCGCCCAGACTGGAGTGCAGTGGTATGATCTTGGTTCACTGCAGCCTCTGTCTCCTGGGTTCAAACAATTTCCTGCCTCAGCTTCCTGAGTAGCTGGGACTACAAGCACCAACCATCATGCCCAGCTAATTTTTGTATTTTTAGTGAAGATGGGGTTTTGCCATGTTAGCCAGGCTGGTCTTGAACTCCTGACCTCAGATGATCCACCCGCCTCGGCCTCCCAAGGTGCTGAGATTACAGGCGTAAGCCACCACACCCAGCCTGTTTCTGCACTATTTAATAGATGCCCTGCTTAACATAGATTAAACTTCAAAAATCCTATATAGAGTCTATTAGCTTGATTTATCAATAAGGAAATTGAGGCATGAAGATTTCAAGTAACATTGTGAAGCTCAGAGGGCCAGTATATTTTGAGCTGTGTCTAGAATGCAGGAATCCTATTTACCTTCTGGACCATGATTTATCTGAGTCTATATGCAAACCCAAGCATGACTCATTGGTTACGTGTCTCATCCATTGCATCTTCTTCATACCCACTGCCACTGAGTTACTGGCTTCTCCCCTGAGTTTCCATGGAAGGCATCTGTCTGGACTCACTGCTCTGTTCTCATTGCTCTGCACTAATGTTTCCAGGAAACTCAGATTCTCACATAAGCTCCTCCCATTCTCCTGGCCCATGCTTGTTTCTTTAGCCTCAACTTGCTCCACTTTTCTCCTTTCTTTCTGGTCTTGTTCTCTAGCCTCATGGAAGCACTTTCCTAAATATGTACTTGCTGTTTTTTGGAGCCAGAGAATCTTGGCATCAAGAATCGTACTTAATGTATGTTAGTTGGTCTCTTTGGGTTCTATTTTTAACATCCCTGAGCTCAGTTTATTCTTGTTTAAGAAGAGGATAGCAAGAGCACCAAAATCCTGGGATTCTTGTGAGGATTGGTAAGAAACCTAGATTGTTGTGTGGCTCATCATAAGTACCCCATTCACATTCAGTTGGGTTGATGTTGGTGTTAACATCATGTGCTGCTTTCCCTGGTTGGTGTAGCCTGCCATCCATCTTCCCCACCCAATACACAGGCTGGCCTTTGTTCATCTTGAACACTCAGTTTGTTTCTCTAGGAAGCCTTCTCTGGGTTCCCAGACTGGGCAGCCTCACCCAGGCTCTCATAGCACCTAACGATTCCTGTAGCTGAACACTGATCATCCTGCATTGCAGCTGCTCACTTATTGCTATTCTCCTCCTTTAACCTGTAAGCAACTGGGAGCTATGTCTGTTGGTCTACATGCCCCTGGAATGCAGCTTTTTGCCTGGCACATAATAGGGGATAAATCTGTGTTTTCGGTGAATGAATGAATGAATGAATGAACAATCAAACGTGATGATCACATCTCTCACACCTTCAAGGGATGGCAGAGGTATGGATTTATTTATGCCACTGGGTCATTCTTCCACAGTGAACATTAAAAGCTTGTTTATCTTGGGGATTGTCAATCAGATTCCATCTCTGTTTTGAATGAAGAAGAAGACAAGCAAATCATTAGAATAATGACTGAGGAAATTCAATATACGGCATTTAAAGGGCACTATCAGGAATCTGAGGCCTCAAGTCAATGCCTCTTGCAAGTGACATTAGCAAGTTTGGAGTGTCATGGCACCATGGAAACAAATGACCCCATGAAAGTGATTTCATTTAATCTACTCATTCTATAATAGAGGGGACTGAGGCCAAGGGGAGAGGAGATGTTGTGAAAGAAGTTTTAAGAAGAACTGCCCTGGAGATTGGATTATTAGCTTTCGCCTAAATGAGAGTATTCTATAATAGTCACAGGAACGTGTGCTCCAACCACATGAAGCTCCTAAACACAGCAATGCCTGCTCTCTTTGAAGCTGTGAGCAGTCTAAGATTTCTGTCTTAATCTCCTACCAGTGAAGTTCTCTTACCATTAACCAGGATACATTCTCACCTTGGTCATTATGCAGGAAAGGGTTAACTTCGCAGACCTGGGCTCTTCAAACCCTGCACATTCCCAGGGTATTCAGGACTAGCCCTTGGTCCAGGAAGTCCTTGGAGTATCCTGTCTGACCAGAGGCTTTGGGTCATGCCAAGTAGGTCAGGCTAACGATGGGTATTTATTGTGAATGCCATTTGTGTATGCTTGAGGCTTTGGGGCACACTGTTATCAGTCTAACATTGGGGACGGAGGGTGAAGGTCTGAATAGCTGAGGTCAGTCTTAAAGTCACTGCATGCCCATGTGACTGACTCATAATAAAACTCTGGACAGCAGGGCTCAGGTGAGGGTCCCTGGTTGACGTCAATCTGCACAGGCTGTCACACGTCATTCCTCAGAGAATCAATCACCGCCTGCGAAACTCCACTGGGAGAAGACACCTGAAAGCTTGAGTCTGGTCTCTCCTGAACTCTTCCCTATGTGCCTTTGCTGAGTTTAGTCTGTATCCTTTTGCTGTAATAATCTGTAACCATGAATATACAGGTTTTCTGAGTTCTGTGAGTCCTTATAGTGAATCATCAAAACTGAAGGTGTCTTGGAGACCCAGACACAGCCCTCTGCTCCATGTTATATGCCAGCAGAGGTGCTCTGTCAAGACAGAAAGCACATGGTCTAGACCAGCATACTGATTATATCAGCTAACTTCAACTGTATAATAATCCCAAATGAATGGCCTAAAACAGTAACTATTTAGCTCATGATTCTGTATCTTTCAATTTGAGTTGGGCTTTGTCAGGCTGTCTTTCTGCTCCCTGGGCTCCTTCTATTGTCAGAGTGGCTCTGCATTGAGGGTTGGCTGGAATCCAGAAACGGCAAGGGGAGAAACTGGACTATATGCTTCTCTCCCTCCAGCAGGCCAACTCTGGCTTGTCACAGAGCAGGCAGTGGGATTCCAAGGTCAGCAGGGAAGCAAGCTCCACTATGCAGCCCTTTTCAAGCCTCTGCTGGTATTGTGTTTGCTAATATCTCACTGGTCAAAGCAAGTTACACGGCTAATTCAGGTTCAAGGAATGGAGAAATATATGGTGCAACATCACATTGTGAGGGTGTGGATACAGAAAAGGGAAGAATTTACAGTCATTTTTACTATCTACCAAACCCTGAAGAGAAGAGTAACAGCAGGTTATGAATGGGGTGACTGAAAGCCAGCTGATTTCATCACACTTCTTTTGACAGTCCCTGCCTGGGGCACACTGTCACCAGCAGCTGGATCAGTAAAAAGACAAAAAAATACCCCCACTACTCACCACAGATTTGCAAGCCAGTTTATTGTTATGGTCTAAAAAATAAATTGAGACAATTATATCAATACTGCTAAACCCCATCAGAAATGCCTCACACTTACTGCTTTGCAAAATTTCTTCCAAATCTGTCATATTCTTGATAGTTAGGAGCTATTATCCCTATCTGATAGATGAGAAAATTAAGGCATGGAGAGATGGTGTAGTTGCCCACCCAGATTCATACTCTTTGTCTAATTCCAACACCACTCTTCTATCACTGTGCAGTGTTGTCTTTTATTCATTATCACAGGCCCACTTTGAGATGTGTGTTTCTGCTCCCTTTATACAGATAGAGGCAGAGGCTTACAGCAGTTCGCAGTGTAATGGCTGTACCACCCTGAGGGTCACTTCCTCTGTATAACACTCACCAGACACGTATTATTTCATCCTGAGTGATAGTCCATAGCAAAAGCATAGAGAATGCACCAGTCACACACCCAGAGCCTGCTTTTAAGGAGTTCCAAGCCATTTAAACCATACCTTCACAGTTTTTTGGCATTTCATTTGTTCAGGTTTAAGTAGCATACAAAGATGCATAGATCTGAGCGAGAAAAATTTCTTTTCGAGTAGGTGATTCAGAATATGTGCAAACAAAAGGGATAATCTCTCAGTTTGGAGGGAGTAACAGAAAAAGAAAGAGACAAATACAACCAGCTGGTTTGAGGGCGTAATTGCAATGCTTATAACACTGGCCTCTCCCCCACAATCATGCTGGGCTCTGGGGCCATGGAAACAGACATTCAAATACCAGTTTCTGCCTCAAAGAGTCACCAAAACAGTGCACAGAGAATAATAACAGTGTGAGAAGCTGCGATGTGGGGAGCCAGGAGGGTCCTTCCGACTCTCAGAGGCAGGTGTATTGTTATTGCATGACCGGATATTGAGGGAGTTGGACCATTGCCCCTGACTTTCCACCTGTCTCAGTATCAGAAGGATGCAGCCATGCTCTTTGTCACGTGACCTGACCGTCTCACTGACTAGAGGGGGAAGAGTGCTGCCCCCTGCCATGAAATTGGCTGTTGGAATGTGGGGCATGGCGGTCAATCCATTTCAGCACCAGGCATTAAGATGCACTGCAAGGTTCCATTTGCTTCTCTCATGCCCCTGCTTCTATCCTAAAATGCAGACTCAGTGGGCAGCTCCTGGCCTAAGGGCGACAGAGACCCTGGAGCCAAGCTAAGCCTCACCACAGCATGCAGGGGAGCACGCCTGCAGACAGGTAGACCTGTGAGTGAAAAATAGAAATAGTTGCTTCTGGAGGCCACTGAGATTTTGAGGTAGTTTATTAGGTAGAATAGAATAAAATAAAATAAAATAAAATGAAATGAAATGAAATGAAATGAAATGAAATGAAATGAAATGAAATGAAATAAAATAAAAAGCTAATAAGAGTGCAGACTCTGCTGGCCAGACCAGAAGACCCCCACTCTGTTCCTTTATGTCAAGGCTTGTGTCTCCTTAGACCTGGTTCCTCCAGAGGGCAAGTTTGCTTCTAGGTTTGGGTCCTGGTTCACCCCATTCTGGTGCTAGTAGCTGATCAGTTCTAGGCTTTTGGTAGGCCCTGGGGGGCCCAGGTAGTTCCACTCTCATGTTTAATTTGGTGCTGGGGTGAGAGTGGTCTAAAATGTACCTGTCATGTCATCTATTATATATTGACACTTTACACAATCCATATCATCACCCTCATAACCACCCGGAAGGGTAGGTATTATTAGCAAGTTGCATGATAAAAGCAGACTGTTGTAGGGTGGCGAATTCTTCTCCATGCCCTGTTTTGAACCAAATGAAAATAAAACAGAAATAGACAGCAGATGAAGAGCCACAGCATGGCCTTACAACTGCCAAGGCTGACACTAGAGAAGGTGACTTCTTTCTGTGGGCACCTGGGGGACTTCAGAGTACTGATCCCCAGAAAAAGAAAGAGCTACTCAACCAGCCCAGGCCACTGGAGCTGACAACATCCCCTAACCCTGGCCAGCATGGGGCTGCCGCTGTCTGACAAGGTGGGGGAGCTGCCAGGTGTTTGTAGAGGGTCCATGCTGAGAGGAGCCTGGGTATGTGCCTGAGAGTGGACCTCAGGCTGCTTAGGCAAGGAGACAGAACATAAAGTAGTATAAGGGAAAGTATCAATATCGGTGCCCGCCCCTGGGAGGCAGGATTTAATACCATAGCAAACTCCCTGGGAGACGCTGCTAAAATGCTGCAGGGATGCCTCCTAAAAGCAGAGAGAAAGTGATGCCCACACTGAGCAAAATAGAGAAGCCAGCACTGCCTTGGAGATGGAGGGGGAGGGGGAGTTCATGACTAAGGGAGTTGGGAGGAGCCGTCAAGAGGCTCTGCCGCATGGAAGGGCTTGCATGGGCCTCAGGTCGGCAAAGCAATGAGGTCCAAACTGCAGGAGTGGCACTCTACAGTCAGGGTGCACCTCCCACGGTGTTCTCTCTGGGCTGCGGCTGATGGGCAGAGATGCTCTCATGGTAGGATCCTGAAATAACAGTCTAGGTGGTAGCCCACAGCTAACAGAAGCATGGTGGGTGCTGGACCCTAGGTCAGGGAGGCAAAGGAGCATGGAACTCTACCCAGCACTAGGGCCAGGACTAGACCAAGGCAAGAGAGGAGCTCAGGGTGCAAAATGTAAGGAGGCTCTCACCTCAGGGCCTGACTCTGTCCCCATGGCCCTGGGAGGGAGTTCCTCCTTATGGTTTGTACCCTGGGCCCCTTTCTTGCCTTACCCTAGTCCCAGCCCTGGTGGTCAGTAGGGAACGATGGATATGGAAGATAGAGCACAGCATCCTGGGATCAAGATTGGAGCCTTGGGTCCACATGACGGTCTTTCCCCCTTTGTCTGAATGTATAATTGGAATGAACTCATGTGGTAGGTGGCACCCACTGCCACTGCGTTCTTGGCCTGTGGGGTAAGAGCTGTCATAGCAGCAGGGGCCAGGTGGAAGCTGCTGAAATGGGTCCCCACCCTGAGCCAAGAAAGCAAACAAAACAAACAACCCAGGGGTTGGCAGATGTCAGGGCCCCCTTAAAGGATACAGGGAACAGTCCCCATCATATCCCCACTTCATGCACCAGTATTGCTCCAGGAAAAGGTCCAGGAGGGTGAGAGTAAACCATGACATACTCACCTCACTTGCAGCTGCTGTGCAGGACACAGAATCTCTATTAGAGTAGATTTACACAGATAGGATGTCACCATTAGACAAATGGTTCCCGTTTCATCCCTATGAGAAAGAAGAACCCAAAAGCCTTCAGTTGGAACTGACATCTCCAGGTATGCATTTCCAGTCTTCCCCAGGCCTTGACACCTCCCACTGTCCTAAGATAGTCCAGGGAACATGGTCCACCCAGATATTCTGCAGATCATCATGTTGCTCCACTCCAAGATGAGTTGCACTCCATGTGAATTGCATGAGCCGAGCAGGAAGTGGCAAGTACACTAAAGGCCGTGGCAGACACATGTGCTCCAGCAGCAAGGAGATAAACCTCATGAAGATTCAAGAGCCTTACATCAGTGAAGTTGCCTTGGACATGATAGGATTCCCCTCCAAAGTAAAATTCTGGCACCTCCTATTACTAAGAAGGAAGTACAACACCTGAGCGGCTCCCTGTGCCAGCAGCACATTTCACACCTGGAACTAACTGCTTCAACCTATATACCAGGTGACACAGCAGCCAGCCAGCCTGGAGTGGGGTCAGAGCAGGAAGGGGCTCACCAGCAGATATGGGCTGAAGTGCAGGTGCCATGGGCTATGTGAACTGGCAGACCCTGTTGTGACAGAGGCAACTGCAGTGGGGAGAGACACTATGTAGAGTGTGTGGAAAGTCCCTAGAGAAATTACAATAAAGGCCCTTGGGTCCGCAATGGAGTGTCATGCCATCTCTAGTGGAGAACCACATATCTTTCAAAACATAGTCCCTGGCATGAAATTGGGCTTTGGTAGAGACGCCTATCTATGGGACATGAAGTAATGATACTCCCAGAACAGACCATCATGAAACTCATCAAGTTGTAAAGTTGGGCGGGAGATACTCCATGAGGGAATGGGCATGAGCAGCACTGAAGGCATTAGCCCATAACCCAAGCAGGCAGCCCAGCCACCCCCTTGCCCCAACTATCCCCCACTAATGCCTGTTCCTCAGCTCACACATGCAACAACACCCTAGCTCCTTCTGACCAGCTGACAGAGGTGGAAATGGCCAAGCGTGGTTTATGAATGGGTTGGCTTAATATGTGGGTACACATCAATAATGGGGTGATATATAAATTGAAAATAGTAATGCCATTTAACTCCTGAGGTGGTTGTGAAGATCTATTATGATAATGTGTGTCAAGTACTGACACATTCATAAATGTGAGATACTGTTATTGATGTTGATGTTGTTAGCATCACCATCATGACAAGGGAAAGCTGGTGGTAAGCAGACGGTGCTACCCACACTCACCTTTCTTGACCTTCTCCCATATCTCAGCTCTGATCTCTGTTTCCTGACCCGCTCCCTCCTGGTTGCCACCTGGAGCGCAGGTGATTTACTGAGCTTGAGCAGCACACTTAGAATATCAGCTCTTGGTAGACACAGCCCTCTCACCTGGTGTCAGCTCCTCCAAATGCTGCCCGAAGCCAACTGAAAGAATAATTAAGCAGCCATTTGGATACTAATTATGGAGCCTTGGCAAACATAGGGGAGAGTGGAAATCTCTTTGGCTTGAGTTTGTGCACCTGTGTCCAGCAGGAGATGCATACACATGTGCGTACACACACACCTGCTCACAGCATTCCAGAGGGCAAAAACAGAACACACATGAACTCATCCCCACAGGCAGAGAAGACCAGTGGGGTCCGTGGGAGATTTGCTGGCCTCAAAGCTAACCCGTCTTGGCAGAAGCTCATTTCCTAGCCTCTAGGACAGGAAATACATAGTCCCACTCAAAAACTGGCAGCCTGGAGATCAAACTGGCCTCGAAGATTAGGACTCATGTGTCCTGGATATTAAAAAATAAATTGATTTAGTGGCCAATATTCAATGATGAAAAGACTTCTCATAAGAATCCAGATTTCAAGGTTGTCTTCAGAAGCAAGGCACTCTGGCAGCACTCTCTGTATCTTCCTACTGGCCCACCCTAGGCTGCAGCCACTGCCCCTTGTGGAAGGGGCACTCTTCATTTGTCATAGCCCCCCCAAACCATGAGTGTCACTTGGTATTTAAGGCCTCTATTCAGGGCTTCTTCTCTCACATTTATGAAGCAACTAACACTTCTATATATTTGAACTTGTAACTTGTACTTGAAAACAATTCCCTTTCTTAATAGGTAAGGAAATCAAAGCTCAGAAATCGGAAGTGAGCTGGGAGTAGGCATGCATGACCCACAGGCATGGAAAATTCCCTTTTCACAAATTCTTCTTTTCCTTCAAGATCCATTTCCATGTCTACACGATGCCTCCAAAACCATTTCATTGTACAACATTCTTTTCCTCATCTAAACGTTAAAACCACCGTGGCCTCTATTCACATTTGCTAATGACTCATCTGCTGGCTTTAGTATTTCTGTGAGTGCTGATGTCTGCATGTGTGACACTGAGTTGGCCTAGGAAGAGAGAATGATATAAATTAAATGTTGTCCAATTCTTAAAGCAGGTGGGCTGTTGTAATAGAAAGAATTCAGTCTTTAGCATGGGACCTGGCTTCAAATCCTGACTTCACCACTAACTGGCCTTGGGACATTGAGAAAGTTACTTAATGTCTCCTAACTTCCATTTTCTCGCATTTAAAGGGGAGGCCATAATTTCCATTCAGCATGGTTCTTGCCAAAGTAAATGAAAGAAAATTTGGGAAAATGATCTATACAGTCTCTGCTATGTGAAAAGGTACATTCCCTCCCTTGTGATAATTCAGAGAGTGGTGAAGAAGAAAATCTAGAGAACAAATGATAAAGGTGCAAGGGAGGGAACAGCCAAGGCCTGAAGAGAAAATCCACAAAATTCATCATGATTTATGGAGCACCTGATATGTGCAAAGCATCAGAAAGGTTTTGATATATGTGATCTCACTTAACATCCTGGCTACCCCTGGCCTGGCTAAGGCTTTGCTGTATCCATTTTTCAAATGAGAAGACTGAGGATCCCAGAAGTTAAGGGAGTTGCCCAACATCAAGAATTCCCAAGTAGGAGAATCAGGTTTGACCGCATATCTGGGTGCCCTACCTGGGAGCCTTCCCATAGTACCTCACTGCCTCCATGGAGACGTGTGGGGATGCTGAAGGCTGATCCATCGCCCAGGAGACCCAAAATTCCTAGAGCTGGCAGTGGCTCTGAGTCACCATGGGCTGAGGGCACAGAAATTGTAAGTCCAGGCCAGGACTCTGTGGAGACCTTGTGATGTTCCCCAGAAGGTCAGGGCAGGCGATCTTGGATTCTTCCAACTCACCCTCGACCTGGGTCTCACTTCTCCAGTGTGGTCTCTCAGGTTGCAGCACATCCATAAGAAGAGAGGACCTTGAGGCTCTGAGATCAAAGCTCACTTCCCACTGAAGGCCATGCCCTGGGGCCGCTGAGGTTAGGAAGGCTGAAGAGCAGAAGATGGGATCAGGGTCAGGATTCAGAGGCCTGTGGGCAACTGTCCTCCAGCCAGGAAGATGGAGGGGCTTCTTGGGGCATCTTTCCCATCCTTTAGTCACCCTCTCACTGTGAGATCTCTCTCTTTCTCTCCTTTTTCATCTTCAGGAAAGTGATCCCTCAACATGCTTGGAATCCAAAGCAACTTCCTTTCTGTGCCCATCCCACAAGGGGTGATAGGGAATCAGGAAGACTCTGACACTATCCCTGACCTCAAGTGTCTCCTCTTTCAGAGTATAAGACAGGCAGGTAAGCAGGTGAGTGGTGAACTTTACTGATGGTGTTGGGCCACTGGAAGCATGTGGCCTCAAGTGGGCCCACAGGTGAGAGGCCAGTGTTGAACGAATGGAGAGAACAAGGCCAATAGAGCTTCACAGAGATGTTGTGAAGATAAAGAGATGGCCCAAGTGGACTTAACATCCAACACAGAGTGCTCAAGAAGAGGTAGAGAATGATGATGATGATGATGATGGACCCAGGTTACTAAATTGATTGGAAAAATGGAGCTCGTGGAAATAAAGAGTAGGGAAATAACCACTATGATGTGAGGAACGGGATTGTCTGTAACTACAATAGCACACGATGCTTACTCTGTTGCCTGGACCATGGTGTGGCTAGGACCCTAGGCCCTCGTCCAGGTGGGAGAGGCTGCACTAGGCTCAGCTTCTCAAAGGACTATTGGTTTTGCCAAGCTCCTCATGCCCTCAGGCCTGCAGCAGTCGGCAGCTGGTATTCCTTGGCAACTCTGAAAACATGTACCCAAAGCCAGACTCCCTGGCACCAAAGCAGGTTTTTGACCATTCACTGATAGAGCAGCTCTTGCTCTTGTCCTGTCAGAAGTCAGAATGTCAAGGCCAAGTCCCTCCATGGATGCACTGATGCTGACCCTGGTGCATAGTGTGTGGCCCACCAAGTCTGGGCCCACATCTTGTTAGAAGATAAGTTTAGGGCCATGAGGACACAAAGGCATAATAATGATGCCATGAACTTTGGGAACTCTGGGGGAAGCAGGGATGGGGGTGAGGGATAAAAGACTATTTGTTGGATACAGTGTACACTGCTCAGAAAATGGGTGCACCAAAATCTCAGAAATTACCACTACATAACTTATCCATGTAAAAAAACCACCTGTTCCCCAAAAACTATTAAAATAAAAAATTTTTAATAATAAAAGAAGATAAGCTTAGGCACATTACATTTTTAATGCATTTATTTCAGCATTCAGTGACTCATGAATCTGGTAGTACCAGATCACAAATTGTTCAGCATCCCATCAAGGGGGTTACAGGGAAGAACTTTTATAAGGTGTTAATGGAAGCAAGACAAAGAAAATATGTGATTGGTTACTGTAGAAAGCCCATAGTTAGAGGTTAGTTATCAGGTTCTGATGCGTAAAGTCTCTAGTTACAGGTTGGTTGGTGATTTCTGATTGGTTAAGTTGAGGTTTACAACTGAGTTGAGTTTCGTTTGCTTGTGTGGGAAGACACCAGGGCCATCTCAGCTTACTGGACCCTGCAGTTCATCATTTTAACCGGCTGACAGGAGGATGGAGGGGTCCCTGCCTTCCCCATACTTACTAACTCTTGCTATTTGTCTCTCTACTTCCAAATGAAGCCTGTTCCTTCACCTAAACCATATGATGTTGTAGAATTTGTCTCAAGCCCTGCTATGTGAGTAGTGATCACCCTAGGAGAGCAACATGGCATGAAACCATCTTCTTACCTCTATCCTTGAGGCTGAATGGGCAACAAAGCAATTCACTCTCTCATTCAACAAGTTGAATTCATACCACCACCCCAGGAGAGGTAGGTTCTATAATAATGCCTACGCCATGGAAGAGGAAGCAGGGGAAAGCCTACACGCCCAAGCTCACCTGGCAGATCAGAGGTGAGGACACTGAAAAAAGAGGAAGGAACAAGACAGACATGGCTCCTGCCCTCTGGTGCTGACTGGAGGCTCCTGGAGGGGATAGACATCAAACATACACAAATCCCTATGTCCCTGTAAAGGATCTTTGTGCCAAGAGGAAGCAGATATGGGTGTGACCAGAGGGAATAATGGGGCAGGCGTTTTTGGGTTAGGTGACCATGGCAAGATGTCTTCCATGAAGTGAGATTGGAGTGAGGCCTGAAATTTGAGCAGAAGTCAGGATTTCAAAGGGTCCAGCCAGAGTCATCCAAGCAGAAGGACTGACATGGGCCAAGTCCTGAATGCAGGGCTGGAGCCCAGGTGGGGGAAGAAAGTACAGGAGATGAGGAGAATGGGGTGAGAAGTAGGAACAGGAAGTAGAACAGGTCAGCCCTGGCTTCCGGCGCCTACTAGGACTTTTGGGTTGAGAGACTGATGAGGAGGAATTTGGAGAAGCTGGGTTCTCGTCACAGATCAGAGGCTACAAAAGTGCAGTGCACCAGTGCTTGAAAGAGCAGAATCCTTCAGCTGGGGCCAGGGCAGGCAGGAGTTCAGGAGGGGAGAGTCACTGCTATACCTAAGCATATGTCCCTGGGGCTCTAGAGGCTTTCTCTGCAGATGTGCAAACTCTAGGGGATGGCACAGAAGAGAATAAGAATACCCTTCTTTTCTTTCCCATTCTCCCTGTGGAATTTATGGGGTTTGAAACACTGTCCTAGCAGGGATACAGGAGAAGCCGTGAGAAATCTGATGCCACTAACCTAATTATGACATGATTGATTTGACAGCTATGTCCCAACTCAGCTGGGGTCCCTGTTCCTCTTCTTTAGAAGACAATAAATTCCTCTGAAGTAAATCTGTTTCCCTGGGGAGACCCTGGGGTAACAACAATGTTAGACAGGAGTCTTTGCTAAGCCAAAATTCAGAGGAAGACTGAGACTCCTTTTCATTTCAGGTTTGAAAAATAAATGATTCTTATTTATTTCTGCCAGGCCACTGGGGGAGAACTTGGAAAATGTATACATGCAGACAATAGGCTTGGTATCAAAGGGGGACTTCTGTGCCCAGCTGTGAAAAACAATTGGAGAATTCCAGATGCTGGGCTCTGTTTATCCTTTCATCTTGATGGATAATCACTGTTTCCCTAAGAAAGTCTGTGTGTCATAATCAGATTTGACTTTGCAAATGTTGCATTTTCCCTGAGAGAACATGCAAATGGTTGCCTTTTTGTGGGAAAGATTAACCCCAATTCTGCTTCCTGCAAAAAGTACGTGAAATTTCACTGGAGACATTGAAACCTTAGGACAGAATTCCAGAGAGCAAGAGGCATAGGGACTTTAACCTCCACCCTCCAGAGTCCCTTTCTCAACTCCTACCTGCTCAGTGCTAGGGCCTTCTTCAGGCACATTCCACAGGGGATGGATGATCACTACTCTTCCTCTAGGACCACTGTCTTCCTGAACAACTGCACCTGCCAGAGATTGTCTTTTGTGAGTGGATAGCTGCTCATCCCAGTTCCACCCCATGCCCTTCTCCTCGCCTCCAAAGGGCTGCCTGCTTACACACTTCTACGGACAGCCCTTTTGTGTATAGCAAGGGACCCTCCAACTCTCACTACTCTCCCTAGGGAAAATAACATAGGTTGTGACTACCTTGGGCAAATCACTTAACCTCTCCGAGTTTCAATTTCCCCATCAAGAAAATTGTCAAAACAGTAATACTTGTGATTATTTTATATGGTGGTTGTGAAAATTCCATTACATAATATACTCCTGGCTTACAATGACTTCGCCATTGGTGTTAGCTAATGATGTCATCATCATCAATGCCTTCATGCTTATCATCATCATGAACATCTTTGTTGTCTTCATCATCATCATTATTGTCATTACCTATTTCTTATAAATAGTAATAAACAACCCTAATCTCTCTACATGTTCTCATATGCTTTGGCATATGAAGGTTTTATTATCTTGGGTCCTTTTGGTGAAAATACTCCTTGGACCCATCACTCCTGACCCTTGGTTCCCCCATTTTTTTTTTTTTTTTTTTGAGATGGAGCCTTACTCTGTCACCCAGGCTGGAGTGCAACAGTGCAATCTCAGCTCACTGCAACCTCTGCCTCCCAGGTTCAAGTGATTCTCTCTGCTCAACCTCCTGAGTAGCTGGGATTACAGGCACCCACCATCATGCCCAGCTAATTTTTGTAGAGATGGGGTTTCACCATGTTGGCCAGGCTGGTCTTGAACTCCTGACCTCAGTTGATACACCCACCTCGGCCTCCCAAAGTGCTGCTGGGATTACAGGCGTGAGCCACCATGCTCACCCACTTCCCCCATTTTTAAAAGGGCAAACCAATGTGTGACACCTTGTGCATCGGCTGACGTAGAGGTTATGACACTAGCAGTCTCTCTGTGGGTCCAGGCCTCTCCTCTGGGGGGACACTTCTTTGGTCTTTGCGTAGTAACAGTTTTGGTGATGTCAGGGTAGCTGGGACTGCTGCCATTAAAGAAGTAAGAAAATGAGAGGACAAAAGGTGAACTGGTTATCTCAAGGCCTCTCTTTAAAGCAGAGGTCCCCCTTCCATTCTCAGCCAGGCAGTCTTCCACAGGACAGCAGGTTTCAGGATGACACCCTTCACCACACTTTGACTTCCTCCAGTTGTTCAGAATCACATGGACCTTGTTTCAAAATCTACCTAAATTACGGATATTTATTTAATATCTTTAAGCCTCAATTTCCTCGTCTTGTTAAATGGGGCCATAATAGTATCTACATCATGGAGCTGTGAGTATTGAATGGGATAACCCATCTCAAGGGCTAGCACAGTACATCTTAGTAGTAAATACTCAATAAACTGGTCATTTTTCATCTTAAAGTAGGGTTAACACTCACATCACAGCTCTTGTGAAGGGAGTTTTACGAGCTTGGCTTGCAGCCTGGCAGGCTCAGTAGCTGCTGGGAAATATCATCATCTTTACTATTATTTTGTTCCAAAGCTCCAGCCCTTCTGCCCACCACATCTGGGCCACCCGCAGTCATTGCATGTGTCTAGTCTGATTGGCAGAATTGGCAGCCACACCAGCCATCCCTGACTCTGATGCTTCCAAAAACGTTTGCAAGCCAAATTCCAGACAGCAGCTCCAGCCTAGCTGCAAGGGGACCCAAAGCTCACACCAGCTGCTCGGGCCCCAAAGCCTCCCTGGCTGGCCGCCTGGCGCCCTGTGCACCAAAGCCTGGGGCTGAAGAGCACTCAGGTGGTGGATAATTATCCCCGCACTGCCAAAGCCTGCATTTAGATGAGGCATTATTCAAATCCACCCCTCTCCAAAGAGCTTTGTCATCTTCCTGGGCCCCAGGACAGGTAGCCACAGAGCCACCACCCTGGGCAGCCCTGCAAGTGGTCTGTCAGGAAGCACTGCAGAGTTAATGATGTTTATTTTCTGTGGTTTGTCAACCCTTGGAGCTATTGCTACTGCCCAGCCTTCTTACCATGATCTCTAATCTTCTTGTGGGTGTCTTTCCAAAAAGGGAGGGAGGGAGAAAGAGAGGGAGGTAGAAAAAGGAAGAAAGAGAGAAAGAGAGGAAGAAACGAAAGAATTTCCTGAGAGCAGACAGATTTCTGTCTGCTCTTGTTGCCTCCAGACATTCTTACCTTCCCTCTCAAATGCTTCAAAAGGGCCCTACAGCTCTAAGAGCTCGTGACAAAACTTTTCTCTCTTTCTATAAACACTCACTGCATCACCAGCAAACTCTGCCTCAGAGGAGCTCAGTAAGATTCCAGCCTGAATGTACAGAACCCACACATCATGCATACCTCATATGGACTCCAGGTACCGTGATGAGTGATGACATGTAATTTTTTTGGCAAGAAAAATATGTAATTCAAGTAAACCATTGTGGCAACATGGAGATGCACCCCCAGACGTCTTCAAGGCAAGACTTCCTGCTTAGCACCAGGGAGTGTGATCAGCAGGCAGCCTGTAGCTCTCAGCTCCCTTGGGGTCCACCCCAGCTGCAGAGAGCCATCTTGTCTAAGGCCATGTCCTTCTGAGGACAGTGCATACTCAATGACTGAATGAGGCAGGAGCATAAAGGTCCTGACATCCCTGCCCACCATGGGAGACTTCAATGGGCAACACTCCAGTGGCCCCGCTCTACTCCCTATGTCAGCCAAAGTCTCCCTCCCTCCCTTTTTTGAAAGGAACCCACAGGAAGATTAGAGATCATGGGGAGAAGGCTGGGCAGTAGCAACAGCTCCAAGGGTTGACAAGGAACACTGTCGGGTGTTCATTGCAGTGTGACCTTTCCCTTCCCAATCCTGCTTCCTACACCTCCTTTCACACATGGGGGTCCCTGATACACATCTTGAACCCCACACTCTGTCTTGGCATCTTCTTCTGTAAAATCAACATGTACTAGTTGCCACTGGGAGTGTATTGAGAAAATCCAGAGAGGGTGTTCAGGTGGAAGGAAATATCCTAGCTCATGGGATATGTCAGTCATTTGAGACTATGAAGAACCTATAAGAATAGGTATATGGGCCGGGCACGGTGGCTCACGCCTGTAATCCCAGCACTTTGGGAGGCCGAGGCAGGCAGATCATGAGGTCAGGAGATCGAGACCATCCTGGCCAACACGGTGAAACCCTGTCTCTACTAAAAAAAAAAATACAAAAAATGAGCCAGGAGTGGTAGCGGGCGCCTGTAGTCCCAGCTACTCAGGAGGCTGAGGCAGGAGAATGGCGTGAACCCAGGAGGCAGAGCTCGCAGTGAGCAGAGATCTCGCCACTGCACTCCAGCCTGGGTGACAGAGCAAGACTCCGTCTCAAAAAAAAATAAAATAAGAATAGGCATATGGAATGGCTGTTGCTGGGTGCCACTGATGTTCTGCAGCAAGATAACAAATAGCTGGAAACAGAAATGGGCAGCTGAAAGCCAGGTGTGGAAGCCAGAAAGCCTCTTTCAGAAGCAAAGAAACTCTCATCTTCTGCAGCAGGAGGGTAGAGAAAGCCAAGGACCAAGTTCAAGACTTAATAGTCAGAGGCAGCTGAACTTCAAAGACTGTTCAAGGCTCCAGCAAGCTAGGTTTGTAAGGCTAACTGGGAGAACCTGGGTCCCTGGCCCCTGGTCCCCGGTCCCTTTGGTTCCTTAAAGATTTGGACTTTTCAAACTGCTCTGAATCTTCTGAGGTTGCAGACATGGGCCACCCCTCCCTATTGTAAGACAACACACCCCATGCTGGAGGACAGTGCAGAGACCTCTGCCCTTAAGGCAACACATTACCCCTCAGGGGCCACCCCTATCTCCCTTCCTGGCCACTAGGCTCATAACTAGGGTTAAGGCACAGCATAAGCCAGCAAGGATGGCTCTGAGACACCTGGAGAACATGACAACCCCCACTAAACAACACTGCAATGTCAGGATGCTAATGGCTGACCGTGGAGGGAAAGGGTGAAAGGTTCAGTAAGCAGGTGCATGCTGGAGTGTACACATGGTGTACAGACAGAAGACCCACCAGAAGACAACACTCCGAGAGCAGGCCTAGAGGAGACACAGCACTTCCTAAGGCAATAAGGCATGTGACAGTAGCAGGGGCACCATGTTCCAAAAATGCCAATAGTGCTTCTCCCCTATAACATGGAAGGAGAGGCTGTTATAGAACTTGGCTCACTGATAGCAACAGTGATAATGGAACCCTTGAAATATTTGGGGTCATGTGACAGCACTTGACCACCATAAAGCAGGGGGTCACAATCATCACAATAACTGGCAAGGCTGAGGTGGCTCTTAATGGGGTTGGACCCTCAGAGAACTGTGGAGATGGTTGACAGAGCATGGCATTCCTAGTGGCAAAATAGATCAGCAGCCAACTAGGGGTCCAGCCAGCTTGTACCAGCAGAACAAACTAAGGATATATGACCAGGAGGCTGAATCACAACACCTTGCCCAATTTCTGGACTTGGCATCCCAACTTTGCTCAGCATGGTCCATTGCAGAGGCCCAACAGATGAATGAAAGAGAGATGGGAAGGTTCTTCTTATGGGCTGAATTATGTCTCCCCAAAATTCATATGTTGAAGCCCTAACACCCAGGACCTCAGAATATGACTGTACGTGGAGATAGGGCCTTCGAAGAGGTGATTGAGGCAGTTAAGGTGGGCCCTAATGCAGTCTAAGTGGTGTTCTGATAAAAGAGGAGTTTAGGACACACAGACAGGTATAGAGGGAAGACTGGGTGAAGGACAGGGAAAACATGGCCACCTGAAACCATGGAGATGGGCCTCAGAAGGAATCAACCCTATTGGTACCTTGATCTTGGACATCCAGCCTCTAGAAGCGTGAGAAAAATAAATATCTGTTGTATAAGCCACACAGTCTGTGGGATTTGGTTACATGGCACCCCCAGCTGAGGATTACCCATCCCCATGCCTGCACCCATTGCCCCACTGCATTGAGGAGGCTGCATTGGGCTTGTATTGCTGTCCATCTTCTACCTCTATCTAATTCTTCTCTTAACACTTCCTTTCACTGGTGTGATTCCTTATAAACGTCTCACTTCAAAACTTGATCTCAGTGTCAGCCTCTGACTGACTCAACCCATGGCAATCGTGCATCATATAGAGAGCTGTACAAGCCCTAAGTGTTAGCTCAATAATTGTCACAAGGGGAATTCACCTGTGTAACCTCTACCTTGTAGGCCAAAAGCTTTCCTCATGCTCACTCAAGATAATGGCTGTGGCCAGGCGCCGTGGCTCACGACCGTAATCCCAGCACTTTGAGAGGCCAAAGCAGGCAGATCATCTGAGGTCAGGAGTTTAAGCCCTGCCTGGCCAACATGGTGAAACCCCGTTTCCACTAAATATACAAACATTAGCCAAGCATAGTGGCGTGCTCCTGTAGTCCCAGCTACTCAGGAGGCTGAGGCAGGAGAATCGCTTGAACCTGGGAGGCGGAGGTTGCGGTGAGCCGAGATCACGCCATTGCACTCCAGCCTGGGTGACAAGAGGGAAACTCGGTAACAAAAAAAAAAAAAAAAAAGAAGAAGATACTGGCTGTGAAATTCTTCATAAGGTTCCTGGTAAGAGAAGTCTGTTCTTCTGGTAATGACTATACAGTTTCCCAACATATAAATATACCACAATTAATTTCCTTCATTCTATTAGACATCTCCATTGCTTCCATTTATTCTATTGTAAATCAAGCTACTATGAACATTTGTGTACATTTCTTCTTATATGGACATATGTATTTATTTTTCTTGGGTATATACCTAGTAGTAATAGTCTTAGGTCATAGAATAGGTATGTGCTTAGATTTAATAGATAATGCCAAACTATTGTCTAAAATCGTTTTAACTTGTATTTCCCTGAAAAATAATGGTGTTTGACACCTTTATCATATTATTAGCCATTTGCATATCCTGCTCTGTGAGGTACTAATTCAAATCTTTGTCCATTTCTTTACTGTTGTCTATTTTCATATTAATTTGTAGGTCTTAGTCATATATTTGAAATATTTCCCTGTCAGATATATGTATTATAAATCTTCTGTTCATCTGCAGCTTGTCTTTTTTTTTCTGATTTATTTATGTCTTTGAGCAGAGCACTTCATATATGTGTGTTTGTATGTGTGTGTGTGTGTGTACAGACATGCACCACATATTTTGCTCAACAATGGACCACATATATGATGGTGGTCCCATTAGATTATAATACCATATTTTTGCTGTACCTTTTCCATTTTTAGGTGCATTTAGATACACAAATAGTTACCATTGTGTTATAATTGCCTGTAGTTTCAGTACAGTAACATGCCATACACGTTTGTAGCACAGGAGCAATGGGCTACCCCATATAACCTAGGAGAATAGTAGGCTCTACAATCTACATTTGTGTAAGTGCACTCTACCATGTTCATACAATGACAAGATCACCTAATGATGCATTTCTCAGAACGGATGTCCACCATTAAGCGATGTATGACTGTATGTATACACACACATAAGTTAAATCATGTATATATAAATGATTATATATGTATTTTTTCATTTTTGGTTAATGCTTTATTGTGTTCTGTTCAAGAAACCCAAAGTTATGAACATATTCTCTTTTGTTTTATTCTAAAAGCTTTATATTTTACATCTTACATGAAGGTTTAGGATATATTTATTTCAAGTTATCTTCATGTATGGTGTGAGGTAGGAATCAAGGTTTGTTGCTTTACTTATAGATAGCCAGTTGTTCCAGCATCATTTATTGAAAAAAAATCTCTTGTTCAGTGAAATGCTGAGATACTTTCATGGGTATGAGTAATATTTACAAATTAATATGCAAATAAGCAACAATAAAAAATGGACATAGACTTGAATTAGTATTTCACAAAGCAGATAATATGGCCAATAATATTATAAGCCTATGGGGACAATATATGTGTGGGTCTATTTCTGGACACTCTTCTTTTCCATTTGTGTATTATCCTTATACCAATATCATGCTGTCTTAACTACTCTAGGTTTAAAATAAGTCTGACAATAATGTACAATAAGTCCCCCAACTTTATTTTTCAAGTTTGTCTAGGTTTATTCTAGGTCCTTTGCATTTCCACATAAATTATGACTTTTTGAGATTGCATTGAATCTCCAGATAATTTGGGGATTGACCAAACTGAGTTTTCCAATTATGAATTTGGTATATCTCACAAGTATTTAGATCTTAAATTCTCTCACTTAGGTTTCATTGTTAAAAGTACAAGGGCGGCTGGGCGCAGTGACTCATGCCTGTAATCCCAGCATTTTGGGAGGCTGAGGCAGGCGGATCACGAGGTCAGGAGATTGAGCCCATCCTGGCCAACATGGTGAAATCCCATCTCTACCAAAAATACAAAAATTAGCTGGGCGTGGTGGCACGTGCCTATAATCTCAGCTACTTGGGAGGCTGAGACAGGAGAATCACTTGAACCAGGAAGTCAAAGTTTGCAGTGACCTGAGATTGCGCCACTGCACTCCAGCCTGGACAACAGAGCGAGACTCCATCTCAAACAAAAAAAAAAAAAAAAAAAAGCACAAGGGCCAGTTTGTCTTCCATTACTGTAGCTGAGGCAGGAAGAGGTTCATACTGCAGCACAGTTATAAGAAAAATTAGGCCAGGCAACACATGCTCTCCAGCCAGCACTACCCATCGGAGGAGTGGCGCCTCTTGCAGGAATGCACCTGCAGTGGAATTCCTGCAACCCTCACTAATGAGCTGGGAGAAGCTCATAGGAAATGTGGTCTCAGTAAAAAAGCTGTGGTTGGATTCAGGATGCAACAACTGGGGAAATTAGTAAGTGGTGAAGCCAGGATTTAACCCAAGCAACCACGTCCCAACATCAACTCTCTTCATTACTACACTACCTAATCTCATAAGGCTGAAATAAGAACTAAAAAATAATAGTAATATGTGAAGTATTGTATACCTGGAACATAGCCTACATTCATCAACTGTAAGTTACTATTGTTCTAGGTACACCTTTGCATTGCTTTGTGGCAGGTTTAGTTGTAATGCCAAGCAAAAGTCACTTCAGCCCAATTCACCTCTACTTTTCCACCAATACTCAAATCAGGACCAGACTTTGTAATGTGATCTGTTTGAAGCTTCAATTAACACAAACGAAAGAATCATTTTTGTCCTTCTAAGACTGTCTTATTTCACTTAGCATAATGCCCTCGGGCTTCATCCATGTTGTTGCAAATAATAGGATTTCCTTCTTTTTTAAGGCTGAATAATTGTCTTAGTTCATTTTCTGTTGCTTATAATAGAATACCTAAAATTGAGTAATTTATAAAGAAAAGGAACTTATTCCTTATAGTTTTGAAGGCTGGGAAGCCCAAGGTCAAGGGGCCACCCCTGGGGAGGGTCTTCTTTCTGCTGGGGACTCTCTGAGGTGTCTTGAGGCAGGAAGGGCATCATGTGGTGAGTCAGCTGAGCATACTGTATAATATGCTAGCTCATGTTTTTCTGTCCTTATAAAGTCACCGGTTGTCTCCCCATGATAGCTCATTAATCCATGAATGGATTAATCCATTCATGCCCTCATGATCCAATCTCTCTTCAAGGCTCCACCTCTCAACATTACCACTTTGAGAATTAAGTTTCACTGTGAGTTTTGGTATTGAATATATAGCAATATGAGTTTGCTATTGAAACCATAGCAAATATATTCCATTATATGTATATACCACATTTTCTTTATCTGTCATCTGTTGATGGACATTTGGGTTGTTTTCCTATCTTGACTATTGTGAATGATGCTGCAATGAACATGGGCATGCAAATTTCTGTTCCAGATTCCTATTTTCAATTCTTTTGTATAGATACCCAGAAGTAAAAATGTTGGATCCTATGGGAATTCTATTTTTAATTTTTTGAGGAACCTCCATACTGTTTCCAATAGTGGCTATACCATTTTACATTCCCACCAACAGTGTCCAAAGGTTAAAATTTCTCCACATCCTTACCAACACTTCTTACCTTTTGCTTTTTTTTTTTAATAATAGCTATTCTAACAGGTATAAGGTGATATCTCATTGTAGCTTTGATTTGCATTTCCCTGATAACTAGTGATAGTGAGCACGTTGCCATATATTAATATGTGGTAGCTATTTGTATGTGTTCTTTGGAGAAATGTCTATTGAAGTCCTTTGCCCATTTTAAAATCAGTTTATTTGGGTTCTTGTTTTGCTTTTGCTATTGAGTTATAGAAATTTTTTAATATATTTTGGATATTAACTTCTTACCAGATAAATGGTTTGCAAATATTTTCTCCCATTCTATAGATTTTCAGTTTACTCTTGTTTCTTTGGCTATGCAGCTTTTTAGTTTGATGTAGTCCCAGTTATCTATTTTTGATTTTATTGCCTTTGCTTTGGGTATTATATTTAGAAATCATTGCCAAGACTAATGTCAAGAAGGCTTTCCACTTATATAAAGTATTCAGAATAGTCAATATACAGAAGCAGAGAATAGGATGGTGGCTTCCAGGAGCTAGAAGGCAGGGAGGGGAAATAAGGAGTTGTTCAATGAATACAAAGTTTCATTTATGCAAAGTGAGTAAGTTCTAGAGAGCTGCTGTACAACACAGTGCTTGTATTAACAACATGGTATTGTGCACTAAAAATTTGTTGGGAGAGTAGTTAAGCATTCTTACCCCCCCTGCCCAACACACACACACACACACACACACACACACACACACACACATACATATCTATATAGGGACAACAGGAAATTTTGGAGGTGATGGATATGTGTGGTATCTTGATTGTAACGATAGTATCACACAGGTGCATGCATATGTCCAAACTCATCAAATCGTATGCATTAAGCATGTACTGTTTTTTTGCATGTCAATTTTACCTCAGTACAGCCGGTTAAAGATAGAAAAATAAAATAAAACAAAAATGTACAAATCAACAATAATGTTAAACTTCTTTTTCCATCATCCAACCTTTCTCCAAGAACTAGGCTTCCTCCTACTTCCCAACCAAATCTCCCATCTACTCTCTGGGGTAAATACTTGGCTCCAGCCAAACTAGTTCCTGCACTATTCCAACAATACCCCACTGGACTTACTTGCTTCATGTTAGTTAACTGTCTGAAGTTGTTTTCCCTTGAGGTTCCCTTCCAGCTCCTCCTCATCCTATGTAGTTCAGTGTCCCAACCCCTCTAGGGAATCTTCCTTGAGCAGCCCAGCCCACACAGATTTCTCATTGCTCTGAACTTGAACATTGTCTGTATCAGTCACATGGCAATTAATCATGCTGCATGAAACCTCTTCTATTGTGGCATTGAAACATAAATTTGTAATTTTATTTTGAGGGTTTACATATTGTTTCCTAAACCAAACAGAAAGCTCATTCAGGGACCATGTCAATTCAAGAAAGCTGTTCAATTCATCAAAATTCTTCCTATGCTTTTTTAAGCCACAAGAAAATTTATAAAAACAAGTTGGACTTGTCTTTTCCTTCAAGGAATGAACATGTGACTACAGAAAGAGCACTGGACTAGAACACCAATGATGAAAGTTCAAGTTTAAATTCTGCCACTCAAACCATATGACCTTGGATACGTTATTTAGCCTCTGTGAACTATTTGTCAAGAGGAAACTACTCTTCCACAAGATTTGCTTTTGATATGGGGTGAGAAGATTCCAAGCAGAGGCAACAGACTGTGAAGATCTTCGGAGAGGAAAAAAAAAGCTTGATGTGTTCAGGAAAAGGAAAGGAAACCAGGAAAGGAAACCAGGCTGGTTATATTAATTGAGTATTTACTATGAACTGACATTTTCTTAGCATGTAGTATCTCACTTTAGTCATCATAATAACTCTGAGAGTTAATCTCACAACAGGGTAAACTGAGATACAGAGACGTTAAGTAACTCGGCTACACAGTTAATGCATGGGAGAGCTGGAATTCCAAGTCAGCCAATGTATTCCAGAGCCTGACCTCTTCTGCTGCCTTCATTATTCCGAGTCAGGCTGCACGGAGCCCTGCAAAGCAGTAGAGACCTGACCAGTGGGTTTACCTATGTTATTAAGTATAATAAAACCACTGCAAGGAGTAAAGCAGGAGAGTGCACGATAACTTTATGCAGTAAGAAGGTCACATTTTAACAGCAGATTTTATCAGGATGCAACCTATATACAAAAAAGTGAACAATATCTAGCTCAATAAAATATTTTAAACCAAACACATGTGTTATCAACACTCACATAAAGAAGACATTAGCAGAATCTAAAAAATGCCTCATGCCCCCTTCTAATCACTATTCATCCCCCAAGTGTACTCACATTGCTCATTTCAAACACCATCGATGAGTTTTGCATATTTTTTAACTTTATGCACGTGGAATCACAGAGTATGTTTTCATTTGTGTATGGGTTTTTTTTCTCCTCAAAGTCATTTGTGAAATTTATCCATAATGTTGTCTATAGTTATAGCTCATTCATTCTCATTTTAGTACAAAATCTATTTAATAAGCCTATCACCTTATTTATCCATTCTACTGCAGATGCTCATTTGAGTTGTAAATGTCCAGTTTGGGGCAATTACAAAAAGTAGCTGCTTTGAAAATGATTGTTATTATGATTTGACATATATATGTGTGTGTGTCAAATATATGTGAATATATATTGTGAGTGTGTAAGTATATATGTATGATGTGTATATATATGACATATATACACACACATAATTCAGGAACATACGTTAGACTAGAACAGCTGAGTCATAAAGTATGTCGATGTGTGGAATGGTTGAACCAGCTTATGCTCCCACAGTAACCTATGAAAGTTCCAGTTGGTCTACATCGGTATCAACAACTGGTAATGCCAGTATTAATCATTTTAGCCTTTCCTGGTGTGTATGTGGTGTTATAGTGTCTTTAATTTTTATCTCCTTGATGAGTAACGAAGTTGACCATCTTTTCTTATGTTTGCTAGTCATTTATGAAGTCTCTGTCAAAGTCTTTTGCTCACATTTCTATAGAGCTTACTTTCTACTTTTATTGATTTTAGGAGAGTATTTTTTAATCTGCTCGATATGAGCTCCTTGTTAGATACAGGCTTCATAATTTTCTCCCAGCCTGTGGGTTGACTTTTCCTGCCCTTAGTGGTACTTCAGGTGCATGGCATGTGGCCCTTTGTTTTGGTTTTCTCTGTCCTATAAGGGATGACAGCTAAAACCTGTTCTGAATCATCTGAGAAGGACACCTGCCTATAATTACAGCAAGACAGCCTTGCGCAGGGCTAAAACATTACAATCTGAAGGGACCCATACTACCTGTACATTCCACAGGACATCACATTAACTCAATCCATCAATGACATCTTGCTAATTGGATAGCAAGATATAGCAAGAATGGTGAAGATCTGTGTAAGAAATGTGGTCTAAAGAGCAGAAAATAAACCATGTTAAGATTTAAGGGTCTGCCATATCAGTGACATTTTTAGGGAGTCAAGCGGTCTGGGGTATTCTGGGACTTTCCCATCAAAGAAAATGCTGAATTATTGCATCTGGACTTCCCACCACTACAAGCATAATGTCCAGTAGTCTTCATCGGGTTCTAGAGGAAGTGCATATCATGCACTTCAGAGTACCCTTCCAGCCTATCTACCATGTGACACAGAAGGCTGCCAGCTTTGAGTGGCCCAAGACCAGGAAAGTGCTCTGAAGCCGGTCCAGGCTGCTGTACCAGTGCCCTGCCACTTGGGCCCTATGAATTGGAAGACCCTAAGGTACTAAAGGTATCCTTGGCAGGAAAAGATGCCATGTGAGGCTATGGCAAGTCCTAGTAGGAGAATCACAGGCCATATAAGAGTAGACATTGTGTATGGAGCAAGACCATGCCAATAAACAGACCCTGGGATAGAATTTGGCCCTGATAGAAAAGAAATACCTGATCACAGGGCAACAACAAACTCTGTGGCCAAAGTTTCCCTTAGATACATGGATTGCACCAGGCCCTCCAAGTCATGGTAGGCAGGGCCGAAGCACTGATGGAAGTTGCTCATACAGGATTGTGTCCTCTAGCAGGGCTAGAGGATACAAGTAAAGCCCGCTAAACAATGGTCCATGTCATCCAGCCTGGGTGCATGTTACCCAGGGCCCCTCTCTCAGCTCACACATATGGCCACTTTTAAGGCGTTCCTTTATGACCAGAGGAGACGAAAGGCCAGGACTTATTTACCACTGTCAGAAGGCTCATGGATTATTTGATCCTCCTCACCTGGAGAGAGCTGCCTACCCCAAGGCACAAGCCCTTCCCAGCACCAGTCTCTAATACCTAGTGGACATGGGGGTACAAAGGCCCGGACCCCATGCCTTGTACTGAGGGGCCATCACTTGCTACAGATCTTTTTGCAGGGCCAGTTGAGGCCTCTCATGCAACTACATTGTGGTTCAACACCTCACTTTGCCTCTTCTGGCTTCCCTCACACTCTTAGAGGTGTTATTCCTGCCAGAAGTCTTGAGTAAACTTCCTGAGTGCAAACGTTCTTCTCAGCCTCTTTTTCTGGAAACCATCACCAAAGATAGGTATTCTCCACTCTTGTGAAAGACCCAAAGGCAGGGAGGAAGCCATCTGTATTAGTCTGTTCTCAGGCTGCTGTAAGGACATCCCCGAGACTGGGTAATTTATAATGAAAAAGAGGTTTAATGGACTCACAGCTTCACATGGCTCGGGGGATGGTCTCACAATCACGGTGGAAGGCGAAGGAGGAGCAAAGGCACATCTTACATCGCTGCAGGCAAGAGAGCATATGCAGGAGAACTGCCCTTTATAAAACCATCAGATCTCATGAGAACTCACTAGCATGAGAACAGCATGAAGGTAACTGCGACCATCTCTGTGGACTTTGGGTGTTTACAGTGGAGGATGTAGCAGATAGAGAGGACAGAACCAGCCCTGAGGTGGCAGTACGTTCAGCTAGCTCTGGGAACAAGGAGCGGGCCAGGGTAGCTAGAGCTAAATGAGCAAGGATAGAATGGTAGTTAGAGGGGGAAAGTTAAAGAAATGGATGATAACTTGAGGGAAAGTATATTAGTAGATGTAAGAAGCCACTGGAGCAGTATGAACAGAGGCATTACATGATATAAGACTTACGTTTTATAGAAATCACTGGCTCCTGGGTTGAAGCCAAGTGTTGGGACCAGGGTGCAAGCAGGGAGACCAGTCAAGAGGCTTACAAAAATTCAAAAGATGATCCTGAAAAGATGATGGTCTCCCACCACCTATGGGGCCACTTACAACATCTCCCCCTGTTTTATAGAGAAGGGAAACATGGAGTTAGGCAACTTTAAGATTCATCAGTAAGAATGGCTGTTAAGACAGAATCTTACCAGGCTCACCTGCTTTTGACCACTTTTCAGTGTAAATCAGCATAAGTCAGCGACTCCTCTCCTCGCACTCCCTACACAGTAGGGGCCAGGCTCTGGGCACTCAATAGATTATAGCAAGTGGCACATCTGCAAGCTCGTTCTGCCCATAGTGTGAGCACCTTGAGAGCTGGGACCCCGTCTCATTTTCTTTGCACCTTCATTGCTTGGGGAAAGGAGGCACCAAAGGAACATTTTTGGAATAGGTGAACAAACTACTAAATTACTTTATTAATCCCTAAAACACTCTCTGAACTAAGTTTCCTAATTCCCCCATTTTACAGAGGAGAAGACAGAAGCTCAAAGAGGTCAAGAGTCTTGCAGAGCTGTGTAAAAACACAATATGAATCCAGATCTGTCTAAATCCAGATACCAAACTTGGATTTGAATCATAGCTAGATGGAAAATAAGTATAAAAATATGTGGGAAAAACACTGTTAAAAGTGTTATTTTAAACCAAATTTATGCGTATATATACCCTCCATACACACACACACACACACACACACACACACACAAAGTAACTCTTCCTTATAGGCAAGGCACATGTGTCTGAATAGATGTACACATGTATCCATGTGTACTTACACACATATATACCATAGATGTGGATAAATATAGCCATGATTTTTAATTGAATATTTAGTAGGTGCCAGTTTCTATGCTAATGTTTCATGTGCAGCATTTCATAAAATTCTAACAAATCTATGATTGGCATCACCACTTTAAAAATAAGGACCGTGGGTTTTGGAGAAAGTAAACATTTTAGTCCAGCCTCTAGGGTCACAGAGTTGCTAGTTGTCTGATGCTGAAGACAGGTCTGCCTGCCTTTGACTGTTTCGGTTCTTCCCATGTATTTGTAGAGTGTTTCTACACACTGTGTTCTCTAAGATATGATATACCCATGTGTATTTTATGCTCAAAGCAGGTATGCTATGAATGACATCGTTACATATGAGAATAGAGGTGGCATGCTGCCATGTAAGGCCTATGTTTCTATATCTGTTTACTGTAAATGGATCTACATGATATATACATATGCCCGTAGGAAGATAACTTCTTCAGGCTTAAGAGTAGAGGCATTTTTGTAGCCTTTTAATGTGTTTTTTCATTGCTTACCTGGCATGACGTTAATCTTGGCAACTTTAATATGACTTTAAATTCAATTTTCTTTCCTCCTGGATGCCAGCCACACAACCCTGTTTACAGGGATCACTAAACAAAAGTGAAGGAAGAAGGAAAACAGGTTCCATCCATTTTCCTTCTTGCTAATTGGGGATTTATTACTGGTTCACTTGCTCACAATGGCAGGGAGCAGATACACCCTTCGGTTTCTGGTCCCCAGGCTGGTAATTGGAATGCATGTAGTGTTATGAGTTTGCTCTCTATGGCTGCCTCACATGGGAGCAGAAGGATGAAGACAAAATGATATTTGTGTGCATTTATTATTGTTCTTGCAGCACAGGAAAGGGCTTCCTAGAGGGTGGTGGGCTTACCCTTCAGCCTGCTGAGCTGCAACTGATGGGGGTTATGCCCCCTTAGAGTTGTGCTCATTCATTGATTCATTGGCTCTCACACTCATAGTGTGATAAACTTTTACTGAACCTGTACTAAGTGTGCACCTGTGCTGGGCCCTGTGGCGTACAGATGCCTCCAGCCTTCAGGGAGCTGACAGTGTAGGGAGAGACATGGGCGGTGAACAGAAAACGACCCTAGAGCCTCTTGTGTGGTTCTCTGCAGGTGACAACAGGGGCCACAGAGGGGCTGGGAGAGAACAAAACAATCATCCTGGGATTCAGAGGATAAGTGGCCAGGTGTTGAAGGTTGAGTAAAAGTTCAGAGAGTAAAGAAGGGGCAGGGACATTCCAGGGGAGAGCCTGGAAGCCCAGGGGTGCCATGTTGGGGGACAGTGAGTTTCTGATGAGAATGACTGTGAGTGAATGGACCTGGATGGAGAAGCAGAGTTCAGAGAGTTCATATCTGGCACCCAGAGGAAACCCTAAAGGGGAGTTTTAACGACATTGCCTGTGGGCTGGAGGAGAAAAGAGCGATGTAGCCAAGTATTTGAAAGAAGGAGAAGCAGGGCCAAGCAGTCAGAGGGATGCCGGGTAGGGAGCAGGAGAGAAGGAGCTGA